>NC_000010.11:30010000-30314282 GCF_000001405.40 Homo sapiens
TGATCCGCCCACCTTGGCCTCCCAAAGTGTTGGGATTACAGGCATGAGCCACTGCGACCGGCCAAAACATGAAATTCATCTATGTTTAATACACACCTTAGGTACGTAGCCTAAAGGGAATTTTATATAACATCTTAAATAATTTTGTGCACTCATCACATGTGGTCAGGTGTGAAATTTTCCACTTGTGGCATCATGGCATTCAAAAAGTTTTGGATTGGCCGGGCAAGGTGGCTCACGCCTGCAATCCCAGCACTTTGGGAGGCCGAGGCAGGCAGATCATGAGGTCAGGAGATTGAGACCATCCTGGCTAACATGATGAAACCCCATCTCTACTAAATATACAAAAAATTAGCCGGGCGAGGTGGTGGGCGCCTGTAGTCCCAGATACTTGGGAGGCTGAGGCAGGAGAATGGTGTGAACCCAGGAGGGGGAGCTTGCAGTGAGCCAAGATCACGCCCCTGCACTCCAGCCTGGGTGACAGAGTTAGACTCTGTCCCCCCCACCAAAAAAAAAAAAAAAAGTTTTGGACTCTGGAGCATATTGGTTTGGGGTGCTCAACCCGTAAATGCAGATTTGGGTTTATTTCCACACAAGCTGAGCCTGCTATCATAAACTCAGAAATATGCCGGTGGGGCTGGGCGCGGTGGTCATGCCTCTAATCCCAGCACTTTGGGAGGTCAAGGCAGATGGATCACTTGAGATCAGGAGTTCGAGACCAACCTGACCAACATGGAGAAACCCTGTTTCTACTAAAACTACAAAATTAGCTGGGTGTGGTGGCGCATGCCTGTAATCCCAGCTACTTGGGAGACTGAGGCAGGAGAATCGCTTAAACCTGGGAGGTGGAGGTTGCAGTGAGCTGAGATTGTGCCATGGCACTCCAGCCTGGGCAACAAAGTGAAGGTTCATCTCAAAATATATATATATATACCAGTGGAGTTAGATTAGGTAGAAAAACCCATGGTTGGCCGGTGCGGTGGCTCATATCTGTAATTTCGGCACTTTGGGAGGCTGAGGCAGGCAGATCCCCTGAGCCCAGGAGTTTGAGACCAGCCTGGGAAACATGGCGAAACCCCATCTCTAAAATTAAAAAAAATTACAACAAACAATCACGGTTAATGTACAGGACAGAGTGGGGAAGTCAAGGGAAGAAACATTGACCAGGGTCTCCAGAATAAATCTCATCTAACTCCAAGAAAAGCTGGGCTTTCCAGCAGAAACCAAACCAGAGGCATATGGGCTAGCACTCAGTTTCCCATGGAGTTTTGGTCCCCAAAACCCTGAGCAACGTAGGACTGTAGGACTGGCAGCTTTTCCAGCCAGTCAATTGCAAGCTGACCACTTGGGGAAACACTGCTGTGTGGGGTAGAAGCAGAAAGGCGATTTAGCTGGTGAGACACAAATATCTCCAAAACTAAGTGTATTTAAAAGGACCCCAGCAGCCAAATAGTGAGAAAAGCAGTCTATGTGGGTGACTGCAGATTAATGCCTTGGGCTGACTGCCCAGTTTATAAACATCCTAGTGCCCTGCCCTAACGTAAGAAAAATATGTCAGGAGAATTCAATATTGTCAGTCCCTTGGCTGGGCCATAGCGACGGTGATGGGGAGATGCACGATAAGTTACTGGAATGGGGGAAGTGGACCACCCTGGTGAGAGAAATAATGGCAGGACTCCCACCCTGGCCATGACCCAGTCCGCAGTCACGTACAGACGTAGTTTTCCAATTGTTTTACTCTTGAACCCTTCTGGCAGGACAAAAGACCCTATGGACGTTCAGGTTTGCCAGAAAATAGTTATATAAGCTTAGAGTTGGAAGAAACCAGCTAACTGAGCTCAATCTCCCTCTCCACTTACAGGATGAAGTGTTCCAGGGAAAGGGGGTCAATGTCACAGCTAGTTAATGGCAGAGCCAGGCCCAGGATGAGTCCCCCAATTCCTGGGTTGTGTGTTTCATCTTCTAGCATTAATGTGGTCAAGGGATTTTTTTCAGTTATATTTTAATATGTGGATTAACTTATCAACCAACTAGGGGATAGTCCTTACTTTAAAACACACATCTTAGTGTGATCTGAAATTTCATACTACTTAGAGGGCCCCGGGATACTCAAGCTTTGGGGCTCTGCACATGTGGAGCCAAGGAAGAAATGAGGAAAACAGCTTACAAAAGCTTACAGGAGAGAGAGGAAGCCTACACTGGAAAGAAGGACCGTGTTTTTAAAAACTCAGAAACAACAGCTTAGAGGTTTATTGGTCTGACAATAGAAACGATTGGAGAGTATGATGTTGCACTGAGTCTCCCTCTGCTTCCAGAATAGCCCTACAAGACAGAGGCCTGGATGGTAAAACCTACAACACTTCCAGGCAAGTATTTTCCCCAGAAGGCACTGCTCTAGCTTCATTCTCCATGCAGTCAACACCCACAATGTGCTGGAGGTTCTCTATATATTGGATTCTTATGTTCCTTTGGTAGGAGAGGCTGGGGAGGACACAGAAGCCAGGGATGTGATGTGTACAAAGTCACATGGTTATTGATAGAGTCAATATTCACACCCAGTTCCCAAATTAACTCTAGGCCTCTTTCCACAATGTCAGTAAGCCTTGGGGGAGATGTAAACAGGAGCTTTAACTCCCGGGAAATCCCAGTGGAGACCAAAGGTGCTGGAACCCTGTGGGCTACCTGTCCCTGCATTACCCACACCATCTGAGCTGCTCCCCGTGCAGCCTGCTGCCCGCCCTTCAGGAACCAGCCTCTAGGGCAGCTCTTGCACCCACAGTAAAAGACAACGGACATAGGTACTTTCATGCAAAATCTTTATTTGGAACATGTATGTTACTGAGCAGGCCAGCCGCCATCCTGAAATAGCAAGGATATTTACACTGTGCAGAGAAATACAAGAGCTTCTTGAAGACATTCATCTGTGCTTTGCCGGCATTTTATCTGCTACTTTGTCCTGCTTCTCTCTTCCCTGTGCTCATTATTCTTCATGCACCCTCACCTCTCATCACCTTAAGGCATCCTGTACCAGCCTGATCTGGGGGCGATGACTGCAGCCGGCAATCGGCCATTACCAATGGTGTCTTTCTGGGACCCTTTCTACCTGTCTTAGGTATTAATGGTGCCCAAAGAAAAAATGAAGAGATGAAAGTTTCTGTGGTTAGCTGGGCATGGTGGTGTGCACCTGTAGTCCCAGCTACTAAGGAGGTTGAGGTGGGGATAGTGCTTGAGCCCAGGAGCTTGAGGCTGCAGTGAGCCGTGACTGCACCACTGCACTCCAGGCTGGGCAACAGAGCAAGACCCTGTTTCAAGGGGGGGAAAAAAAGTTTCTTTGGAGTTGCAAGGCCTTGTCTTCACTAAATTTTAGAAGTCCCCCCGAGATGTTTCTGCTTAACTTCTCTGACAGGCCTGACTGTGAGGGCTCGAATTTCAGCTGACCTAGGTGGAGAGTACTTCATTGATTTTTATAATCTGGAAATGACTGCTTTTCCCCTTGCTGGGACATATGGTTTTCATTTCTGTTTGCTGCCATATGCTTCTCAACTTGAACTTGCCTTTGTCTCCTTGCTCCGTGACAATGAATGTCTCACATCTCGGCTCTGCTGCGGGGCAGGGGTGAAGGGAGGTGGAAGAAAGAAGAGATGGTCCTTTGGCTTGGTTGTAAGCCCTAGTAGGGCCTGTCTTTCATACGGAAAGGGTTCCTCCTAACCCCTATCAAAGCATGGGGATGAACGGCCAGACAATCTGGGCTTGCCTTTGGGTTTAAGTTTCAGTCACTAAACAGAGACCACAGAACAAGGACCTCCCTGTCCTCTGCTGTATTCGTACACACAAGTATCGCAGAGGCTTTCCAAGGTCGATGCCAGGAATCTGCAGGAGCCTTGGCTGCCTTCCCACACTGCTGATGAACCAAGGACTGTTTCGACAGGCAGGTTGCTAGCCCACATCAACCTTTTCAAGAGGCCTCAATCTGAATTTATGGTCTTAATGACTCCCTTTTTATTTCTTTCCAACAAAACCTGCAGGCTGGAGGCCATTCTTCCTTTAATGTTATTTTATCATCTCCCCCTTCTTAGTGTGGTGGGTCCCAGAGTGGACCAACCCACACTCCTGGAGAAGGACCTCCCGCCATGCAGATTCTTAAAGGTCACTGGAATGTGTCTCTTAAATCCTGTCCTGAGTAGCAACTCTCCTCCCACAGACAGATGTACAGAATCTGCAGTCAAAAACAAAACAAAAAGAAAATGCAAAAATCCCCCAGCCTGCAACAGCTTCGGCTTAAGAAACACACTCCCACCCCACATCCCGTCTTTTAAGCTTCATCTCCCCTGCATAAATGGGTCTGGTAGAACAATGCTCCCCAACGCTAAAGTAATTGCTTCTAAGAACTTAGGACATGGGAAATGTTTCTCTAAGCTCAAATATGGATAGAAAGACAATTCTGCTGCACTGGTCACTTTGCAAGAGATGCTATCCTGACATTTAATTGTGTATTATTTAATCATTTAAAACAAACAATAATAAAAAACTCAGCCAGAACACGCAAACGTGATCTCTGGGGGTCACAAGATGAAATGGTAGGTGAATGTTATCTTCTATCAGCCCCTTTTGCCTCCGAGTTGGGAAAGTAGTTGTTTCAACAGATCAGCTTCATCCTTTTTCTTCAGAAGCCCCAAACCGAGATGCTGTCAGAATAAGTCATTTTGCTGCTGCAAAAAATGATCACAGTCTGGTTTCTGAGTCATCTGAGTTTTAAAACGTAAACTTCCATTAACAACGGCCCTTCACCAACAGTAAAATGGGGCAGCAAAAGTTCTACTTAGAATTTCCACGTGAATGAAACCCGCAACCTACAACTCTGCTAAGGAAACCAGGATCTCAAAGAACAGATTCATGTTTTAGGGACTTTAAAAGAAGAAATCCAAGCAGTTATGCACATGGACATAATCCTGAAAACCCAGTCAGGGGCTGGGTGCACTGTCAGTGAGGAGTTTTTCTGTACTTTGCAGAAACATGAGGTTGAAAGTGATAATATAGATATTTGGTTTTCAGTCATTCAGAAATTTTCTTCAAAGAAAGGCAATTTGAGCTAAATTACCATCATTTTCCCTTCTTTTGCAAATCAAGAAATACTAATCCATTGCATATGTAATCCCTCATATAATTTTTAGCCCAAATGGTCAAAATTACAACTTTTAATTTTATGAGCTCCAAATTATTAAACACCAACAGTAAATTGTGTGCATGAGAAGAACAAAGACAAATACAAAATATAGAAACTTTTTCTTCCAGCCACAAAAAACGAAGTTATGTATGTATGAGAAATAGAAACAATAACTAAACAATTAGTGTTAAATTCAAGACCTCTGGGAAAGCTGTTGTTGGTTATAGGCTATTATTTACCTTAGAATATGAAAGTTTAAAGGTCAAATTTTCAAGTTAAACTTTTCAAGTTACCTTCCCCCCAAAAAAGATTTACATGTAGGCTTAAATTTAGAACAGTTAAAGTATAAATGTTGAAAATTTCAACTTAATTCAGAATGGTTTCAGAAAGATATGATACAACAATTTAAGATAACAAAACAGAAGCGCATCACATTTTGGTTTGAGAATCACAGAAGGTACAACAGTTTTTCTTCCTTGGGGATCCTTCTCTTTCTCTTGAGGAATGAGCTAAAATTAAGTTATTTTGATTCAAAGAGGTATTTAGATGGTATCAACAAAATTTCAGAGGAAATCAGAACGGAGTTCATATACATGTATGGGTATGTGTGCATACATGTACGAGTATACATGTGCACGTATATAAATGTATATACACATATACCTTCTTACGTTTGCATTTAAAGAGGGAAGACCCCACAAAGACCTCCAGGCGCCTCAGCCCTTATTTGGTACTACCAGGTGACTTCAATGATTCACCAGCTACAACAGTGTCTGAACTCTTCCCCACTCAACTTTTCCTGGGAAGAGGATCTTTTTGTTTCCCGCACTTATTGCTGCTGTGAAAACTGGAGTGCACTCTCACTTTTCATAAGAGCTGAATTCTGGACTGCAGATAAGTGTTTTGAAAAGGCTTGGAAAGATTTTTCGGGGCGACTTAGGTTCTGTTTTGTTTGTTACAGTCCAAATACATAAAGTTATTATGAAATAAAATCATACGGTACAGATGAGAACAGGCCGGGACAGCCCGGCCAGCCGTTTTAGGGCCAAAGGACAGATCACCCAACGGTTCACATTTTAGGAATTCGAAATGTCTAAAAATAGATAAGGTGGTTTCTCTAAAAGAAAATAAAATGAAAGAGAAGGGGAAAAAATAAAAGGGAAAAGGAGGACAGGGTGAAGGAAGGAGGGCAAGAGGTAGCAAGGGAGGGAGGACAGAAGGAAGGAAGAAAGGAAGGGAGGGAGGGAGGGAGGGAGGGGAAATGATTTAGGGAATGTTAGTTGTCAGGAATACCTTACTTAGAAAGAAGGAAAAAAATGCATGAAAAAATGCATAAACTTTGTGCAGGTTAATGCAGTATTAAACACAGTAGAATACATAGGCCTCATAATGCTTTTGTAATGGCATATATATAATGTCCCCAAGCACTTTCTAAAAATATGCAGAGACTAATTCAAGATCATTCTAGATAAAAATACGTATTTCTTTAAAGGGGTGGGGTGGCAGGGTGGGAAGAAAAGCATGGTCTCAGGGTAGATCCCCACACACATACAAAGATAAAACTATGTTTTTTGGTAATTCTAGTTGATACGGCAGCAAAAATTGTCATGACAATGTTGGCTGGTTTTCAGAGGGTTATTTTCAAATATAACCTGATAGCTACACTTGTACAAAAATCTTTGTGAAAAGTTTCTTTTATTAACCCTGTGATATGTCTATATTGACATTTTCTAAGATAAAATAAAAGTAGCAGAGTTGTCAGTGGGTAAGGGACAGAGCTTTAAAGCAAAAGTGAACCCTCTTTGGGTTCCTCTCACACAAAGGGATACAGACTCTTAAATAAAATAATACTTCCTTAAAAATCTGCCGCCTAACAATTGTTTACATCATAGAAAAATAGCATTTTCGTAAAAAGAAATATAGTCACTTTGTTAAAATGGTCTATTTTAAACCAGCAATTATTTTTCATATAAAGAATTTCTAAATACCCATACAGAAAATAAAAATAGATAATACTGAGTGCAAAGCAGACAATGGCGTGTTTGCAAATGATCAAAATATTTCACTGCCAGATAAATAATACTCTTAGTATATTACAGTACAAGTTTTAATTTTTCAGGAACTTAAAAGATATTGCTTTTATTCTCTGATGGCAAGTTACTTATAAGTAAAGTTACTTCCAGCAGCAGAAGGCCAAATTGATTAGAAATGGATCATACCTATTGATTCACATTTCCCCTAAACTGAAAGTGCTGAAACACCGGGCAACAGCCAGTGTCCCAAACTCCTTCACAAGAGCATGGACTGCAGGCCATGGAGACACAGAGGGGAGCACACCATTCACAGGCCTTTCCAAAGCATTTGCTAGATCTTCCACATTGAAATCTTCACCCAGAATGAGAGCAACACCAAACTATTTACCAGCTTAGTCAAATCTGTCATGAGGGAGGGTTTCTGTGAAAACTCCTTCCTAATTATAGGCATTAAATCTTCATGCTATAAAAACAGATGGTTTCAACGGACGATTGCTTTATCGCCACAAAGCAATTCTGAGAGGATGGCAAGTTTCCTAGTGGCAGTGGTAAAGAATGTTATCAGGATGCTAAAAACTCAGCAGCTTCCAGCTTCTACATGGGGAAGTGGGGCTGATAGACTAAATCTACCAGCTACTTGAGAATACTCAATTCGCAACGGAATGCAAGCTCCACCGGCATTTCATCACACCCTCTCCACTCTGCTAGGGTCATAGGAATCTGTAAAATAAGAAAAGAAAAGAAAATTAGTGTTATATTCAACTGCTCTATTTTCTGTTTAATCCTTAGACCACGAATTTGTCTAGGGAACAAAATCTACAAGTGTATAAAGGTTAATTTTTAGACATTTTAACAATCATGTTTTCACTAAGGAGTAAAAAACTATTTGTCAAAAAGGCTGTTTTCAAAGAATTGTGCATAGTCATTACCCAAACACAGATGGGAAAATATGAACTGCTGAATACTTCGGCGGCTCCTTCCTGTTCACCGTGGAATATACTTCACTTTAAACGCAATGTTTCCAAACTGGCAGTGATGTGTTTGGCTGATATTAAGGTAGATGTCTTATCTTTCTTTCTTCTTCTTCTTCTTCTTCTTCTTTTTTTTTTTTTGGTAAATTACAGCTCAAAAGAAAGCTTGCTTTAGAATACGCATCTTTGTGATCAAACGCTGTCCCTTGAAGGCGTGAGGATCCTCAAATCCTGACTGCTTGGCTGGCAGAGAGAGGCTTTCTGTCTCTCATCACCACTGACCACTAGGCAGCCCCAGGGCTGGATGCTCACCTGTCAGCGCAAGGCTTCTAGAGCCTTCTAACACAGGTATGTACGAGTCTGGCCCCTCACGCACTGATCCATTCTACTGCCGTCAATGGAAAAATCCCAATCTGTGCCCAGATGACCTGGATTTCTAAAACGGGACACCATACAAAAGAGCAATCATCCTAAACTGCCACTACTGCTGCTGCTGGGTGCTGCCAAGTCCCACAACCTCCAATTCACAGATGTCTGTCTGGAATCCAGACAAACCTAAGGCTCACACGTGCGCCTCCTGTGGTAAGATTTTCCTGCCATAGCAGCTCAAAGGCTTCTTATTTTTTAAAGAGAAAATGTCTAAGCAATCTGGAAGGAGTACAGCCATTATGGAAACATTATGGAAGTTCCTCAAAAAAATTAAAAATAGAACTACCATATGATCCAGCAATCCCATGACTGGGTATGTATCCAAAGGAAAGGACATCAGTATGGAAGAGATATCTGCACTGCAGCATTATTTACAATAGCCAAGTTCACTGCAGCATTATTTACAATGGCCAAGATAGGAAACTACCTAATCATCAAGGTTTTCATGACTGGATGTATGGATAAAGAAATTATATAGCCGGGCACAGTGGCTCACGGCTGTAATCCCAGCACTTTGGGAGGCCGAGGCAGGTGGATCACCTGAGGTTGGGAGTTCAAGACCAGCCTGACCAACATGCAAAAACCCCATCTATACTAAAAACACAAAAAATTAACCAGGCATGGTGGTACGTGCCTGTAATCCCAGCTACTCGGGAGGCTGAGGCAAGAGAATCGCTTGAATCCAGGAGGCGGAGGTTGCTGTGAGCCGAGATGGCGCCATTGCACTCCAGCCTGGGCAACAAGAGCGAAACTCTGTCTCAAAAAAAAAAAAAAAAAAAAGAAAAAAAGAAATTGTATATACACACACAATGGGATATTATTCGGCCCTAAAAGATAAGCAAATCCTGCCATTTTACAACAACATGGATTAAACTTCAGGACATTATGGTAGTCAAAAAAGCCAGACACAGAAACACAAATACTGCATGATCTCACCTATATGTGGAATCATTTAAAAAAAAAAAAAAAGTTGAAATCACAGTAACAGAGAGTAGAAGGGTGGTTGCCAGGGGCTGGGGTGAAGGAAAAGGGGAAATACTGGCCAAAGGGTACAAACCCTAAGCTATAAGATGAGTAAGTACTGGAGACTGAGTGCATAGGATGGTGACTTTAGTTACTAATGCCATCATGTACACTTGGAATTTGCTGATAGAGTACATCTCAAATGTTCTCAGCACACACTCAAAAAAACTGGTAACTATGAGAGAAGATGACTATGTTAACTGCCTTGACTGGGGTACTCATTTCACAATCTATAGATGAATCAAAACACCATGTTCTATACCTTAAATATATGCAATTTTTGTCAATCATGCTTCAATAAAGCTGGGAAAAAAAGAAAAAGGAAAAAAAACAGCAAGTCTCGGCATGGTCAAAAAAGGTGATTCACTTAAAAAAAAAAAAAAAGGAAATCTGGAAGTATCTGAAAAGTTAGAAAAACAATCTTTTGGCCGGGCGAGGTGGCTCATGCCTGTCATCCCAACACTTTAGGAGGCCGAGACAGGTGAATAACCTGAGGTCGAGTTGGAGACCAGCCTGGCCGACATGGCGAAACCCCATCTCTACTAAAAATACAAAAATTAGCCAGGTGTGGTGGTACATGCCTGTAGTTCTAGCTACTCGGGAGGCTGAGGCACGAGAATCATTTGAACCTGGAAGGTGGAGGTGGCAGTGAGCTGAGATCGCACCACTGCACTCCAGCTTGGGCAACAGAGTGAGACTCGGTCTCAAAAAAAAAAAAAAAAAAAAAGAAAAAGAAAAGTGAAAAACAATCTTTTCTGAAATCCATCTGGACAACTGTGCATTAAAAAGGCCATAGACATTCCAATTTTTCCAGCAGCAAAATGTCTTACACATCCTCCTCACTCCTTTTCAACCTGGCTGAGACAGATGTATGATACAACAGGTATCACGACTGTGATGACTGAGACAGCATTCAGAGTACTTAAAGCCCTACATTACTACCCAGATGGGACAGTCTCTGCATTTAGGAAAAGAAGTTTGCTCAAACGTCATCAGCTGCACGCAGGAATAATCTGGCTAAAAGGAAGGGGAGTTCACATAAATTCTTTCTGACTGTTGATGCTTAACAACATCCATGAAACAATATAAGACATTAATAGCTGGGTGCTTCATTTCTGTGCTCAATCAGCCTCAGAGTGTTCACATTCTGAGAGGGTCCTCCTGTGAGCAAAGGTGTCTTTTTCTCCATTGAGAATAAGGTGTGCGGTCATGAAATTATGAGAACGTGTGGAAGTCACACTTCGGCTAGTGGGAGCACCTGTTATTAAGATGCTTAGTTTCTTCCAGGCTAAGCCTCACATTACATAACACTAGGCATGGAACAGGCCATGCCATGTCTGTCTGTACCACCCCACCCAACACACACACCCTTCGAGACCCTTACTATCTGTGCTGTGTTGTACCTACCATCAAGTGTCTTTAGATTACAGATGGTCATTTCAGCTCACACCTTTTTAGTGGTCTTTTGTGCCAGGCACACTAGAGACACCTCCACAGGACACACCTGCTGCCCACAGTCCCCTGGCTCTTTCTTCAGCTCATGGACTATCCAGGTCCAGTAAAATTATAATGTGGGCCACAAAACATTATTTTTTAGAGACAGGGTCTCACTCTGTCACCCAAGCTAGAGTGCAGTGGCACAATCACAGCTCACTGCAGCCTCAAACTCCTGGACTGAAGTGATCCTCCTCCCTCAGCCTCCCAAGTAGTTGGGACTACAGACATGCACTACCAAGCCTAATTTTGTTTTTCAGTTTTTGTAGAGATGGGGGTCTCGCTATGTTGCCCAGGCTGGTTTTGGGCTCAGATGATCCTCCCACCTCTGCCTCCGAAAGTACTGGGATTACAATCATGAGCCGCCATGCCCAACCATCATTATTTTAAATGTTCTAGTAGCTATGTTGAAACACATAAAAATAAACAGGTGAAATTAATTTTAATACTGTATTTCACCAAATATATTCAAAATATCATTTCAATATGTAACCAATATAAAAATTATTGAGACATTTTAGATTCTTTTTTTGTACTAAGTCTTTGGAATCTGGTGTGTATCTTACACTTACAGCACATCTCAATTTGCATGAGCCATATTTCAAGTGCCCAGTAGCTGTATGTGATGAGCGGCTACAATATTGGACAGCACAGGTCTAGAGGGTAGGGTGGTTACCCGGAGAATTTAGAATCCTGTTTCCTGTGGGCTCCATTTCAGCTGAGGACAACTCACTGAGGACTGCCCTGGTGGGTATTTCACACATTAACGCCCTCAGAGATGTGCTAACATCTAGCCTTCTCATGGCATGATCTGGTATCATGAAGCCTTCCCCGATTTCCCTCATTTTGGGCCTCACACAGATATCTCTTCTCATTCTTCCCCTGGACTCATATTAACAGAGTTTGCAACAGAGGATGATGGAACCAGGAGGTTCTGTGTACGATCAATGCCTGGGATGACACTTCCGAATTGGAGCATCAGTCATCCAGCAAAGATGGGAGTCTGTGACCCGAACTCGTTTTGGGCTGTTGATTTCTTAACCAGAGGCATGAAAGACCACTAAAGACATGTGAGCTGAAACGACCAACTTTAATCTCAAGACACTTGATGATATGACAGGCACGGCACAAGGGTGTGTGTGTAGGGTGGGGTGGTGCGGATAGACATGGCATGGCCTTGTGTTACAGTGCCAGAACAGATGCTTGAATTTAAATGGGCTACAAATTTAGGAGCAATGAAGCAGTTCTAGCATGCTGGGGTCATGGGGGCAGCAGTGCAGTGGGGAAGAGATGAGGATTCTTATGTTTAAAATGATTAAATACATCAAAAGGAAAGCAAAGTCCAAGCGCTTCTCAGTGACTTAACAACAAGGCTTTACTCTAACTTGTGAAGCAACAGTGAGCGGAAAAGTGGACATACGTCAAAAGTATTACTACCTCCATCATATGACCTCAGTTGCTCTCAAGACGAGTGGTTTTGAATATTGAGGCCTGGTGACCATCACATGAAAGGCCCACAGGGGGCCACCTGAGCAAAACAAATGTAAGATATCGTCCCTAATGGTGCTCTCCCCTCCGATTATGGTCATGCGCCACAGAACAACATCTTGGTCAATGACGGGCCACATAGATGACAGTGGTCCCATAAGATAATAATGAAGCTGAAACATTACTGTCATCTAGTGACGTCATGTCATAGTGCAATCAATTTTTAAACAAATGTGGTGTAGCCTAAGTGTACAGGGTTTATAAAGTCTACAGTAGTGTAGAGGAATTTTCTAGGCCTTCACATTCGGTCACCACTCACTCACTGACTTGCCCAGAGCAACTTCCAGTCCTGCAAGCTCCATTCATGGTAAGTGCCCTACAAAAGTGGTCCTTTCTTTTTTTTTAATATTTTATGCCATATTTTTACTGTGCCTTTTCTTTTTGTTTTTTTGGAGATGGAGTTTCACTCTTGTTGCTGAGGCTGGAGTGCAATGGCGCGATCTCAGCTCACTGTAACCTCTGGCTCCCGGGTTTAAGCAATTCTCCTGCCTCAGCCTCCCAAGTAATTGGGATTACAGGTGCCTGCCATTACACCCAGCTAATTTTTGTATTTTTAGTAGAGACAGGTTTTCACCACGTTGGCCACACCAGTCTTGAACTCCTGACCTCAAGTGATCCACCCACCTCAGCCTCCCAAAGTGCTGGGACTACAGGCATGAGCCACCACGCACGGCCTGTACCTTTTCTTTAGATATGTTTAGATACACAAATGCTTTCCATTGCGTTACAATTGCCTGCAGTATTCCATACAGTAACAGGCTGTACAGGTTTGCAGCCTGGGACCAATAGGCTCTACCATGAAGACTAGGTGTGTAGTAGATTCTACCATCTAGGTTTGTAGAAGTGCACTCTCTATGGTGTTCACACAATGACAAAACTGCTAATGATGCATTTCTCAGAGTGCAGCCCCATTAAGCGACGCATGACTGTACTTGAAAATGCCCGAGGAAGCTGTCAACATGAGTGGCTCTCTGCCTGCAGATTTTTGGCCATTTTATTGTATATTAGCAAATGCATCAGATGGAGAGGAGAAAAAAATAATTAAATTTTCTGCTTGTTAGTAGCAGTGGTTAAAAAAAAAACCCAAAAACGTCATGAGGGAGGTGTTGTTAATAACTGGCTAAAATTAAAATTTGCATTACCTGGGTGTTTTTAGATACCTACTGGACCTTCTCACACTAAATAGTCAAGTTAAAAATTGAAGGAGTGCTTTTCTGAACTGGAAATTTTGTGTTATCAAATACTCCCTAGACTGGGCACCATAATTGAGGCAGGAGGATTGCTTGAGGCCAAGAATTCAAGACCAACCTGAGCAGTGTAGGCAAGACCTCATCTCTACAAATAACTAAAAAAATAGCTGAGTGTGATGATGCATGCCTGTAGTCCCAGCTACTTGGGAGGCTGAGGCAGGACAATCGCTTGAGCCTAGGAGTTCAAGGCTACAGGGAGCTATGATCATGCCACTGCACTCCAGCCTGGGCCACAGAGTGAGACTCTGTCTCAAACAAAACAAAACAAAAAACCTTCCTGAAATAGGTTTCCATGAACTGAGACACAGAAATATTTACCAACTGGTACTGTATTATAACAGGATTTATTTGTCTTATTTTAAACTCCTTACAATTTTCAGGAAGATGTAGGACTGAGAAAATCATCCTGATTTTATAGATGAAGAAAACTTGCTTTAGAAGTCTATGACAAGTTTTAACTAACCTTAAAGTCTAGTGGGCATATTTTTTGAGGAGGAAGGGGGACTGCAGAGGAATTATGCTGAAGGCTACAATAAATCCAGAAAGCTCAAAAAATGGGCAGGTAACCCTTTTCCTACCATAATGGCAAAGCCTTCACATTCTCAGTATTCTCTACCACTGCAAAGGCCCAGCTTGTCCAACTAGAGGATCCAACGGGGCCCCGACGAAGGATTATTTCAATCATGTGTTTTGCATAAGGAGCAGAGAAGCAACACTGGCTAACACCCCTAAGAATCCCACTGTATTTGGGGGAAACTTGAGAGTGCCCATGTACATTTTTTTTTTTTTTTTTTTTTTTTTGAGACGGAGTCTTGCTCTGTCGCCCAGGCTGGAGTGCAGAGGCACAATCTCGGCTCACCACAAGCTCCGCCTCCCAGGTTCACGCCATTCTCCTGCCTCAGCCTCTTGAGTAGCTGAGACTACAGGCGCCCGCCGCCACGCCCAGCTAATTTTTTGTATTTTCAGTAGAGACGGAGTTTCACCGGGTTAGCCAGGATGGTCTCGATCTCCTGACCTCGTGATCCACCCGCCTCGGCCTCCCAAAGTGTTGGGATTACAGGCTTGAGCCACAGCACCCGGCCCTACATTTTTTTGTTCAATAGAAATCTCTGACTACTTCCAACTGAAACAACAGCTCTTTTCTATCTGCTTCAAAATTCTTGGGTTTCAAAACAGAAAATAGAAAGGGGTGGGAGGAGCAGAACCACCTGCTGGAGACTGGGTAGGAAGAGGGAAGGGCCCAGCTCAGGAGAGGGCATTCCTCTAACTCAACTCGTAAGGACCAAGTTTTTCTTTTCCCCTTACTGTAAAAGGCTTGGACTGGGCCGGGCTCAGTGGTTCACGCCTGTAATCCTGGCACTTTGGGAGGCCAAGGTGGGTGGATCACCTGAGGTCAGGAGTTCAAGACCAGCTTGGCCAATATGGCGAAACCCCATCTCTACTAAAAATACAAAAATAAACTGGGCCTGGTGACACACGCCTGTAGTCCCAGCTACTCAGGAGTCTGAGGTAGGAGAATCGCTTGCACCCAGGAGGCGGAGGTTGCAGTGAGCCGAGATCGTGCCACTGTACTCCAGCCTGGGGAACAGAGTGAGACTCTGTCTCAAAAAGAAAAAAATGGGAAGGGGAGGGGAGGGGAGGGGAGGGGAGGGGAGGGGAGGGAGAAAAGGCTTAGACTAAATGACAGAAGGTCCCTTCCAGTCCATGGCTTATGATGTGGATCTTTTGACATTTATCTCAACTCTTCTACTGATCACCTGAGCTCAGGAGTTCGAGACCAGCCTGAGTAACATAGTGGGATCTCGTCTCTATAAAAAAATTAAAAAATTAGCTGGAAATGGTGGTGCATGCCTGTGGCCCCAGCTACTCGGGAGGCTGAGGTGGGAGGATCACTTGAGCCCAGGAAGCAGCGGAGGTTGCAGTGAGCAGAGATTGCACAACTGCACTCCAGCCAGGCGACAGAGTGAGATACTATCTCAAAAAAATAAAATATACTGCAAGATCTTGAATTTTAAAGATGGCTTCTGGATAATTCTTCGAAAATGAGGAATCTTTTGATAAAACAATTCCCAGGGTCAACTTGATCTTTTCTGAATATGCAGATTTACATTATCCACCAACCTGGTATTTTGTACTGACTAAAAACTCCAAATGTATACTGAGCACCTGCCTGTCTGCCTGATTCCTCACCTGGGCACCAGAAGTCTTGATCCATGCTCTTCTCCTTTTGTGCTGCCGGATGCTCCTTCTCTTCCCTGGAGATGCTGTCCTTGGACACAGAGAGTGAGTGGCCCAATCTCTGGGCACGGTCCCCACTGCCAGGAGACACAAGGCCTCCCGGGAGCCCGGCCTGGCCCCTTGTGGTGGCCTTCAATTCCTCGGCGTCCTCCTGGGAGTCGGCATTCCTGAAGCTCAGGACTCTCATCCGTGACACTGAGCTCACCTCTTTCATTCTCATCAGGCGGTCAGGGTCTGCTCTCCTAGGCGGGGAGGCCAGTTTCTCTTGTAAACTTTCAATCACTTTGGAAGGGCTTCTAAGTCTCTTTTCAGAGCCTGCCACACTTGGGGTTCTTTCTACAAAATGGAATAAAGTGGACCTGAAGGGTGGTTTTGTTTCCACATCCTTTTGTTCGAAGAACTTGGACTCCAAGGGGCTGGGCTCAGGCTCAGGGACAGGGTCTGTGCTGGTGACAACCCCGTCCACATCTGAGTGCTCAAAAGCCTGAGGAGCCCGCCTGGCACTGTCCCTGTCCCCTACAAAGAGAGGGCTCTTGGTCCAGCCGCACTTCCTCCTGCCATAAAAGGCATCAGTGGACACCCTGGGGACATCTGCCGGTGCTGGGCGAGATAGCAACTCTTCCTGGGGGGACTCTGGGGTGCAGGCACTTGCATCGGGCTCAGCAGGCTGGTTCTGTCCCGCTCTCCGGATGCCCGGCAGGAGGGACTCCACCGCCACCTCAATGCCCAGGATCCTTGCAGCCCTGGCTTGCAAGGACTCACCTGGGGGGATTTCTATTGTGCTTGCTTCACCCAAAGACCCCTCTAGCTCACTGGCACCCTGTTCTTGCCCAGGGGTGAGCCCCACAGACCGTAAGTCTGGAGCTGAGAGCCCTCGGTTCTTGTTAGACAGGGACAGTGGGAGCCCTGCCCCCCTCTCTCCACCACTGTCAAACTTCCGAGGGACCGCTTCACTTGGTTTCACAGAGCTGAAAGCACTGGTGATTTTCGGACTTTCCTGGGGCTCCCTAGGTTCAGCTGGATAGGACGCGGGCAGTGGTTTTGCGTCACTTGATCTTGAAGACATTCTCGTCACAGGAAATGGGCTACCTGCCAGCTCGTCCATTCCGTTGCTAACCTCCAGGTGTCTCTTCTCTGCACTCGTGCTTCCATCTGCTGAGCAGAAAGGTGCACCGCCACCTTCTTCCACGCGAAAGCGGCCCGGGGATGGAGGCCAGGCACGTGGGTGGCCAGGCTGCAGCTCCTCACTCCAGCTCTCAGACTTACTCTCACCTCTTCCCGACCTACACACAGGGCTCTCCGGCACCCACATCCTCGGCTGTGGCTCAACCCTCATTTCCGGGCTGTTTCCGCGGAAGCCCACATCCTCCTGTCTGCAGTGAGCACGGTTCTCCTGCTGCGGCTCCGCCTCACTCTCCTCACTGCTGCTGCTGCTGCTGCTGCTGCTACTGCTGCTTTCTTCCTCTTCCTGGAGCTCCTTGTTAAAACTTTCTAACTGACTGATCAAATCCCAGGGACGACGGCTGACCGGTTTCAGGAGAAACTGCCCAAAGAGTTGTTTACTGTTGCAAGGGCCCGTGGGCTCCCCCTTCACCACCTCCCGCTTAGGCCCAGGGTGGGCTCCAAGCCCGTGGACATCCACGCAGGGCTGACTTCGGCCTGCTTTTGGCGTCGGTGCCTGGTCCACGGACAAGGAAGTCCTTGAGAACGCACTGTTGCTGGATGGGCTGAGGGACCTGTGACCTTTCAGGTTACGGGCACTTGGCCTCTGTTTGTGATCACCGGTAGGGAATGCTGTGTGCGTCTGAGCTTCGGAGGCAGCAGGGTCTGAACATTTTGGACTCAATGCTGCACGACTCGGCCCTCCCAGCTTTGCACCAGGGAGCAGCTGCGAACTTTGGGGCTCCTCGGAGAAACTGGTTTGTGTTTGCTGATCTCTGTACCGGTGCCCTGGCCAAGAGCCAGAATGCTTGAGTTCTCTGTGCTTTGTAAGGTGGATGAAACTGAGGTCATTTGTTTGTCTGTCTTCTTCTGGTTCCCCTAGATCTTGTTTTTGGAACTCCGTTCTCCCACCCATGCTTCCTGTGAGGGCCTGCAGCTCCAGGTCGGTGGAAGACATGCTCAGCAGACTCTGTTCTTGCAGAGCCGGGCTCTTATCAGACCCATTCTTTTGATCAGCACTGGGCTTTAAGTCATTGTTGTCCATATCTCTATCTGGCAGATGTGATTCTGATTTCACTGGGATAGAAACCAAGCAAAATATAGTCTCGTTCATTTTTTTCTTTGAACTTTTCTTGGTCCGAGTCCCAGTTTGGAACTTTTTGAGCTTGGTTTGAGTTTCGCAGGTGCTCTCGCCCTGTGAGTAAGGGGAGGAAACTTGTCTTCCAGTGTGCCCGTGCTGGCTGCCTCTCACATCAGGCCACTGTCCCCTTGCCACACAGCGGTCTCTCTGGTTGGGGAGGCCACTGTTTTCCCCATCCCCGGGGGGCTGGCCCCACAGCCACCGGGGGCTGGAATCGGCCAAGACCAGGCCTCTCTCATCCCCCGACGGGGGTATTAAGCTCTGTGGATTCCAAATGGCACCATCAGGCTGCATTCCTCCATGAGCCGGCTCTTGAGCAGTGACAGGACTGGAGTTATATGATTTATCGTCAAGCTTTATGTCTTCACAGAAACCCTGGGGCTGAGCTAGTTTAAAATGTCGTAACCGTGGATCATCAAAGGGAATGTACTGAACGAAGCCGTCATAGGCAGTGACAGGTCGGGGATGTGCGGGGAGCCCCTGAGGCAAGCGGGGGCTCACACCATACTCATTCCCAGTTCCAGGGGGGCCTGAAGGAGGCTGACCGCTGGCCCCAGCCTTCTCGGTCGGAGACTGCTGTTGACTGTGACCGCCACACACATTTATGGGCACCGTGTCTTCCAAGTAGGGGTTTGGGATGTTCTGCGGGGGCGATCTGTATGAGGGCGGAGGCACGTACACTGGAGGTTCCAATCCAGGGTCTGACAGGCAGAGCTCATGCCTGGGGACATAGGCGTCCATCTGCTGGCTGTCCTGAGAGTCACTGCTGTCCGCTCCTCCCCTAGACTGCTGGTGCGAGCTGTAAGATGGGGGCTTGAGGGGCCTCCCAAACTTAGGCCGGGGAAATGGGGCTGAGCAGCCACTCTTCTCAGAATTCCTCGTGGAGTCCAAATTTGGTGCGCAAGTGGGAGGATACGGTGGCATTTTAGGTGAATGTCTTTCATTTAATGGAATGGGAATTTCCGTGCAACTCAGGCTCTCGGGGGAAAGAACTCTAGGCAGTGAGCGAGACTTCCCTTTGTTTTGAGAATTCAACACATGTTCTCCTTGAATGAATGGGTACAGGTCTTGAAACAGTCTCTCCCCATCTCCATCAGACATCTGCCTCCCTAATTTCCTTGGCTGGTTCCAGCTTTCCAGGCTGACGTTCTGCCACTTGGCAGGACCTGACATTCGCAATTCTTCTTCCCAAACTGGCTTCTTCATCACATGCTCTGACCTTCCTCCAACTTCCCATGGACCCTCCCTCACGTGGACAGGCAGGCTGTGGGCTTGGGCCATTCCTCTGGCCTCCAGGTTTTCGTGCTCCCTCGGCTTCTGGCTCCTGGCTTCTTGCCGTCCTCTTCTCCGGTAGGCTTGGTCGTTACCAGTCGGGGGATGAGAGGACCATGCTGAGGGGGGTTGATTACAAAACCTACAAAACAAAGAGTCACAGACGTTAGGCACAGAAGAAACATGTCTTCATCTGCTTCTGTGACTGGCATTCGAAGTCAAACTCAGGTCAGCAACTTTGAAAACTTGGTTCCCAGCCACAGTACTTGCCAGCTTGAAAGAAAACATATCCCATTAATTATGGTTGGAAGACAGCCACGTGTTTTGGCATCAAGGGCCAAGAAGGGGCAGCAGTGGGCAGCCCACAAGAATACAGGGATGTTGGGTGTACTCCAGCGATGTCAAGGTCCTTATAAACATTAAAATGTCTGGTGGAAGGCCGGGCACCGTGGCTCATGCCTGTAATCCCAACACGTTGGGAGGCCAAGCTGGGAGAATCTCTTGAGGCCAGGAGTTTGAGACCAGCCTGTGCAACATAGTAAGACTCTGTCTCTACACAAAATTTAAAAATCAGCCAGGCATGGTAGTGCCCACCTGTCTCAGCAACTCCAGAGGATGAGGTAGAAGAATTGCTTGAGCCCAGGAGTTCGAGGCTGCAGTGAGCTGTGATTGCGCCACTGCACTCCGGCCCGGGCAGCGGTGAGACCCTGCCTCATAAGGAAAAAAAAATGCCCAAGGGAACAAGGGTTAACTGTTCAGTAGTATTTCTCAAGGTGTGGTCTTGGACCACTTGCAGCATATTGCCGGCTCAGTCCAGACCTCCTGTGCAATCTCTGGGAGGGAATCTGGGAACCTGCTTTTAAAAACACTGTTTTTAAGCAAGGGTTCTGAAACTTTAGTGAGAATCAGAATCACTGAGTCCTGGAATTGCTAAGAGAGAGATTGCTGGGTCCCATCCCCAGCTTCTCATCTGGCGGGTCTGGAGAGGGGCTCTATAATCTGCAAGTTCCCAGATGATGCTGATGCTGCTGGTCCCAGGGCCTTACTTTGAGAATCATCATTGCTGGTGGTTGTTCACCCTGACTGCACATTAGAATCCAGGAAGACTTCAAAAATCCAGATGCCAGGCAGTATCCTAGACACATTACATTACAATCTTAAGACGTGTGGGTGGTAAATGGAGGGCGAGGCAATCAGGCATCCGAGACTCTCCAAGTGTCCCCGGAGATTCCCAGTGTGCAGCCAAGATTGAGAAAGATGTCTCTAGCAGAGTCCCCTCATCTCTCTGATGGTAAGCATCACCCAGTGGGCTTGTAAAATATACACATTACCAAGTCTCTCCCACTGAAAGTTCAGACTTGGTAGGTCTGGGTTAGGGCCCAGGCATTTGTATTTATATTTTTATTTATATATTTATTTTTGAGACAGGGTCTCACTCTATCACCCAGGCTAGGTGCAGTGGTGTAATCATGGCTCACTGCAGCCTCAAACTCCTGGGCTCAAGCAATCCTTCCACTTCAGCCTCCCAAGTAGCTGGGACTGACTACAGGCACTCCATCATGTCTTGCTAATTTTTAAGATGTTTTTGTAGAGATGGGGTTTTGCTGTGTTGTCCAGTCTGGCCTTGATCTCCTGGCCTCAAGAAATCCTCCCACCTCCGCCTCCTCATGTGTTGGGATTACAGACATGAAGCACCATGCCTGGCCCATCTGTATTTTTTTTTTTTTTTTTTTTTTTGAGACTGAGTCTCGCTTTCGCCCAGGCTGGAGTGCAGTGGCACAATCTCGGCTCATTGCCACCTCCGCCTCCTGGGTGCAAGCAATTCTTGTGCCTCAGCCTCCCGAGTAGCTGGGATTACAGGCACCTGCCACCACACCCGGCTAATTTTTGTATTTTTAGTAGAGACGAGGTTTCACTATGCTGGCCAGGCTGGTCTCCAACTCCTGACCTCAAGTCTTCCGCCCACCTCGGCCTCCCAAAGTGCTGGGATTAGAGGAGTGAGCCACTGCGCCCAGCCCCATCTGTATTTTTTTTTTTTTTTTTTTTTTGAGACGGAGTCTTGCTCTGTCGCCCAGGCTGGAGTGCAGTGGTGGGATCTCGGCTCACTGCAAGCTCCGCCTCCCGTGTTCACGCCATTCTCCTGCCTCAGCCTCCCAAGTAGCTGGGACTACAGGCGCCCGCCACTACGCCCGGCTAATTTTTTGTATTTTTAGTAGAGACGGGGTTTCACTGTTTTAGCCGGGATGGTCTCGATCTCCTGACCTCGTGATCCGCCCGCCTCGGCCTCCCAAAGTGCTGGGATTACAGGCGTGAGCCACCGCGCCCGGCTCCATCTGTATTTTTAACAAGCATTTCAGAGGATTCTTATCCTCAATTTTGGGAAACACTGCTAGGGCTTACATTGAGATTGTCTAGAGGAAGAGGGGAGCCCTGTTCATGGGGTGAAACTCTCTGCAAGGCAGGAAATGGTAGTATCAAATGCAGGGTGTTGTTCACTACTGGGCCACACATTAGGATTTCCTTGTGAGCCTTTAAAAAATACCAAAGCTCAGGGCCCATCTCCAAATATTTGGATTTAATTGGTCTAATGAGGAGCCAGTATATTTCAAAATCTCCCAAATGACTCTAGCATGCGGGGAGAGTTCAGAATCACAGTTCTAATGCAACCAAAGGAAAGTATCTGAAGAACATAATGTGCAGAAATATTAAGCTACTACCCATGAATGATCAGAGACTAGGGCCATGTAATAGGGAAAAACCATTAACTGGAAGGAAGTTCAGGGGACTCAACAGTTTTGATTAACCATGGGCCGGGCTGACTTGAAAAATGTTTCAAGTCTAGGATAGCTGTTTGCTTTTTAAATTATTACAGTAATGGATTCATTGTTGAAAATGAATGTTGGAAGAATATAAAAAAGTACAAAAAACAAAAATTGCTTATACTCTTTCTACTCAGAGATGGTTACTTTGATACATATCTTCTCACCTGTGTGTGTGTGTGAGGATGTGAATTTTTGAACAGCCTGGGTATTCTACTAGATATCTGGTATTATGTGAACATTTCCTGACACTTGTAGCACAAACAGCAGCAGCTGCTTACACGGTGGTTGCTGTGTGCTAGGTCCAAGCCATGTGCTTTCTGCAAACTAACTCATTTAAGCTTCACCAACATCCTTCTGAGGTAGAAGCTACTGTCAATACCACTCTACAGAGGAGGAAACTGAGGCACAGGTGTTAAGTAACTTGCTTAATACTAACATCTACTGGGCACCCATGCTGTACCATGCATGGTGCTAAGCATGCCAAGTGAATTATTTCATTTCAACGTTATAATTACCACTACTTCCCGCTTTTACAGATAAGAAAACTGAGGCACAGGTAGGTTAAATGATTTCCCCAAGTTACACAGCCTGCAAGGATTTGTGAAAGAGCTCTAAGCCAAGAAATGTGAACCTAAAACGCTCAATTAACCCTGCATTTTACTTCTTCCAGTGTAATGAAAACGCCCTCAGGTGCTTAATGTTCATGGATGAATTGTATTCCCTCACACACACAGGATTTACTTAACCCTTTACCAGTGTTGGACATTGATGTGGATTCTATTCTAAAACACTTTGAAAAACACTATTGTTCACAAACACGTGATGTAGGTCTCAGATCATTTAGAGTAAGTCCTTAGAAAAGAAGTGAGTAGATCATGGGGTGTTGTGTGATGCATGTTGTCAAACTGACCTTAGATAAACTATCCAATTTATAGTCCCTCCTGTCGTGCAGAGGAGAGCCGGTCTTGCTGAACCTTTTCATCCCTAGTTATTACAACTATTTTTCCCCATAACTTCTCACTACTTTAATTTGCATTTCTTTGATTACTAGTGAGGTCGATTTCTTTTTCCCCATGTGCTTAGGTGTTATTATACATTTTGTGGTTTCGAATGATTCCAGCAACACAGTCTGCTTTTCAGCTGGTGGCACAGCAGAGTGAACACAACATGAAACTGGGAGGTGCAAGGCCACCAGTTCTATGCAGCAACAGTGCGTGAAGCCTGGAAGAGTCCCTGCTGGGGCCTGGGCTGCAGGAGAGCCCTTCCAATCACAGAGGCAGAAGGCTGTGGGCAGGAGCCCTGGTAAAAACTTCTATTTTTATTGCTACTATTCTTATTTTGGAATTACCTCTTTGCCTTAAAAGGTAAGGATAGCCCCTCAAACTCTGTATCCAAGGCCGGGTGCAGTGGCTCATGCCTGTTATCCTAGCGCTTTGGAGGCTGAGGTGGGTGGATCACCTGAGGTCAGAAGTATGAGACCAGCCTGGCCAACACAGTGAAACCCTGTCTCTACTAAAAATATAAAAATCGGCCGGGTGTGGTGGCGGGCATCTGTAATCCTAGCTACCCGGGAGGCTGAGGTGGGAGAATCGCTTGAACCCGGGAGGAGGAGGTTGCAGTGAGCTGAGACCATGCCACTGCACTCCAGCCTGGGCGACAGAGCAAGACTCCATCTCAATAATAATAATAATAATAATAATAATGATAATAACAATAATTCTGTATCTACTTCTACCCCCTGTTAACTTGTTAGGCAGTCATTTACAGCAAAGCTTAGTTATGGGCTGGAAAACCAGAAAATATCCAAAATCAATCTGAGGTAAGACATTTGCCACTGAGCAGCCTCAATGCTTCTGTGTTAACGACCTGTACATGGTATAAGACCTGTACTGTCTTAACACCGGGCACGGTAGGAGGTCACAATTTCTGTGTTGCTTTTGTTGTCATTGAAATTATGTTTTGAGCATTTGGGTTTTGAATGCTGAGAAGACTGCTTCCTGGTCAGGTTCGACACAGATTAGTCATTTTGAAAGCCATCGTCACTGGCCCCTCTGCATAGCCCCTTTCCTCCCTCCCTCCCCACTTTAGCTGAGCCAGGCTTGCAGCTCCAGAAGCCACAGAGTCCTCCCCTGGGGACTCCTGTGTGACCGCCCATCAGTAGCCTGAGAAATGCTGTAGAACATGAACCACTGAAAAGTCTTCAGCACCTACTGTCTATAGGCTCCCAGACTCTATAGAAAATCCAAGGGCAAGACTTAAAAACTACCATGTAATAAGGCATTACAATTGTTACACCCCACTGTGAAAGGCTAAAAGAAATCATTAGGAAGTATGCGGTTGGTGCTTTGCATCAGAAACAATCTACCCTCTTACCTCTGCTCTTAGGCTGATGGTGAGTAGGCTTTTATGAAGCACCGTTCTCATTCCTGACAGTCCTGTGAACGCTTTCCTGGATTGCATGACTTTAGGGAGGAAACCGTACCGTGTGGCTTTGACGCGTTTTTCTCAATTGATATTCGGGTTTCACAGTGTGCTTAGAGAAGGGGCTAAAATCCTAAGGTGCTACTTGTGCAAGTACACGCCACGAGCATAATCAGAAGACAGATAAAAAATGACAGAAATAGGACAAGAATACAAACAGCCTGTCACTTCCTACAGAGGGAGCGTGGTTGGTTTTCTTCTCCACCCAAAAATGTTACACTATCACTTTAACTTTGTCAAAACTGCCATATATAACAAACCAAAATAACTAAGAATTTTGGGTTAAACTTCCTTCTGTTTGCACAAGGTGCCAAAATTCCAATTTAATAAAAATACAGGTCATCCGGGAAATTTTAAATTATCTACTTTGCAACGCAGTCCACATGACATAGAAAACTATAAACCATTTAATTAATAAACATCTATTTTGTACCTAGCAAGGGCTGGGCTCTGACAGGTGCAAGCGGACTCCCCATGGGGGTCGCTCTGGTAGATTTCTCCTTCAGACAAGTTAGCAAGAATGGCTCTTCTAGTAGCTTCGCTATAGGACGCCCATTACCAGCTAAAATGTGTACTGCTGCATAGGGTTTCAAAGCCAAAAATATATTTTCTGATATGTTTAAGGAAATGAGATCAAATTTTTCTTTTTAGAAAAATGAAACTAATTATCTTACATTTTAAAAGACATTAACAATGGCACTTCTAGGAAAACATGCTGAACACATTAACACAGGGTGGGAAAAAGATAAGGAAAGCAAAGTGGAATGTGATCGCCCAGACAAATTGTGTCCATGAGTTCAATGGGACAAGCAGGGTCTTTACACAGAATTCCCGGGTGAACGGGACGGAGATGAAACAGAAGTTACACTTGCCAACAGCCCCATCTCTCATCTCAGGAGAGATGAGGCCAGCGAAACAACTACTAGCAACTGCTTGGGAAACATCTGAAATATGAGCATGTGAAAAACAATATGTTTAACAGAAAATGAGCAAGTCTATTCACTGCATATGCAGCAGCTAATTATGAGAAAAATTAGGAGACAGTTCTGTTCATTCACATGACTCCTTCTCAACCACAATGGAAAATGATACCCTTCTTTTAAAAAGTGATTCTCCTTAGAATAGCAACATTTGGGCTGGGCACAGTGGCTCACGCCTATAATCCCAGCACTTTGGGAGGCTGAGGCGGACGGATCACCTGAAGTCAGTAGTTCAAGACCAGCCTGACCAACACGGTGAATGAAACCCCGTCTGTACTAAAAATACAAAAAATTAGCCAGGCGTGGTAGTGGGTGCCTGTAATCCCAGCTACTTGGGAAACCGAGGCAGGAGAATGGCTTGAACCCAGGAGGTGGAGGTTGCAGTGAGCTGAGATTGCACCACTGCACTCCAGCCTGGGCAGTACAGAGCAGGACTCCGTCTCAAAAAAAAAAAAACAAAAAAAATGCAACATTTGGAATGCCTGTAACCACTGGCTCACATTCCCCATCTTCTCAGTGGCCTCCAAGGTCCTCATGAGCCACACTGACTTGTTATCACCCAGGCAGCTGCAGCCTGGCACTGGGCCTGATACCCAGGAGCACGGGATAGATGTGTGGATTAACTTAAGAAATCAGCCAGAGGCTTGCTGCCTGCCTAATGAACTGGGGGTTCTGTGGGAAGTGAGACAAACAGTTACCCTTCCCTCCTCCATGAACAAAATCCTGAGCCTGGTCCTCCCGTGGGGGCCCTCAAAGTCCAGTCAGCCATGCTTCGCTGTGGTCATTGGGGTGGGGCTGGGGAGGCCCCATTAAAGCCATGCCTTTATCCAGCGATCCCTTCCTGGTTCCCAGATCTGCAGTCTAGCAGATGCCTGCTGCTTTCCATTGCTTTCCAACCCTAGTGTCATGTTCTAGACCAGTGGATGGTCATGACACACTGGCCTAGCCTGTTCCTTCAAAAGCCCCTCCCCTTCCGGAGGCGTCTGTATCTAGGCATTGGTATCCAGATACAGAAACTGACCGCCAAGGCTGTAGGTCTCACTGAAAGAGCCAGGAGCAGCGTTCTCCTCTGGTTGGCAGAAGGGGCTTTGGGCATCTCTTTAGAGCGACTCACATTCACCAACCCCGCTGTCAGGTGCCTAACATGCTTCTGTGATGGCCTCAGCCATGTTCCGCTCCAGAATTTGCTCTGAAAGCTCTCTGGGCCTGGAAGCCTGCAATTTCTTTTTTCAGCATGATTTGGTCTATTCAGTATACCACCCCGTGCAAATATCCCTCTGATACAGGGTAACGAATGGGCTAATTTTGGAAAGGGGAAATCTGGGGTCCGGAGAAGATGAAGACTGAAGTATAGAGGTTAGCATAAAATTAAAGGTCAGTCAGAAAAGAGAAAACTGCTCTGAAAACATAATGGATGAATATTACTCTTCAGCAAAGTTCAATTTGAACAAGAATTGTAGGTTGCGCTGGCAGAATGGTAACTAGAAAATCCACAAATGCCCAGTCAGACTGCTAATGCATTGTCAGGCCTGCTTTTTATGATGTCACAATGAATGACTCTAGATGACAGGCAGTGCAGATTCAGTTAAAACATAAAGTACCTGGCGGACTATTTCTGGAGGTTACAGTTTTGTTATTAAAAAAAAATACACAAATAATGGGTCTGGAAGAGGAAGCATAATAAATTTGAGGACTCAGAAGTGATGCTAAATTTGGACATTTGAAGAAGGGGCACAGGAAAGCAATTCAAAGGCACTTGAGTTATCAACGTGCACAGAGGAAATTAAGTAGGAGGCATGTTGGAAAGGC
Source organism: Homo sapiens (assembly GCF_000001405.40). Taxonomy (NCBI): domain Eukaryota; kingdom Metazoa; phylum Chordata; class Mammalia; order Primates; family Hominidae; genus Homo; species Homo sapiens. The sequence goes on from NC_000010.11 coordinate 30,037,817, forward strand.
ACCCACTGATATCGACCTGGATGGAAGCCCCTGAAGTCGCAGTTCCTCCACAGCATGGGCTTTGAACTCCTGCGCTTGGGTCTGGCTTCCACAAAGATGAACTCAGAATGGAAAAATTAAAAAAAAAAAAAAAAAAAAAGTTGGAAGCCATTGCCACTACAGTGCCAACCTGGCCAGCCACAAGACCATAATATTTTTTAAACTCTGACGGCTAGAAATGGACACAAATTGCTCTTTTGTGGTTGCCAGCAGGTTTCTGAATCATCTTTGGGTTAGGGCTTCAGTAGACTTTTGATTTTGCAAGGTCTAGTAAAGAACTTTTATACACACAAGTTAAGTCGGAGGCCACGGTCCACCGGCCCCACCCCTGGGACTGGGTTTTGGGGTTGTTGCTTCCTTTTCATAAATTAGTAAATTCACAACTGGTGCTGATGTGAAGGATGGCGCCAGCTTGGAAACTGTCATGGTAATTCTAGTAGTGTTTAATGCACGTAACAAAATCAGGGGCTGGGAGACTACTCATGCAAGGGGGCGCCTCATTGATGTGGACCACTGACCAACCTACAGGTAGCGAAGACAAAGAGAGAGCCGGCACGGAGGTTCATGCCTGTAATCCCAGCACTTTGAGACGCTGAGGTAGGAGGATCGCTTGAGCCCAGGAGTTAGAGACCAGCCTGGGAAACATAAGGAGACCTAGTCTCCACAAAAAATTTAAAAAGAAAAATTAGCTAGATGTGGTGGTGAGTGCCTGTGGTCCTAGCTACTCGAGATGAGCGGGAGGATTGCTTGAGCCTGGGAGGTCAAGGCTGCAGTGAGCTGAGATGGTGCCACTGCACTCGCCTGGGTGACAGAGAGAGACCCTGTCTCAAAATAAAAAAAAAAAAAAAAAGAAAGAAAGAAAAGAAAAGAGAAAGAGAAAGAGAGAAGAGAGAAGAGAGAAGCAGGATGGAGCAAAGGGATACAAATGAAGGAAGAAGGGTATAGGTCCATGTGGAAGGAGAAGGAAAACAATAACCTGGAGAAAAGGTAGGTGGAGCTTGTGAGGGCTCCTGGGGCAGCCGCCAGCTGCGTGTACTAATGTGTCCCCGATGAAGGTGCTAGAACCTCTCACTGGGAGTCAGGGTATCTCTGAACAACATCCTTCCTGCAACTGCACTTCTAAGGGAAGAAAGCTGGGTCATAAACCCCTAACCCCCGACTCACGCCAGCTATTTAAATGAGCCCACTCCTTTTACTGATTAACATGGCAAGGACGCACTGATGCCTTCTAATGAATGTAAAGGCAAGAAGCCACACTGGGTGGCCCTTACTTGGAGGCAGACTCCCTAGAGGGCCAGATGCTGACGCCCCTCCCATGCTAGGATCCCACTGATAGAGGACCCTGTCCCTCCACATCAATGATCATCCTGGGAGCATCCCAGGTCCTACAGGAAGCCACCCCTGAGGGTGTTGTCACAGGCAGGGACAGGAAGCACTAGAGAAATGGTTCCCCACCCGAGTGACTAGGAGAAGTCCTGGTGACTGCACGCAGGGCAGACACTGTTCCCTCCCACAACGTGAGGCCCTTCCCACCTGATGGGTGGGCAGCTGGACCGGCCTCGGCTTCTGATGCCTCATCTGTACTGCAGGGACAGAATCCTTCCTTTTGAGTTTTCTGGGAGGGATGAAATGAGATAATACCTTCAAAGTGTTATTCATCACTTTCTTGTGGATTCCCTAACTTGAGGAAGAAAAGGTATAGATGGAGAAAAATAGGCTGAGAAAACAATGTCTGTGGCCAGTCCTTGGGGAGCCGGATGAACCTGCAGTTGACACCCAAAGACGGCTGCCCAGGGTCAACGGAACAGTCCAGGCTCGGGGCACGTGCAGAGGGGTGGTTTCTGGCTTCTCATCACACCAACAGGGAGCAGTGTTGGAACGTTGCCAGGAGAGTGGTGAGCAGCTGCCCTGGGCACTGGAGGGGCGGCGTGGGTTTAAAGGCCAACACCACGGCTGTCCAGTGGAACGCTGTCGGCAGCGTCCTTAACTGCCCCTGCCTCTGATGCCTCATCTGTACTGCAGGGACGGACTACGCCTTCCTTTTTGTATCCTGGGAGGAATGAAATGAGATGATACATTCAGAGTGTTTAGCACAGTGCCTGACACATAAGAAGCCCTTGTTTCATTTGGTATTAACTCAATTAAAATACATTCTCAATGGAGTAGGTTATCTTGAAGCTCTGTTTGCTTGATCGCCTGGGGAAGGGGGTGCGGGTGGCACACAGGAAAGGGTGAAGAACCGAGTGTCTGTCTGAAGGTGATGATTATTTCAGATCGGCATTGTCTTTGTCTAAGCTGTAATCAACAGGCCTTCACAATGCCAGGAAAGAGTGACGTAGCTGACTGTCATCACAAGACGCTGCTCCTCCTGGGGATGGCTGGTCTCTGATGAAGAAGCTACACCCATTTCCACAATACGGATGCAGAACAAACCAGTATTTCATTTATTAAAACAAGGCAGGAAGAGAAGCTCTAATCCATTCTCTCTCATGCGTATCTAATAGGTAAGGCAGATTATTTCAGTATTTTCATATTTTCTCTTTAATAAGGGCATGTCAGATTTTTACCATGTTAAACTGCTTTCACCAGTGTGAACCACAGAGTGCCATGATAGACATGGAGAAAGACCAGCCTCGTTCTCATTTGCCTTTTTCTAGCACCACTCTTGCTTTCATTTACTTATTCATTTATTCAACAAATATTTATGGAGTATTCGCGGTGCCTCCGACCCACGGTTCTTCAGAAGCCAAGATGAGGGCTGTGAGGAGCAGAAAAGGTGGTCACTAGTCATGGGTTTCTGAGAGCCTGAAGGACCCTGCAGCTGGGTCTCTGGTGATGACACCCTAGGGAGGCCGCCTAAAGGCCCCAGGCCCCATAGCTGCACAGCGGCCCACCAGTGACACCCCCAGTCCACAACCTGTCCTTTGTCGAGAACGCAGAGGCACAGCCATCTTTGAGGCAAAGCGGCTGGACCAGAAGACCCACTCGGGTCTCTTTTGGACCCCCGTCTCACATTCCTACCCTTGGTGTCTCTCTGTGGGGCATTTCTTAGCTCTCAGACTCATCCAGTTCTCTAGCTGAAGGCAGAATTCCACACGAACAACTCTCCTCTTGGGGATGGCATAACCAGCAAGATGCATGAGGCCCTCGGCAGTGCTGCCGCTGGATCTTCCTTGTCACTCCAGAAGCCTGCACCTCCACACCACTGCACCTCCAGAAGCCTCATGTTCAAAGGACACAACCTGCTTTTTAGTGGGGAAACTGGTGCTGGTAAAAGCTACATGGGGCACATGCAGGAGACAGGACCAGCTTCCAGGCGCTTCTGGAAGTTTCCACACTTACGAACGAGACCAAGGAGAAGGGCATACAGAAGACAGTGAGGGAAGAGGCGGCCTGTGTCTTCCTGGTGTTCATGAGCATGCCAGCCCTCAAGAAAGAGAGGCTTTGCCTCGTAACAAGGTCAAAATACCAACAGCTAATGCTTAGTATGGAAACAAGCAGTGAAAAGGCAAATCGTGTTTGAGGATTCATAAGTTTGTAAAAGAAAGAGGAACATAGAAACAGATGTTAAACTTGAAGCATTCTCTGTTTTTGGAAAACCCTTATAAGCAGGATATGATTTAAGAGAAGCTTTAAAAGACCCTGAAAATGAACTGTTTACCATATCCAGTAGCACTATCTAGAATGGATGTTTACTGATCAAATAGAAACCTCCCAAGATGAGGGCCCCAGACCACCACATCAGAGACTCTCCCTAGGTTGCTAAGTCTCTCATTAGTTACAACTGCCGCTGATGACAGGAGATAATTACAAGTTATTCTCATGGGTAACTAACAAAAAAATCTTACCAGAATTCCTGGGGCTATGCAGAGAAGAGCCAATTATGGTATAACTTTCAGCTTCAAACCTCTGCTATGTTAAGTGTATTTTACAGCTTCCTCTGATTATAATATTTCAAAGGAAACACATTAAGGAAACCCTGAGTGCCTGATAACAGCCTTTTACATATTTTAATGGTCGTTAAGTATTATTTAGTTTTGGCTACTTGTATTTTAAGCATGCAGTTTCCTCCATGTGCAGATAACACAGTTTTTCCTCTTTGCCTACTTCCTCTTACTGTGTGTGTGTGTTTGTGTGTGTGTGTGTTTCAGCAGGCAAGCTTTGGACATGGCCTGTGAGTCTTTTCCTGGACCACGTCAGTGCCTTTCATGCAAAGCCCACAGCCAGTTTCATCACTACAGTCTGTTAACTGAGACCATTTAGGAGCGGGCTAGCATCTAGATGAGCTCTCTATGGAGTCAACGACTTAAAAAGGGGAAAATGCCAAGTCTTTAGTGTTATTTGTCAAATTGTCTGTGAAGAGAACATGTTTTGGGGTACACAGGGAGTCCCTGTGGCCTGGAAACTGTCCTCACCCGCAGCACCTGCAGTGGGGAAAGCTCAGGCACCCATGCCTGGTCATTCCCTCCTCCCCATCCAACCTACCTCTCCCTTGTCCAGCCCCTCCCCTCTGATCGGAGCGGGGAGACACCCTAACCCAGTACTCAAGCATCCACCGGCTGTCTGAAACTCAATTTTTTCAAAAGTTTCAACTAAGAGATGCGGGCAGTTGACAGCAGTGGGTTCTGAAGCTAAGCCATCAAGGGGAGCAAGGGCGGAGTCTAAGTCTCTGCCAGCCAGAGGTACGGGGAAGCAGAAGCTGTCAGGGAAGGGAAGAGGAGCAAAACAAGTACCCGGAGACGCACAGATGGGTGGCAATGGGAGGCAGAGATGGGTGGCAATGGGGGACAGAGATGAATGAGTCCCCAGGGGAATAACCCACAATCCAGGGGGACACCTTCTCATTCCATTTCTAATGAGGCCAGCCAGTTTTTCTCCATTTCCTATGAATGGTCCGTGAATCTCTCCATGAATCCTTACAACGACCCCTCCCTTTCCTTTCAGGTAGGTTCCACTTCCTGCCTCCCAAAGGATCTATGAAGGAGGGAAACTTTACTGCTAGGAAGTCTTCAGCCTGGGGGCAAGGAGGGCCCCTGAGCCAGGGGTCCCACAGTCAGGCTTCACAGTCCATCTGCTGTGCTTTAAACGCTGGTAAAGTTACCAGTCATACGAATGATGGCCCAACACGTTAACATGTAGCTTCAAAAAACAATTACTGTCTACTCATCAATTTAGATAAACTATGTATGAAGGAGAACCAACTCTTGGTCCTTCTCCACTACTTGCACCTAAGAGATTTTTAGCAAGTTCACATGCTCCTTTGTCTTTCTCCCCAACAGAATTGTCATTCTTCTCCTGTCCTAGATGCTCAGTACTACTTGATCTGCTAATAGTGAAAGCTCAAAGCAACAGCCCCCTCAGCACATTAGGAAACAAGTGTCCTGTATGCTCAAAAATCTCATCAAAGCTTCATGTTTGTGTTTTGTTTTTTTTAAAGTTTTACTAGAAGTCCCTCGAGTAAGAAAGGGAAAAAGAAAAAAAAAAGTAAAAAAATTTTACTAGATAGAGCTGGTCTTTAAATCAGAAACTCTGTTCTAAACTGATACTAATCATTACAGGGTAAGGAACAGTCCTGACCATTCTCACCAGACAATGCTGATATTCCAGCTAAGCCCCAGATGATGGATAATCCTGCCTTCCATGTATGCTCCCTTTACAACATCCACAGAAGAGCAGTGTTATGTGCATTATCTCGTGTAGACAGGTCAGGATGCAGTCTTTATAGGCCTCTCCCAGACAGGAAAGGGACACAGCTGGGCTCTGAGAGCTGTCACACGTCCATGCATGCCAGGGGGAGGGTGGAGGACAAGGGACTGAGAAAAGACCATCCAGCGATGGTAACCCCAGGAGCTCACAGAATCAAGTGCTCCTTTCAAACGAAAACAGGCCTCACCTGGGGAGAGCTCAGCCAGGCCCAGTGCTGCTGCAGGGTGGCAGCCCCAAGGCATCTGGCAGCCCGGGGGGTGGGGAAGTTGTGGCTCAAGCTGGGCTCCCTCCATTGCTGCACTGAGCAGCCATTGATGGCCAGTGACATCCTCTGGGCTTTGTGTTGGCTATGGTTTAAATGTTTATTCTGTCTAAAACTCCTGTTGAAATTTAATTGCCATTGTAACAGTATTAAGAGGTGGGACCTTTAAGAGGTGATGAGGTAATGAGGGTTCCACCCTCCTAGGTGGGATTGGTGCCCTTATAAAAGGATGAGTTCAGCCCTCTCTTGTTTGATCTCACTCTCTCACCTTCCACCATGAGATGACACAGCAAGAAGGCCCTCATGAGATACCACCACCTTGACCCTGGATTTCCCAGCCTCTAGAACTGTGAACTGATAAATTTCCATTCATCATAAATTACCCAGCCTGTTACAGCAGCACACATTGGATGAATGCAATGTTCTTCAGTTCTAAGATAATAATATTGCCAACATGCCTAGGTCTCCACTATTCTGTCAGAATAAAACAAATTTTCATTCAGCCCCTGTGGCCTTCCAAATGACCTTGATCTCCATCTTTCCCAGGACATGAGTGGGGTGTTGAGGACTGGCTCAAAGTGTGGGGACACACTTTAAGGCAGCCCTCAACCAAGAAACTGCAGAAGAGGAACTCTCGTGACCCTTCCCAATCACGCTGATGGCTTCAAGTTGGACAGGGCTATCCCGGGCCCCAGGTACCCCCTAGACCGGGAGGCCAGCCCAGCAGAGGTCACTGTGTGGGATGGAGGAGGCAGCAAGACCACAGCTGTGCTTTTGAGTAACCAAAGACTGGGATCTGACAGCACCATTTATTCATCAGATTCAGAATTCACATAAGCCATAGCAGTATTGGCTTTTTTTTTTTTTTTTAAATTTAAGCTGTTAACTATTGACACCTATTTACTTTTTCCCAAAGCACTTTGTTTCTGATGGGGAAAAACAATTCTCCTTCATGCCTACCTTTCTGTTTCCCTCCAATTTTCAGTTCTCTATTGGGCACCTAAAAAAAAAAAAAAGTCTTTCATTTCAACCCAGGGAACCTTGCAGCCAGTCTCTGAAGCTTGGGGCACTGGCAGGGATGTCTGCAAACATGTATGCATTTGCTATTTCTACCCTAGGAGCCAACCTTCAATCCAAAAGCCACTCTACACCATCTAAGTGAATCGGCCAATCTCAACAACATGGACAAGAGGCCAGATCTGTCGAGAACTCTGTCATCTGTATGAAAACATCCCAGGGCTACACAAAGCCACTTATCTGAGCCCTTCACTCAGGATGGAAACAAAGGCAGCTTGCAGATCTGATTATGCCGTAGTCCTCAGGAACCTGTTACCACACAAGGGGCTAGAAAGTCCTGAGCGAGTTGTGGATGAGGTTGGCGGCCACACTGCCCACACAGAATTCTAAAGGGGATTCTCCTGCCTCCCACCGTGAGACTCAACTCTGATCCAGCCCCTCAAATTTGAGGGAGACCCCACGTAACCTACATGGTCCATCTGCAGGGATTCCATAGCCCTGTCTTTACTTCATTAGAAACTGACCGTTCTGCTTTTCAACAGTTGCTACAATTGGGGAAAGAATAAATTGAGCACATGAGCATGTATTAAATAACCATATATGCCCTGTACTGTAAGACTCTGTACAAGAAACAAAAGAAATAGGAGACAAGGTACAATCTCAGTACCTTGATATCCAAGTTGGAAGGTACAAATATACTCAGCAGAAAACTAAATGAAAAAACAAAACAAAAACAAGCACCCGTTTGTGTGGTAGTCACTAAGGTTATCTGAACCCTCAGACAACTCACCCATAAGACCCCTTTTCCAGCTCCATGCTGGAAAATGGCAGCCAAGAAAGTGAAGGCCTTGACAGTAGTCGACAGAAGTGTGAGTTCTGAAGCACAAGGTGAAAGAGAAACAGCTTCCAGCCCCTTCTTCATTGTGATTTTCCCCCCTGAGCCTGGCTCCATCAGTGCTAACTCCTCTTGCTCCTCGCTGGAGAAGCATCTGACTTGGCAACTTAAACCTGCTTTTACTACGCTGGGCAGAAACGAGGGCTCTCACCTTTGCTTTTCTCCAATAATGTGTTAAGTGCTCTGACTAAAAACAAAATCCTTCCCATTTTTGCCTGAAAACTGTCAACCAACAAGGAAGGTCCTTTGTCTGCAAGGGTGACCTCGAACCATGGAAGGCGAGTTCATTCCCATCAGACTTGCCTGTTTTGTGTGTTTGTTTGTTTTTCTTAAAGAAAGGTCCCTGATTCCGTCTGTGTCCTTTGTCCATATCTAACTGCTGACATGCAGTTACATAACACGCTCTGTAGACTCAGAGCTCTTCCTCCCCAATCTGTGCCTGGTCCCAGTGCAGCACTAAAGGCAAACACAGTGTTAGGAAGGGATGACAAAGGTTTCCTCCAGGTGGAAACCGCCTGGGAGAGGGTTTCAGGGCTCCTCTCCCAGCCTGGCTCTGTGGCAAGCTGCCGAAATTCTCTCCTTTTTTACCATCCTGTTCCCCTAGCTAAACCGCCCTCTCTTTTTGTTGTAAGGAAACACCCACAGATGCAGCTGTATTCAGATGGGATGCCCACATTAGGGCCAGTGTGCGTGCAAGGAAAAGATAGGTCAGAAGCCAATGGAATGATATGAATATACCAGAAGAAACGTTTTGTTTTACAAACGGAGGGGAATACAGAGCCCTTTTCACTCTCTGTAACCTGCAAAATATTGAATTGTGTTAATAAGAAAGCCAAATATACTGTGAATGGGTGCGTGGTTGTGAAATAGCTTTTACAAAGTTCTAAAATGACTCCTATCTGAGGCAAGATGAAGAGATTACAAGGGAACCAAGAAGCAGAGTCCTAACACATGGCATTTAGCATGACAGAATGTGTTTACTCACTGCTATTTATTGAAGGCCCATTATGGCCAAGCCCTGTGCTAAGTGCTGCTGGAACACCCTGAATATCACAGTGGAAACAAGTGATCTTGGGCTGGGTGTGGTGGCTCATGACTCTAATCCCAGTGCTCTGGGAGGCTGAGGTGGGAGGACTGCATGAGGCCAGGAGTTAGAGATCAGCCTGGGCAACACAGTGAGACTCTGTCTTTACAAAAAATAAAAATTAGCCAGGTGTGGTTGTGTGCACCTGGCCCAGCTATTCGAGAGGCTGAGGTGGGAGAATCACTTGAGCCCAGGAGGTCAAGGCTGCAGTGAGTTATGACTGCACCACTGCACTCCAGCCTGGGCAACAGAGTGAGACCTTGTCTCTAAAAAAGGTGGCCGGGTGCAGTGGCTCACTAATCCCAGCACTTTGGGAGGCCTAGGCGGGCAGATCACGAGGTCAGGAGTTCGAGACCAGCCTGACTAACATGGTGAAACCCCGTCTCTACTAAAAATACAAAAATTAGCCAGGTGTGGTGGCACATGCCTGTAATCCCAGCTACTCAGAAGGCTGAGGCAGGAGAATTGCTTGAACCCTGGAGACGGTTGCAGTGAGCCGAGATTGCACAATTGTACTCCAGCCTGGACGACAGAGCAAGACTCCGTCTCAAAAACAAAACAAAACAAAAAGCAAAAAAAGTGTTCTTGTGTCTAATACCATTTCTCCCTCCTTGGCCCTGGCCAAATATAGATTTGAAAGAGTTTACCTACACATCACCCACCGCCAAACTCCTGAGTCAAAAGAAAACGGTGGGTTCACAGTGAAACTTACCCCGCCTCCGAGGTTCTGGAAGCAGAAGTGCTCTGGGGCTCCCCGTGGCCTCTCGGTGTGCTGCGGCGGCTTTCGGAGTCACTCACATGTCCTTTCCCCGCGGACGTCTTACGATGTGCGAGGGCCGCAGGGCCATCCTCATGCCCGTTCTGCAGGCCCTGGCCTGCTCGTGTCCCAGTCCTCGCTGCCTGGCGCCCCTTGGGGTTATCCTCGCGTGATGCTGGGGGGTCTCTTGACAGCTTGTATCCATGAGAGATCAGGAGGTCTTCTACACTGTACATGATGCCTGGGCTTCAGCAAAGCTCAACCACTGGAACCATGGTGGTGGCAGGACCCAGCACTGCAGGACAACAGAGAGCTCTATTTGTGACTAGGTCTCCCTAGAGGTCAGTCTGACACCTCCTCCTCCCGTGGTCCCCCCACCAAACCAGACCATGGCGATGGACACAGCACAGAACCTGCACAGAAAGAGGGGACACAGGGATGGCTCTGCCTGAAATTACTCTCCATTCTATTCACCTAGAAAGTGGGTGTGGCTCTGACTCTAAATGATGTGGTGGAACCCTGAGGACCTCACCCTTCGATGGCTGCCTCTGGTAGAAGAGCATGTGGCACGGTGCTTAAGCAGTGACATGATTAACACTGTCCACCTTCCCCTTGTCCCACTCACCTACAAACAGCAGGCGGAAGGAGTGCGGACAAAAAAAATACAGACCTGGGAGCTGCAATGACTGCTTCATGTTTCTAAAAAGAGAAACCACCAATATCCAGCTTAATCTTAGGACACGCCCCTGCTTTCATCTTGTAGACATACCTTCTGCTCTAGGAGAGAGTGAGATCTTTAATCAACACAGTCATGATACAATTCAGCGGAAGCCATCGAAACAGCAACTGCCAGGGCAGCCACCCCGGGGCAGTTAACTAGCAACCAAAAATAGATTTTAACTCTTTGGGTTCATGACGAGAAAACAACACACTGATCAATCATACACACCCAATTCACTACACAAGCCCAGAGTTCTCTTTTCCTTATGAAAGTCTTTTTTTTTTTGAGATAGAGTTTCACTCTTGTTGCCCAGGCTGGAGTGCAGTGGCATGATCTCGACTGCCTGCAACCTCCACCTCCTGGGTTCAAGCGATTCTCCTGCCTCAGCCTCTCGAGTTGCTGGGAATACAGGCATATGCCACCACGCCTGGCTAATTTTTTGTATTTTTTTGCAGAGACAGGGTTTCACCATGTTGGCCAGGCTGGTCTCGAACTCCTAAACTCAGGTAATCCACCCGCCTCTGCCTTCCAAAGTGCTGGGATTACAGCCATGAGCCACCACACCCGGCCTCCTTATGAAACTTTTATGAATCAAATTTCTTCCCAGTAGATCTTGGGGAAAAGTTTTTGCATCTCTCAGCCAAGGATGTCCACACCCAAATCCTGCTATAGTACCTGAATCAACAGCAGCAACTTCCTCCAGTGTAAACTGCACAAAACAAGAGTACCCACAAAGAAGAATGAAAATGGGCAGAAACCTACCTACGAGCAAAAGAGGGAGAGCCGCCCTGTTTATTCCTACATGAGAACATCTTTCTTCCTAAGTCTTCCCTTTGATGATAAGGCGTAAGACGGATTGGTCAGACGGATACACCCACCACTGCTTCTACGGGGGCTGATGGTAATGCTGGCCTGGGTGAGAGACACACAAAAGCCACAAAAGCCAGCCCCATCAAAAAGCTCAGCCAGCTCCAACCCCACTTCACTGGTGGACGGAAATAGAGCCGCTGCAGCCATGGCGAACAATGGCCAGGAAACGCCTGCTGGCCCGTGTGCAGGTGAAAGGAAGATGCCTGCGGCATGTGCTTCCTGTCACTGGGAGCTCTTACTCGGGTCTGTCGCACAATTCTGCTTGCCTGTCCTCACTCTTCATCACCTGCTAGATTACAGTAGGGAAAGTCTCGCCTGTCAGCATGGAGAGTATCAAACTTTGGAAGTTGATAATTTTCCATTATGTCCCTACATTTTATGGAAGCTGACAAGCTCTGGCAGCTACTGTACTAATAGAAAAATCTCCATAGCAACTCTGCCACTCCTGACACTCCTACTGCATGTCTTTCAAGGAGTTGTACAACTTGGGTCATTTGCTTCAACAGACAAAGAAGGACCAGAGAAGCAAGGGTTTGTTCTTTAATTCAACAGAGTAAGTTCCACCATGGGAGGGATTACAGAGGAATGAGATCCCATCACAAGCAAAGGGCTTTAGGAACACAGAGTCAGGCTTTAGGGCAGGGTCTTTGGTTTGTTTGATGCTTTATCCCCAGCAACTTGCACACAGTATGAACTCAATAAATACTTGTTGAGAAAATGCACAAATGAGAGACAGAAGTGTTTGAGCTAGGTTTTGAAGAATGGTTAGGAGTTCATTAGGCAAAGAGCATGTGTTTGTGTATGAGAAGGGGAACTGGCATTTAAAATAGATTATGAGTAGAATTATCCCAAGGGTAAAGAAATGGGGCCAGGCACAGTGGCTCGCACCTATAATCCCAGCACTTTAGGAGGCTAGGTGGGTGAATCACTTGGGGCCAGGAGTTTGAGACAAGCTTGGCCAACATGGTGAGAGCCTGTCTCTACTAAAAATACAAAAATTAGCCAGGCATGATGGCAAACACCAGTAATCCCAGTTACTCAAGAGCCTGAAGGAGGACAATCGCTTGAACCCTGGAGGCGGAGGTGGCCATGAGCCAAAATCATGCCACTGCACTCCAGCCTGAGTGACACAGCAAGACCCTGTCTCAAAAAAAAAAAAAAAAAAAAAAAAAAAAGAAAGAAAGAAAAGAAATTAATGGCTTAGTAACAGAATCCTGGCAGACTAGAACAAAGTCCCCAGGCTCACTGGTTCAACATCACACACAGGGTCAGCATCACAGTTAAAGTTAGCATTAGGTCTCACAACACTCAGTTTCTCTCTCTTACTATGCCGGGCTCTTTAAAATAAAAGCAAATTGCACTGTACTCCAAATGGCCACCGAATACACTAAGGAACAGGCATGTGCAGCACACAGCTGGTTGTGCTACAGTCCATTTGTCAGAATGGCAGAGAAGACATAACCCTCACAAAACACAGATGTGGGCCATTTTCTTCCTGGGGCTGGATAGGTTGGTCCAATATGGTTATGTGTTTGCATGGTAATTATATTTAGCAAGAATATCTTTCAATCGTAGTTAACTGATTCTTCCCTCCCCACCAGCCCAATAAACTCTTCCTCTACCAACTCCAAGGAAAAACCTGAACTATAAACCCAGGATTGCAGCACACATGAAATCTAATAACATCAACTATTCATGACCATCTGTAATGTGCTAGATTCTGTACTGGCACACTTTCATTCATTCTATGCTTCCAGCAAACTTCTCGACGTAGACAGGAATGTTTCCATTTTCACAAGAAAACTGAGGCTGACAGTCCAAGGTTACACAGCTTGTGTTAGATCCATGGTTTGAACTGGGTCTGTCTAGCTTCAAAGTTCAGGCTACTAATTTAGGTTCACTCATCTATATTTTCTTCCTTAACATCAAAAAAGTTTCCTACTTTACCAAATAATCCATACACATAAATAAGCTAAGAGAGAAGGCATGGTGGCATTAAAATTAAAAACCATATATTTAAAAGGAAAAAAATTCTCCTTTATTCTCTAGGAGCAGAATGGCTCTTCTAGATGACTCTTCTCACACACCACACGCACACACGCACGCACACACGCACGCACACACACACACACACACACACAAGAGTTGATGCCTCACTTGGCTATAATGTCTTGATGGCAACGCTGGTGTTAATGTTTAAATGCTCAGTAATATGATTCGTTCTTGAATACACCATGCAATTGCCTTGTGACCTTAACAGACCTCTTTCATCATTTGGAGTTTTGAGCTTTTCATAAATAACATGGGGCTATCATAAAGCCTGCTGTATGAAACTGAAATGTATACAAACGACATCTATAATAAGTGGGAGATGAGTAACTTTAAAAAAATAAATTCTTAAAGAAAAAAAAAGTCCTATATAGAAATAGCCATTCTTATCTGCAACATTAATAGAATTTGGACTTAATTTGAATAGACAACAGCAAACTACAAATGGGTTTGGGCAAGGGAAATCTGGCAGAAAAGCAGGGGACTAAAGTGGATAGAGCGAGAACAGATGGGGGACCTGTAGTTACAAGTCCTTTCTATTGTAACATGCACAGGGGGCTGGCAGAGGGGATAAGAAAAAAAAGGAATAATAAGAGTAATTTTCAGGAGAAGAAGTACAATGGATTTTAGCCTCAGTGACGAGGATAATGATCATTCCATTAATAGAAATATAGAAACTGAAAATAATTGTTGGTTTGAGAAGATGACAGCTCATTTTATTTTGATTTAACCAACCTAGTCTCACAAAATTCTCTTTTCCCCAAATCATCAAATGGATTCTCATCAAAGATTAATGATTTGTCCTTCCAAAGAACCTGAATAAGACCACTTGCAGTGATCTTATTGCATGGCACCTTTTCAAAGTTCTTTAAATATTAGCTCTATGGTGTCTATTCAAATGGAAGGGATTATAGAATTAGGAAGTTGCTGTTAACGATCCACTGACATTGGGCATGGGGCTGGGTTACCTCCCGCTTCGCTGTTGGGATGAGTGTCTGTTTCTCCATGGTGCACGGTATTTATCTGTGAGGTGAATCAAGCCTGAGTCACTGCACAGGAGGAAAGGAGAGAACCCTTTGGGTCTCAGTCTTCTCCTGAAGGAGTAAAATGAGAAGGCTGAACTAGAGGTTCTTTAGAGTCCTTCTAGCTCTAGGAAGCAGGCCCCTTTCTCTAGCCTATTCTCGCCTGTGATGAGCAGCAGGCATCGAAGTCAGCTGCCCCAGGAAAAAGAGTACAGCTTGTGGCCACGACACAGAACAGGGCTAAATAGGTCATCTGAAGACAGAACCTCTGACCTTGGCCTTATTAGCACCCATGCAGAGGCCACCCAAGAGAGTAGGGATAAATGGCCACCCACTGAGGAAAGGAGTGGGCTAGGGAAGGCAGGCCAGGAGCGAAACATCCAGCAATTCTCCATCCCAGAGTGCGGGTGCTGCACGCTTACGCCAACGTAAATTCATCAGGGCACTTGTTTTACATTGGAAGTGCCAGGCACTGGGCTGAAGAATATAAAGACAAATAAGACCCCGTCAGCACCCTCCCTTGCGATGCTATGGTCTAGGTGGTATTATTTCAATTACGGATCTTCTCATCACTAAAGGTTAGGACTGGCAAATGAATGCCATTTAACAGGTACCATCTTCTCCTTCCTTTCCATTTATAAAAATAAGCATTTTAATTCTCATATTTACAGTTATAATGCTCAAGACAGTGAAAGGAAACAAAACATTAAGGAACTCATTAAATCAACCAGAACTTTTTTCCTTTTTAAAATTGGCCTAGAACACAAACTAAAAATTAACTTTAAAAAGAGAGACAAATATACTATTAAAAAGATGAAAAGCATGGTCACCCTCACCTGTAATCAAAGAAATGCAAATTAAACCAAAATGCCATTATTCACTTATGAGATGATTAAAGCTTTTAAAAAGCAATGCTTGTTGTTGGTAAGGGCATGAGGAGCTATAAGGGTTCTCCTGTTTGTGTGTGTATAAATGGTGGGGGGTGGGGGGTGCAGGCTATATGTAAATGAAAATGAGTATTTCCCTTCTTAAAAGTGATTAGCCAGGTTCACTGGCTCACACCTTTGATCCCAGCATTTTGGGAGGCTGAGGCAGGCATATCACTTGAGGTCAGGAGTTAGAGACCAGCCTGGCCAATATGGTGAAACCCCACCTTTACTAAAAATACAAAAATTAGCCAGGCGTGGTGGCGCTCACCTGTAGTCCTAGCTACCTAGTAGGCTGAGGTGGGAGGATCCTTTGAACCTGAGGTGGAAACTGCAGTGAGCGGAGATTGTGCCACTACACTCCAGCCTGGGTGACAGAGCGGATACTCTGTCTCAAAAAAAAAAGAAAAGAAAAGAAAAGAAAAGAATTATTAATATGTAACAAAATCTTTAAACATCTGAAACCCTATGGAATAATCTCACTTCTTAGGATCTGTCCTAATGAAATAATCAGAGATACACACTGTTTTGTATAAGGATAGTTATCCCAGTTTTAATTATGATAATAACAAAATTAGACTAAATGTCTAATTTAGTAAAAAAAAAAAAAATTCTGGGCCAGGTGCAGTGGCTCACACTTGTAATCCCAGCACTTTGCGAGGCTGAGGTGGGCAGACCACCCGAGGTCAGGAGTTCAAGACCAGTCTGACCAACGCAGTTAAACCCCGTTTCTACTAAAAATCCAAGAAAAATTAGGTGTAGTGGCATGCGCCTGTAGTCCCAGCTACTCAGGAGGCTGAGGTGGGAGAATGGCTTGAACTTGGGAGGCAAAGGTTGCAGTGAGCCGAGATCGTGCCATTGCACCTCACCCTGAGCGACAATGAGGCTCCATCTCAAAAAAAAATTCTGGTGCATCCATATAGTGGACTATAATATGTATACACATACATAAAATTATGTTTTCAGGTATACAACAGCACAGGGAAATGCTCGTGATACCACGCTAAATAATAAAGACAGGATACAGAACCCTAGATTCAATGTCATACCAAATTTGTTTATATACATATGTACTTGAAAGGGGAAAAAACACTGAAAGGAAACATACCAAAATGTCAGCAGAGGTGATGGACTCTGAGTTTTTGAAAAATTTCCTTATTTATACTTTACTGAATCTTATGATATTCTGTCATGAAATGTATTAGGTCCAATCATATGAAATTGTCATTTTGCAGGTCAAAAATAGTCAAATATTGGCAATTTCATATACTTACTATACTTAACTTTATATACTTAATATTAACTTAAGTATATATAACAACATATATAATATCCACATTCTTATTATATAATTTAATATAACAATATTGTTTCATCACCAATCATCATTATTCATAACTTAATATATTAACATATTACATAACTTAATTAAGTTATATATAACTATTTCATCATCAGAAAAAAACTTTCATAAATGAAATGCTGCTTAGGTTAGATGAGGAAAATGCATCTTTTTTTTTTTTTGAGACGGAGTCTCGCTGTCGCCCAGGCTGGAGTGCAGTGGCGCAATCTCGGCTCACTGCAGGCTCCGCCCCCTGGGGTTCACGCCATTCTCCTGCCTCAGCCTCCGGAGTAGCTGGGACTACAGGCGCCCGCCACCTCGCCCGGCTAATTTTTTGTATTTTTAGTAGAGACAGGGTTTCACCGTGTTAGCCAGGATGGTCTCGATCTCCTGACCTCGTGATCCGCCCGCCTCGGCCTCCCAAAGTGCTGGGATTACAGGCGTGAGCCACCGCGCCCGGCCGAAAATGCATCTTTAAAAATAGGTTAGGTATTTGGAAGCCTCAATGACAATAAAAGAAACATTGAAGAAAAGAATAAATGAGTAGTAAATCACATAAGGCTCTAGTATATGGTACATGTGCCTTATCTGCCAGAGAGACTCTTAACCTGTTTTCAGGAAGCCAAAATCACATGTGCTGCTGAAGAAATCTAATACAAGGTTACAACCAGCATTCTAAAAAGGTCTTAATTAGACATTGTTACTCCTCTAAAAGACCTAAAACTTTTCAGTTGTATTCACTGACATTCCATGCTTAAGATGTAATTGGTCCCTCAAATTGTTGGCAGTTCAGTGTAAATATCTCTTCAACTGACAACATTTAGGTCTAATGCTATGATTAATATATAACAAAGTACTTTCTTTAAACAAGAGGTAAATCACCAAGACATAAAACAAACCAGAATGGAGTATGTTGCTAACTGACACGTAGGTTTTTAATGCTTTCCACAGATTTTTTCCTAAGGGTAGAATTGTGTATTTTACTATGAACAATAGAATTGCTATTTCCCTTTCCAGTCTTAATTATTAAATAACGCAACAGTCCCAGTTGAAGTCCTGGGACACCAAGTTCTCACAGACTGCTGTTACCATACCACACGTGTGATGACCAACTCTGCCAAGGCAGTCAAGTTGTTAAAATCTCACAAGATGTAAAAAATCATACTTAATCTGTGAAGTAATCATTTTAGGAGGACATCCTTAGGTTTCTTTAAGGTGACAAAAAACAAATGAGTTGGAAAACTTGTGTCTAAGATCAAAAGGACCTTGGAACATTAATCTTGCTGGGGTGGATTGGTATTAAGGCATTTGTTCAAAAAAAGAGAAAGAAAAAGAAAAAAGTCCCCAACATTATGCACTGAATTTTTTTCCTAAGTATTATCCCTTCTGACTCCTCTTTTTTTTCTTTCCACAACTAATGTGAACACACACACATGCACTTACACACACTCTTTCTCCTGTCTTCTCTTTCACCTCTAAATTCTGTGTCACACAATTATTGCTTTGGCTAGCAATATTTTTATGAGACCTTAAGTACCTCATTAACATTTCTGAAAGATTAGAAGTCATTAAGAAAGGACTCAAACTGGATAAGATTTTTAAATCTTTTGGAATTTTTGGCTATTTGCAAAAATAGCTGTAAAACATCATCATAGGTTAGAGTTTTATTCCCTTATCATCATGTATGTCAAGCTCCACATGTAAAGATACCTTAAATATTCCATTAAACTTACCCTTCTTTTGGTTTTGTTTTTAAATATCTTCAGAATAAAAAAAAGCCAAGTCTTTATCAAAGTGTTTGACTTAAATTATTTCATATGATCTTTACATTTCTATTTATTTCCTAAGTACAAAAGTCATGTAAAGTGATTTCAAAAGTAAACACTGCAAAACTCAGTGCTTAAGTAAAAAGGAAAAGTTCCTAGTAACCCCACTGTGCCAAGAGATAACCAGTAGCAACAATCTGGTTTCTGTTTCTCTAACTATTCTTCCTACACAGACAAGTTGCTTGCTTTTTTTTTTTTCTTTCCTTCTTTGGAATGTATCTTGGTGCTTCTTCCTAATAGTATCTAAATTCTTTCATTTACATACAGAAAAAACAATCTTTACAGGTAAACTATAAAGACAACCAATAAGCCCAAAACTATAAGGATACTTCACGATCTGATAACAAATCTGCCAGCCTATTGATTTAACCAGGCTATTCCCAAGCATATCTATAGAAAGTTGTTGGGAAAGATATTTGGTTATAGATAATCCAAATTTTTAACAAGACATCTTCAATTCAAATCAAGATAATTGAGGTTTTAGTATCTGGGGGAGGGGTTCCTGTATTTTTCTAAACACCATTTAGTGTTTAAAGCATATATCAAAGCCCAACACCTCCCCTCCCTGGGCTGCTGGCGTTTGCAAGTCAGTGGACCTCAACATTCCTTCCATCAGCAGGCCCTTGAAACAAAGCACAAGAGCAAGGTTTTAATGAGAGAGATAACCCTTCTCATCCAAAGGAGGAAAAACAACATCTGTTAAAAACCCAAGTAAACTGCAGTAATGGGTTCAGCAATAGGCCCAGAGGACTTCAGAGAGATAGTCTTTGCTTATCAAAATAAAAAACACAATAGAACAATTGTTTCACTCCAACGCTCTGTGTTCTAAACGCTCTCCAGATTAATTAGCATGGAGTTTCGCCAAGCTCATTAAAAGAAAAACTAAGGACTCCTAAGGATGACTGGTGTTTACTGTCCTCCCAAACTGGCCAGTGAGAACTTGGGGGAGCCACAGACTTCTGGGCTTTCTGTACTGATAACATTTCTAGGATTTATTTTTAAATTGCATGTTAAAAATTAGACTACAAGAATCTTTTCATATTTACTTTTTTTAAGTGAAAAAATTGGTCCTTATTTATTTTCCTTGTGTACCTCCAACCCTGCTACATTTTATAGCTGCCGAACAATAGACCACAGGCTTCTGGAATCTGTGACCACTCGATGAGCTATTTGATAACCCTGATGACTTTGTCAAGTCATCCAGAGCATGTGGACACTCAGGCCAAACTTCTTTTTTCCCCGAAACAGGCTTTCTCCACCCACCCAAATCCCCTAATTCTCCTGGGCCTGCCAAGGGCCTGACCTTCCAGTCTCTGCAGCAAAGGGTGAAGTTTTACAGGAGGAAGGCCCAGCAGATTAAAGGCCTCTGTTCAACAAATATTTGCTCGCCCACTCCAGGCGGAGTAACAGTTTCTTACATGCTGCATGCCCACAGTGACACTTAGAGACTTCAGGAAGCTTGTTAAGCTGGTGACTAAGAATTAGACACCTAATGTCAAGGTAAATAATTAAGTCCCAATCCACAGACGTTATGGAAAACCAAACCACTTTAACAAACTCCCAATGTCACACGAAAACCAACACAAGTCCAATGAAATAGAATCTGCATATGATTTCCAAAAAAGCCTGTATGCATTCTTGCTTTGCCGGGTGGTCTTAAAATTCTAAAATGAACTGACATTCCCAAAGTTTTACCTGTACAGCCCATGACCCTCAGTTCACACCATGCAGACTGCCTTTTTTTGCCAGAGCATTTCTGGCTGCCCGAATCCTACCCATCAGGCCCCTTCCCCCAAATCCCTGTATTTTGCAACCCTAGCCCTCAATCTCTGGGTTATCTATTCCTTGTAAATCTGAAAAGACAAAAGACCGGAGAAGGAAAACAAGTTGTGGGAGAAACATCACATTAAACTGTCAGGACAGGAAACCCTGGGAGTTGTGTGGTCTGCACCGCCCCACCCCTCTCCCCAAGACTAAGACCAAGCTACTAGATTTGGGGAGGGAATGAGGACACGGGAGGCGGGTGGAGTGCGTGCGGGGGTGGGAGAGTGGGTGTAGGTGTGGGGAGGTGATGTGCCCAAGCTAATTCCCCCAAGGCCTCTCTACTCCTTAAGCGCGTGGATGACCAAACACCAGGGCATGCCCAGGTAGCGCTGGCCTAAAGTTCTCGTTTTTATTTTCTTCTTCAGTAGTGAAATCACAGCTTCTTTACAAATGCCCAGAAGAATCCCAGGCGCTCTGCTTCTTGACGGAAGCGAGAGGGGCGCTTTTTAGCAGCTAGTGCTGGGCCCCACTGTGGCCAGGGCATCGAGGCAAACCCTGGCATTTTGGGGGTGAACGGACCCCGACTGGAGACGGGGGAAGTAGAGGGTGCCCGCGGAGATCTGAGCGCAGAGACCCTAGGAGGGCGGGTTCCAGATCCCATAAATGAGATAATTAACGGGATTTACAGCACTCCTAGGCGGGGCTCCTGCCCTTCTCCCATCCCACGCGCAGCCAGGAGCCGGGCGGCCCCGGGCACTCGCTGGGAGGCAGCTGCGATTAGCGCCCTAATCCCCAGCGCAGACCGCGCAGAGACCGGAGCGGGAGCGGGGCCGCGGCGGGAGCCCCCCACCGTCCCGGGCAGTCCAGACGGCCGGGGCAGCGTGGGAACTGGGACCTCGGGGACCCAGCGCGGCGGCTGTCAGCTCTGGGGTGAGGTCCGCGAGATCTGGGCGCGAGGGCGCGGGAGGGGTTGGTGGACACAGGCTGGGGAGGGCGACTTCGAGAGGGGAGTGAGTGACCCCGGCCCCCCAGGCCCTCCGCGCGCCGAGGGGCGACGCGAGCGCTAACGCCAGCCGCGGCCCGCGGTGCCCGCCCCGGGACCCCCGCGCTCCGAGCGGGGCACCTGAGGGGAGGGGACGCCCCTCCCGGGCTGGCAGGCGCCCTCCACCCCGAGGCTGCCGGGCTAGGCACCGCGCGGGGGGCCCAGGCGGGGCTGCGACTGGGGGTGCAGACATCCCCCACCGCCAGGGTGGCTGGAACCGGAGCGACGTCCCAGCTGGAGAAGTTGGGGGGAGTGCGGGAGGCTGCGGGTGAGGCCCGCGAAGCGCCGTGGGAGCGGCCCTAATGGACGGTGGGAGCCAGGAGGGTTAGACGCCGGGACTTACCGAGCGGCTCCCTCATGCCGCCTCGCGCCGCCACCGCCGCCGCTCCGGCCGGCCGGGGACCAGCGCGACCCGCCCCGCCTGCAGCCGCCGAGGCCGAGCATGCCCGGAGAACCGCCGTCCGCCCCGCCCACCGCCCGGGCCCGCCCCGCCCACCGCCCGGGGCTGCCTCCTCTGCGCTGAGGGCGGTATCCAGGCCACGAGCTTCCTAGGCTTTTGGGGTCCGCCTGCGTGGGTCGCGCAGAAGGCACAAGTGAGCTGACCACCATTCCCTCTTTTCTTGTCACTTGGGTTTGGGCCACGTCAACCCTGTGGAAATGTCCAAAGACACACACACTCTCACAGATACACAGAAAGCAAACATATTCATATCACACAAACACACAAAGATGTATGCAAACACACTCATATACACCCACACACAGATGCACACAAACACACTCACAGGAAACAGGCGCACACAAACACATATACAGGACACACAGGTGCACACACAGTCACAGACAAGTGCACACACACTCAAATACAGTCACACGCAGGTGCACACAAACACACCCATATACAGTCACGCACAGATGCAGCCAAACACACTGACACATATACATACATACATGGGAACACAGTATGGCTATACACACACACACACACACACACAAACGCACCCACATAACACATCGATATTATGAAGAGCAGAAAACAGTGATGGTGACAACAGCTTGGGATTTACTTCTTTCAAAAAAAAGTCTGAAGGAGTCTGGAAGCCACCTTCAGATCAGCTGGCCCATACTCTCCTGTGGCAGAGGAGGAAACTGATGACAGGAGCAGGATTTGCCTACAGGGCAGGGGTAGGAGGAGAGATAGGAGGAGGTCAGTGGGAGAGTTCAGACCAGAATGAACATTTGGGGTCATTTGGGTAACCCCAAACCCACTCCATATTTCTCTTACAGCGGGAAGGGGCAGAAAGATTAGACTGCTGCCTGGGTCTGCTCAGGGCGAACGTTTTCATAATTTTGGA
Organism: Homo sapiens; assembly: GCF_000001405.40. Lineage (NCBI taxonomy): Eukaryota > Metazoa > Chordata > Mammalia > Primates > Hominidae > Homo > Homo sapiens. The sequence goes on from NC_000010.11 coordinate 30,060,494, forward strand.
AGGCAGACAGAAGACAAAAAATGTGAAATATTGCTGATGCATTGGGGAGAGACAGGGAATGTTAGTTAAGTCCACCCAGACAAAACATGGATGGCACAGCAGACTGGTGACCTTGCCAAATTAGTTTTCAGAAAACTACTTAGCCACATCATGATTTTAGGACTGTATTTGCTGTCGAAACACCAATAACTAACTTTTTTTGCTCTATTACCACATCTGAGCCCTTCCTATGTATTATTTCTTTTAATCCTCATCACAGTTTGATGATATGGGCACCACTTTACAGATGAGGAGTGGGCTCAGGGACGGGCACAGATGGCAAGCTGCAGAATCTAGCCCAAGACCCTCGCTCTGAACCACCAGAGCAAGGTCGTTTCTTTGTTCTCTTGAATCATATGTTCCTCATGGTTAGTAGCAACGTATAATCTAACACAGCATAAAAGCTAAACACACTATTGCTGGAAAAGAACGAACAATGTAATTGAATGTTGTATTGTGCATTATCAGGAGTGCGTGGGAGGAAACCAGATGGTGGCGATAGGAGCAGGCAGCATGATTAGGGGCTCGAGAACCAGGTAGCTCAGGTCCCGGGCTTGGCTTCTCTGCCACTTTCTAGATGTGGTACTTTACTTCTGTTAGCCTCACTTTCCTCTCTAACAAAGTGGGGGTAATGATGGTTTGCATCTCATAGGAGAGTCATGAGAATTCAATGAGATGATGCCTTCTTATCACTTAGTTCAGGTACATGTAATAGTCAAGAAAATGGTGGCCGGGCATGGTGACTCATGCCTGTAATCCCAGCACTTTGGGAGGACAAGGCAGGCGGATCACCGGAGGTCTGGAGTTCGAGACCAGCCTGGGTAAGATGGTGAAACCCCATCTCTACTAAAAATACAGAATTAGCCGGGCGTGGTGGCAGGTGCCTGTAATCCCAGGTACTCGGGATGCTGAGGCAGGAGAATCACATGAACCCGGGAGGTGGAGGTTGCAGTGAGCCAGGATCATGCCACTGCACTCCAGCCTGGGCAATAGAGTGAGACTCTGTCTCAAGAAAAAAAAAAAAAAGAAAGAAAAGAAAATAGTAGCTACTACCATTAACACTTGTACAGCTACTGCTGTTTGACTTGGAACCACCAGGGAAGACTTTGAAGGACAAGTGGATTGTGGCTAGGGAGAGACACAAAGGCTGGGAAAATAGGATTCGACAAAATTTAAAAGATAGAAAAGGAAATGCAGACTTTTTTTTTTTTTTCTGGGGAGTCACAGTTATTAACAGCAGTGATATTACTTCTTGTCAAAAAAGCATCATTCGATGATGGATTTCTTCAATGACTTATAGAATTCCTGTTTCTCCTCAATTTGCCAACTCAATGAAATAACTTTGTCCTGGGGTGGAGCACCTCTATGTGCCCAGCATGGTGCAGACACCTAGGGAGCCAAGTATTCCTGCTAGAACATTTATCAGTCAGTGAATTGAGATTAGGATGTGTTTCCCCACAGAACAATGTCATATTGTTGGGTTTCTAGGTCAACCCCATGGAAGTTTTATAATGTACCTAAGGGCTGTAGAGTTGCAAAACAACAGAGTAGGGTTGCAGTAAATCAGAAAACAACACTGATTCAATGCTAGGAGCTAAGCTAAACCAAACCAAATCAAGTTTAATAAGAAATTGTATTTTAGCAGAAAGGCTGGCAAAGGCAGATTCAATTAGGGGAATGTAATGGGATTGAAATACTGGAGATTCTAGAGAAGATGACTTCACAATTTCAAGATGCTTGTAGTTTCTTGACCCTGGCTCTTTATCCTAACATCCTCATTTCAAAATGTTTGGCTTCCGTCTTTCCTCAGTACTGATGTATCCCTAGCCCTGCTCTAATGTTTTCCTGGCATGACTAAGGCCATTTCAAACAAAGAAGCAGAATGAAAAGATGGAGAGAGAAGATGGTGGTGAGGCTGTGGATGTGGGGAGAGGGGCAAGCAGAAAGGTGGAAAGCTTTTCTAAAGATCTGGGAATAGAATTAACAAAGAGGAAAGAGGGTGTATTATTCTATTCCCATGCTGCTAATAAAGACATACCCAAGACTGGGTAATTTATTAAGGAAAGAGGTTTAATGGACTCACAGCTGCACATGGCTGGGGAGGCATCACAATCACGGTGGAAGGCAAAGGAGAAGCAAAGGCGCGCCTTACGTGGCAGCAGGCAAGAGGGCATGTGCAGGAGAACTACTCTTTATCAAACCACCAGATCTCATGAGACTTATTCACTATCACAAGAACGGCATGGGAAAAACCCGCGTCCATGATTCAATTACCTCCCACTGGGTCCCTCCCACAACACGTAAGGACTATTACAACCCAAGGTGAGATTTGGGTGGGACACAGAGCCAAACCATATCAGAGAGTAAGGTTGAAAAGATGCATGAGTATGAGCAGGTGATTAATCATAAATGTAGGAAGATAATAAAGATAAAAGGTAATGAGGAAAATCCACTGGGCCAGTTTCCACACCGGTCACCAGTACATGGACAAGGGATGGTGGGCAAGACGTGAGAGAAACAAGCCTAACCTCCTAATTCCCTTATCCCTACCCACTCCCATTTTCCTGCAATTTGGGTCTCTTGCTTCCACTTACTTGATCTTGGGAGATTTAAACACAGGAAAAAAAAAAAAACTCGCTTATGTGATGTAAAATATAAACTATGATTGAAAACAGCATTTAACATGAAGCTGTTAGAAGTCTGGCACAGCCCTGGGAGCATGTGCCAGGATCCAGCCCTGGATGCCCAATGTCCCCGCCTTTCTTGAGTCCTGGAGAAGGGATTTCACAGACTCAGGAAGGAACTTGGATTATTGAGTCATTGGGCAGATGTGCAGTAACCAGAAAAATAATGTTTAACCGCCTGCTTAAAGAAAGAAAAAAAATAAAAGCCAAGATCTTGTTTCTCTAACTTACTGCCTGTTCAAGGACCTAGAGCAACCCTCCTCCCTCCCTGCTTTAGGGCCCTTCTCTGTAGACTATAAGGTTTCCTTTAGCTGATTTAGATATTGATTTTGTTTTTCTTAGTCTGTAAAGACACTACCAGTTCTCATTTTTTAAAAGATTAACGCTCTTTTAAAAAAAAAATTTGTTGTCTTCACTGACACATAATAATTGTACATATTTATGGGGTACAGTGTGATGTTTTGATGCTTGTATACATTCTGTAATAGTTAAATCAGGGTGTTTAGCATATCCATCTGCTATAGTTTGAATATTTGTTTCCTCCAAAACTCATGTTGAAACTTAATCCCCAATGTGGCAGTGTTGAGAGATGGGATCTTTTTTTTTTTCAAGATGGAGTCTTGCTCTGTTGCCCAGCCTGGAGTGCAGTGTCGTGATCTCGGCTTACTGCAACCTCCGCGTCAGGGTTCATGCAATTCTCCTGCCTCAGCTTCCTGAATAGCTGGGATTATAGGCAAGTGCCATCGCACCCAGAAAATTTTTGCATTTTTAGTAGAGTTGGGTTTTCACCATGTTGGCCAGGCTGGTCTCGAACTCCTGACCTTGCGATCTGCCTGCCTTAGCCTCCCAAAGTGGTGGGATTACAGGTGAAAACCATTGCGCCCAGCCCAAGAGATGGGATCTTTAAGAGATCATTGGATCCTGAAGGTTCTGCCCTCATGAATGGATTAATCTATTCATGGATTAATAGATTAATGGGTTAATGGATTAATGGGTTATCATGGCGGGGAACTGGTGGCTTTATAAGAAGAAGAGAGACATGAGCTAGCATGTGAGCATGCTCAGCCCCTCACCATGTGATGCCCTATACCACCTTAGGTTGACTCTGCAGAGTCCCCACCTGCAAGAAAGCTCTTACCTGATGCAGCCGCTTGACCTTGGACTTCTCAGCTACAAGAAATAAATTTCTATAACTGTAAAAAGTAAATTTCTTTTCTCTATAAATGACCCACCTGCGGGTATTCTGTTATAAGCAATGGAAGGACTAATACGCCATCACCTTATACATTTACCATTTCTTTGGGTTGAGAACATTCAAAATCCTCTCTTCTAGCAATTTTGAAATATACAATACACTTGTTAGCTGCAGTTACCCTTCTGTGAGATAGAACACCAGAACTTATTCCTCCTAAATGAAACTTTGTACCCATTGACCAAAAAAACCCCACGTTCTCTCTTTTTTTTTTTTCTTTTGAGATGGAGTCTCGCTCTATCACCCAGGCTAGAGTGCAGTGGTGTAATTTCAGCTCACTGCAACCTCCACCTCCCAGGTTCAAGCAGTTCTCCTGCCTCAGCCTCCTGAGTAGCTGGGATTACAGGCACGTGCCACCACGCCTGGTTAATTTTTGTATTTTTAGTAAAGACGGGGTTTCACCATGTTGGTCAGGCTGGTCTCGAACTCCTGACCTCGTGATCCACCCGCCTTGGCCTCCCAAGGTGCTGGGATTACAGGCGTGAGCCACCGTGCCCGGCCAAAACCCCACATTCTCGATAAAACCTTGAGGTCTCTCTTGTTGGCTTGTTTTAGAAAGTCAGGCAATAGTGGTTACACAGAAACTGGCAAGGATCTTGTGAGGATAGAGAGTATATTGGTGGGTACCAGAGGCCAGGAAGGGTGGGTTTGGATAAAAAGAAGCTGATTAATACATACAATATACACTTAGAAGAAATAAGACCCGGCATTTGATATATCAGTACGGTGTCTATAGTTAACATTAACCAATTGTTCATTTCAAAATAGCTGGAAGAGAATACTTTGAATGTCCCTAGCATAAAGAAAAGATAAATATTTAAGGTGATGGATGTCCCTATTACCCTGGTTTGATTATATGAATTTATCAAATTATTACATGGATCCTGAAAATATCTACATCTAATATGTATTAAATAAATAAATAAAAAGCTGCCAAATTGAAAAAAATCTAGAAAGGATTTTATGTCAACAAGTGCTAATAACACTTGTTTTTAGTTATTGCTATGCTTTATATTAATTCACAGACTATATCGCATAATTTTTTTTTTTTGACATGAACTCTCACTCTGTCATTGAGGCTGGAGGGCAGTGGTGTGATCACAGCTCACTGCAGCCTTGACCTCCTGGGCTCAAGCCATCTTCCTCCCTCAGCCTCCTAAGTAACTGGACTATAGACACACACAACCATGCCCAGCTAATTTTTGTATCTTCTGCGGAGACGGGCTCTCCCTGTGTTGCCCAGTCTGGTCTTGAACTCCTGGGCTCAAGCAAAGTTCCCACCTTGGCCTCCCAAAGTGGTGGGATTAGAGGCATGAGCCACCATGCCCAGCCCTGCATAATTATTTTTAACCAAGAACTAGAAATCTGTTTCTCAAAGTCTGCTCCATGGACCACCTACACCAGGATCAACTGGGGGAGGGAGAGTTGACTAAAGGCCAAATTCCTGGGCCTCATCAAACCGATGCAATCAGAATTTCTAAGTTCTACCTTTGAGATCCTGGAATGTGTACTTTAAGGAAATGCCCAGATGATTCTCACATACAGTAAAGTGTGAGAAGCAGGGATGGAGCACAATAAATAGAAATGATCTGTGTCAAGAGAGGAATGGATTGATTGACACGTAGTATACAGTGCAAAGACAGTAGCCGTGAACGTCATTGTATGATGATGGAGAGTCACATAGCAACATCCTTCACTAATCAAGTGCATTAGATGTTTACTGTTGGCTTAGAAGATTTGACGCTAACTGAAACAAAACCTACAATGCTGGGGACCAAGAAGAGAGTGACAAACAATTTTTCAATCCTATACCTCCACTGTGAGGAGATTGAATCTGCATAGTTACTGCATGAGAAAAATCATTTCTAATTGTTTGCTCTCCTCGTGTCAGCTTGTTCTCACGTAAAGCCACATATTAATGGAAAACAACTCTGTTACACTCACCGTAGCAAAGAGCTGCTGTTTACTAGTGGTAGAAAGACATTCCAAGCTTCCCCCTGCCTGCAGTTTATAAAATTCTTTGCCAAATTCATAAGGAGGCCTCTTGAGCGGTGGTGCCCTCCAGGGAATGGCAGTGGCTGTCAGGGATCCCGCTGGTACCGGGGGGATGCCAATGTGGCTTCAAGCAGACAGGGGTGTGGCCAGCACCAGAGTGGTCCAGACGTGGGCACCCCTTGGGCTGCCTCTCCCACCATTCCATACCAGCTAATCAAGAATAAATCAAAATTAACTCAAGCATTTTTTAACCCCATATGACTTTTTGTTTTTAAAATGGGAAATAGGCTGGGCTCCGTGGCTCACACCTGCCTCAAGTGACTGAGGCAGGCAGATCACTTGAGGTCAGGAGTTCAAGACCAGCCTGGCCAACATGGTGAAATCCCTTCTCTACTAAAAAATATGTGCTTGTAGTCCCAGCTACTCAGGAGGTTGAGGTACAAGAATCACTTGAACCCAGGGGGCACAGGTTGCAGTGAGCCAAGATGGCATCACTGCACTCCAGCCTGGGCAACAGAGTGAGACCCTGTTTCCAAAAAACTAAAAAATAAAAATAAATGGCCAGGTATAGTAGTACATGCCTATGGTTCCAGTTACTCAGGAGGCTGAGGTGGGAGGATTGCTTAAGCCTAAGAGTTCAAAGCTACAGTGAGCCATGATCATGCTACTGCACTCCAACCTGGGCAACACAGCAAGACCCTGTCTCAAAAAAAAAAAAAAGAACTATGCAAATAACTGTGAACTACATTAATTGTAAAAAGAATGCCTCCATTTGGGGAGAGAATGGTGTATCAGGCTTTTATTAAGTCAGTGATGCCTAGCAATACAAGGTGGAAGGGAGAGATGAGAACTACCTTTTTTCTGTTTTTTTTTTGAGACAGGGACTTGCTCTGTTGCCCAGGCTGGAGTGCAGAGTGCAGTGGCACGATCTCGGCTCACTGCAACCTCCGCCTCCCAGGATCAAGCGATCCTCCTGCCTCAGCCTCCCTAGTAGCTGGGACTACAGGCATGTGCCACCATGCCCAGCTAATTTTTTGTATTTTTAGTAGAGACAGGGCTTCACCATTTTGGCCAGGCTGGTCTCGAACTCCTGACCTCAGGTTATCTGCCCACTTTGGCCTCCCAAAGTGCTGGGATTACAGGCGTAAGCCACTGCAACTGGCCAAGAACTATCTTTGTTTTAATGTTTCTTATGTGCCAGGCACTGGGCTAGGCCTTGACTTATGTCCTTCGATGTACAAAAGGGTAGCACTTACTAGCGGGGTTGTATGGTTTTGAAGTACAGTCATGCATCACTTAATGATGAGAATACGTTCTGAGAATTGTGTTGTTAGGTGATTTCATTGTTGTGCAAACATCCTAGAGTGCATGTACACAAACCAAGGTGGTGTAGCCTACTGCATACCTAGGCTACGTGCTATAGCCTATTACTCCTAGGCCGCAAACCATGCAGCAAGTGACTCTACTCAATCCTGCAGGCAATTGTAACACAGTGTTATTTGTGTACCTAAACATAGAAAAAGTACAGTAAAAATACAGTATTATAATCTTATGAGACCACCATCATAGATGTGGTCCATGGTTGGCTGAAGTATTATGCAGTGCATGACAGTGGTCTTCTAGTTAAGTGTAAAAGGATGTACGGCCGGGTGCGGTGGCTCAGGCCTGTGATCGTAGCACTTCGGGGGGCCGAGGCAGGTGGATCACCTGAGGTCAGGAGTTCGAGACCAGCCTGGCCAACATGGCAAAACCCCATGTCTACTAAAAATACAAAAAAATTAGCCGGGCATGGTGGCAGGTACCTATAATCCCAGCTACTTGGGAGGCTGAGGCAGGAGAATCTCTTGAACCCAGGAAGTGGAGGTTGCAGTGAGCCAAGATTGTGCCACTTCACTCCAGCCTGGGTGAAAGAGCAAAACTCTGTCTCAAAAAAAAAAAAAAAAAAAAAAAAAGAGGATGTAAATCTCCTGTGAAAGAAAACTTTCCATTTCATTAGTCACCTGCCTCCCTCAAACTCCCATCACACATGGAAGCTGCTGGTGCAGTACTGCATTTATCAGGGCATATCTTGGATTTGCTTACATGATACTTGGTTCAGCTACTGGATTCCGAATACCTGGTAGAAGACACTGTTCATCCCTGCCCTAACTGTGTTTTCTTAGTTTGGACTTAGTTTGTTTATTTGGCCTTCATTAATCACAGGGCCAAACTAACAGCCAAGGTTACTCACACCTCCCCTGTGATCCAGAGCCTGCTCTCTCAACCACCTCCTTATCTGACTCTTTCACAGCAAGCCAATATTTTCCCAGCCCTGAATCAACCCAGGGCTAGGTCCCAGACAACTAGGGATAACTGTGTCCCAAAGCCACTGGAATTATTCCAACTGGCCAATCCTAGGCTCTTTCCCTTGTCTCTCCTTGCCTTTCCTGTGAAAATCCCAGTAATGGCTGTGGCCAAGGCCTTCTCACTCCTTTCTGCCTCCTGATCAGCACTGGTGCTTACCCCAGGCTTTGCATGGCCTGAGGTGCCTCTTGTTTATAGGGCAACTGTGAGTAACTTTAATCTTTGCTTTCAATAGCATTGGCCTCTCAGATGTCACTTAGTCACCTTTATAAATTATGACCCAGGCACAAATCAGTTTTTCCGTTGACCACAGCCTGGCACCATACCTTTGGACAGGTAGATGAAACATGTCTGTTGAATAGAATTTTTGAATACCTCTGAAGTGGAAATGGTCGCTTCGGCTCACATTGTGGAAATCCAGAGTGGGGAATCTTCACCATAGGAGTGGGGGCCAAAGCATTAGCTGAGGACTGGGGCTGACCAAAGGAGTGAGGCAAAATGACCAGAATGGCCAGGCACAGTGGCTCATACCTGTAATCCCAACATTTTGGGAGGATGAGGCAGGAGGATTGCTTGAGCCCAGAAGTTCAAGACCAGTCTGGGCAACATAGCAAGACCCCCATCTCTACAGAAAATTTACAAAAAAAAAAAAAAAAAAAAAATTAGCCACTGCTAATTTTGAAGCAGGAGAATGGCCTCAACCTGGGAGGCAGAGGTTGCAGTGAGCTGAGATCACACCACTGCACTCCAGCCTGGGCGACAGAGCGAGACTCCGTCTCAAATAAACAACAACAACCCCCCCCCCCAAAAAAAAACACTGTATTAATTCTTTAATATATAAAATCCACCACAACCCCATATTTAGATGTGCCTGCAAGCGTGGTGGCACGCACCTGTAGTCCCAGCTCCTCAAGAGGCCAAGGCAGGAGGATCGCTTGAGCCCGGGAAGTCAAGGTTGCAGTGAACTGTGATTGCACCAATGCACTCCAGCCTGGGCAACAGAGGGAGACCCTGTCTGAAGAAAAACAAAATGGCCAGAAAACGTTAGAAAATATCTAGGCTTTCTTGAATTCTTTGTCAATTTGTTTTAAATCTGTTGGGAGTTTTATGTTTGCTTTTTCTGTGTTCTAACTTAAACCCAGCTAACCACCCCAGAACTCATTGGTTAGCCTCTTATGGACCTGAATGACATGTATATCAAGCAGATGGCATGCTATTTGTGTGTTTTGTTTAATCCCACAAAAATCAAAACTTCTACAGCAAATCAATCAAATCGTGCAAATAAGAGCGACTACAGAGGATAATTAGTGGTTTGGAGGAAGGCCACCCATAAACATGAAATATAAGTCCGAGAAAAGAAAATAAATCAAATGAAAGTCAGCTTATCAGCCACAGTTGAAAAATAACTGTGAAAATCCAAAGCCAGTGTCTTATCTAGCTGGAACAATTGGTCAGTGTCTCTGAGGCCCTGGTAACTGTTGCAATGTTTCCTTTCTCTGACCCCCTCCCTCCCTGAACTGATAATTTAGTGCATTTTTCCCAGTCAGCGCTGATAAGATCCAGCAGGATGTCCTGTGTCGTCTGCACATACCATCCCTCGAGGCTCTATCCTTGCGTGGGTACCCACGGCAACTTCCTTGTAAAAGAATGAATTGAGCACCATTTTCAAGTCAGCAGGGAACTACGTGCACTTTTTAGTTTTCGCAAATTAGTGGGTGTATGAATTATTTGTCCGCATCTTTTTACAGTCTTCCATATAGTTCTGGATGCCTGGAATGTGTATTAGAACTTTTGTTGAAACCACCAAATACCTGGAGGTTACTGTAACTAACTGGTCACAGATGTAGCATTAAATCCACCCCAACTTTTTTCCCTCCAGCTACAGCATATGCCGGAGCCACAGTTTTATACATCTTGGAACAAACGCTATTCAGAAACAAAACCAATACCTTTTTAAAAGCAGTACTACCTTATTTGGGGTCAGGGGCTACCTATTTATTTTCCAGGGGCCTGTTTATCAGTAGGCACATCTAAATATGGAGTTATGGTGGATTTTATATGTTAAAGTATTAATACAGTGTTTTTGTTGTTGTTGTTGTTGTTTGTTTGTTTGTTTTGAGACGGAGTCTCGCTTTATCGCTCAGGTTGAAGTGCAGTGGTGTGATCTTGGATCACTGCAACCTCCCCCTCCCGAGTTCAAGCAATTATCCTGCTCAGCCTCCCAAGTAGCTGGGATTACAGACATGCGCCACCACGTCTGGCTAATTTTTGTGTTTTTAGTAGAGATGGGGTTTCACCATATTGGCCAGGCTAGTCTTGAACTCCTGGCCTCAAGTGATCCATCTGCCTCGGCCTCCCAAAGTGCTGGGATTACAGGCATAAGCCACCACGCCCCAGCCTAAAGTATTAATAAAAATGTAGAAAAACATTTCCTAGTTCTTCTAATTCTTTGCTGTGACCTCACATGACAAATTGTCCTAATATCATCATTATTGTTGTTTTTACTTTCCCTAGCTCTCCTTCCCAGGGAAGTGTAGTATCAAAGAGGCACTAGCATGTGGGAAACCTCTGGAAATGGTGACAGACTGAGGACTGTGAGGACAAAAATCTTCTAATGTTGGAGCCATTGCAGGATGGTAAATCTGATTTCAAGCCACGTGATGTACAATGTTAAGGGCTTAATAACTGTGTTTAAGAAAATATATTTAAAAGTTAAGGCCGGGTGCAGTGGCTCACGGCTGTAATCCCAGCACTTTGGGAGGCCGAGGCGGGCAGATAAGCTAAGGTCAGGAGTTCACGACCAGCCTGGACAACATGGTGAAATCCTGTCTCTACTAAAAATACAAAAATTAGCCCAGCTACTCTGGAGGCTGAGGCAGGAGAATTGCTTGAACCTGGGGGGCGGAGGTTGCAAGGAGCCAAGATCGCACCACTGAACTCCAGCCTGGGAGACAGAGTGAGGCTCTGTCTCAAAACTAAATAAATAAAAGTTAAAAGACAAGTTTTTACATGCAGATTTGAAACACTAACTACATTTATATGAACAAAATAAAAAGGAATTCTGACACTAATACATTATTGCTTTGGGAAAACAAAATATGCTCCTCTTCCTCATAAAGGCAAGTGAACAGAGGTTAATATTATAAGCTCCACTCACTCGATACTCTGTTCACCTGAGATTATAATATTAACCTCAGGAAATCTTGATGGAACACTTTATGGTATTTCAATAGTTTTAAGTCTAAATGCTTTTTTAAAAAACCTGAAAAGGCACATGCTATTTGCAATACTATTCTGGAAGGAAGGAAAGAAGGAAGGGCAGGGCAGGGCAGGGAAGGGAAGGGAAGAAGGGAGGAGGGAGGGAAGGAGAGAGGGAGGGGAGAGGGATATAAATTAGAGGCATGTAAATTAGAAGCCATCTGAAGCTAAGAAATGAAAGAAAAAAATTAGAGGCCATGAAACTCCTTTAGTTCATAATTAACTCTCTCTGCTCCTCAGTAATGTGTATTTATGTAACATCCCCATTTTCCAGATTACATGATTTATCTTATGTTCTATGCTATATTAGGCACTACATCTCCTCTATCTGAATATAAGTCTATGCCTTCCTGCAGCATTTGTATATCCATAAAGATCTCATTCATCACACCAGATTGCAAGTTCTTAATAGCAAGACATCTGATGACAACGGTTACTCACAAAATAAACTATTAAGACTGGAAATGTCATAGTCTGAATCTATGAAATTATAAATCAGTAAATTTATGGATCATTTGAAAAGAAAAAGAAGTAGTGGTTGGCTATTATTGGTTAGGAAGCTAGAGGTAGGGCCCAGAAATCTTAAACAATTTCTTTTTTTTTTTTGAGACAGAGTCTCACTCTGCCGACCAGGCTGGAGTGCAGTGGTGCAATCTAAGCTCACTGCAACCTTCGCCTCCTGGGTTCAAGAGATTCTCCTGCCTCAGCCTCCGAGTAGATGTGATTACAGGTGCCTGCCACCACGCCTAGCTAGTTTTTGTATTTTTAGTAGAGACAAGGTTTCACTATGTTGGCCAGGCTGATTTCAAACTCCTGTGCCACCTCGGTCTCCTGAAGTGCTGGGATTACAGGTGTGAACCACCGCACCCAGCCACAATTTCTTTGATTCTAATGTGCACCAAAGTTTGAGAGCCATGGGGCATGACCAGTCCTAACATTCACTTTACAGGGACAGGCTCTCTTAGGAACACCTGGTCACTCGCCCTGTAGATCTCATGAACTACAAAGTGATTGATGGCCCCATTTGGGGAGCTGAAGGTATTCACAGTAAAGTGCTTCCCAATTTCCCTGTTTATCAGGAGGTAACATAACCCAGAAGAGGAAGAAGTACGTAGGCTTTGGGGTCAGACAGATTTGGGTTGGATCTCAATGCTGCCATTCATTGTGTGTCTTCAGGCAAATGACGTCATGTCTCTGAGCCTCAGTTCCTTCTAAAATGTCATATGATAATGATCCACAGTCTGGTTATGAGAATTAGATATTTGGTGAAACCATTTAGTACAGAGCCAACATTCTATGAGCATTAGCTGTTCTTACGCTGCACACTCCATGAAGTTTGTGTGAGAATGAATGAGAGAAATGCAAAGCACCTCGAACATCATGGCACTCTACAAACGGGAGGTGGCTTCCATTTCTGGGGACTAAATACAACTAATGAGCTCATTTGCTGAGAACATGGAAGGATACTATTTCTATATTCATTTACTTTTTGTGGGAAAAATATTACAGAGATGGAAGGTGATTAAGAAATTTTAGAAAGACCATTCCATTTAGCATTTACAATGGACAGGATAGCAAGATTGTCCTTCCTTCCTTCCTTCCTTCCTTCCTTCCTTGCTTCCTTCCTTCCTTCCTTCCTTCCTTCTTTCCTTCTTTCCTTCCTTCCTTCCCTCCCTCCCTCTCTCCCTCCCTTCCTTCCTGAATAGTACTGCAAATCGTATGTGCCTTTTCAGGTTGAAACAAAGCATTTAGACTTCTTAAAACTATTGAAACACACAAAGTGTTTAGTCAAGATTTCCTAAAAGGCAGGATATTTAGAGCTACTTCCATTCTGCCAGGGAACCCAGATAGCACAAGACTGCGAGATAACACTTTAATGAGAAGATTCTTATGTAATGGGAAATGTGAGCTTAATCTGAGCATATGGCTGTGAGTGTGCCTGCGTGCATATGTACGTGTGTGTGACACCTGTGTGTGAAGAGGGCAGTAAAAGCTGGCTTTTACAGTGTAGAAGAGTAGTCTTGGTGTTGGAAATCTTGGCAAAAATGCTATGGACAAAATATCCCTCTGACAGTAAATTCGGAGTATTCTTTGAGGCATACAGGATACATTTACATCTCCTCCATTGGATATTGACACACATTGTACCTGTGGCTAAGACATTACTTCACTTCCTTTCACCACTTCTTCCAAGTTTAATTGGAGGATGCCAAGCAGGCAACTGGCCAAGCAGAGAGGAATGGGACCATATTATAAACTCACTGAAAGATTCAGTGGTTTCAAGTACTCTCTGTGTACCTTGAGCCAAATCCTCAGCCAACCTGGCTATCTGGGCCTGGCTTCCATATGTTCCCAAGCTGATAATATCCCCCTCACAGATCGGGGGTCATGAGGGTTGCTGCTGATGTACCCTGCACCCACCTAAACACACAATGACGACTTCCAGGCAGAGACAACAGGACCTGCACCTGTGCCCACCTCCAGCTGCCAGCGATCCCCTCATGGGAGGAGAATTCAGAGATTGAGTGCTTTCAGTGTGGTAGGGCTATAGATGAAAGGAGAATTCAAAAAGGGTCTGGAAGACGTGGTTACACTCCTCAGAGGTGGGTAGTGGTAAAGGAGACCATGAGGCCTGTGTTTCCTGTGGCATGGCCACCATGCCATATGCAACTGCTTTCTGATATAGGAAGGAATACCTCCTTTCCATCCCCCATATTATACTACTGTTTTGTTTTTTTTTTAATAAGAGACAAGATCTCCCTCTCTCACCCAGGCTGGACTGCCATGGCACCATCTTAGCTCACTGCAGCCTCAACCTCCTGGGCTCAAGCGATCCTCTTGCCTCAGCCTCCAGAGTTGCTAGGACTATGGGCACATGCTGCCATGTGTGGCTAATTTTTTAATTTTTGTATAGGCAGGGTCTCACTATGTTGCCCAGGCTGATCTTCAACCCTGGTCTCAAGTGATCCCCTGTCTCAGCCTCCCAAAGTGTTGGGATTACAGGCATGAGCCACCATACCAGGCCAGACTTGTTTTTGAAGGGTTTAATTATTTTGTTTAAATTCTGATTGCACAATCTAGAAATATACATAGAATTCTAGGAAATGTCTTATTCTTCTATGAAGGAAAAGGCCTTGGAATCTGAATGAAACAGGTTGGAGTTGTCCTACTCTCTGAAGGGAATAAATGAGCTTTAGGAATGGAGGATCCAATACAATCCTAGTTCCCCTCTGATATTATGAGGAAGCTGATCCCATATAAGCTTACATATTGCTTCCAACATGCGTTTAGTTGGGTTTTTTAGGAACAACATGCTCTTCTCATTAAACCCGTAGGTCTGGTGACATTTCATGTAGCTTTAGTCCAACTCTGTGGAATGGCCCAATTGATTTAATATTCACATTGGTACCAATGATACAGGATAACTGCTATTTAATAAATGGACTAACAGTCAGCTAAAAAGCTAGTGTACCCAAGGTTTCCTCCCACTGTTAGATTTCAATCCAAAGCCCTACCCTTTCTTAACCCACCCTGGGAAGCTACGCGGAATACAAATTCTTGCATAAAATGAAGCCAGTGTCACATCAGAAATGCCAAACATCAAACACCAGCAGACGCCAACCTGTCAGAATCCATGCTGGCAGATTCTGGAGCAGCACACTAGAAAAATGTGATGTGAGCAGGAAGGGGAAAAATGCATTTGAAATGAGGGCGGGTTGCTCTTGTTTTCCTAATATCCATGAAAGGGAGGAAGAATTAGGGCAAAAAGCAAAGGAGCTCCCATGCATTTGGGTCTACTCCGTTTGCTTGACACGGCTGTATCCTCACTGTATTATAGCACTATTTCCAAGCATTGTCATTTGTTCTGAATCATCTACACCAAAATGACAAATGGTGTTAGCCTGATGCTTCCTGAGGCATATGTGGTTTTACTTCCAATTTGTAAATATGGTTCAAACAGGGACTTTTTTTTTTTTGAGACAGAGTCTCATTCTGTCACCCCAGCTGGAGTGCAATGGCATGATCTGGGCTCACTGCAACCTCCACCTCCTGGGTTCAAGCGATTCTCCTGCCTCAGCCTCCCGAGTAGCTGGGATTACAGGTGCCTGCTACCACACCCGGCTAAATTTTTTTGTATTTTTAGTAGAGGCATGGTTTCATCATGTTGGCCAGGCTGGTCTCAAACTCCTGACCTCAGGTGATCCACCTGCCTCGGCCTCCCAAAGTGCTGGGATTACAGGTGTGAGCCACCGTGCCCAGCCAACAGGGACTTTTTGAGCATTTAGTACCCGTACAGAAATCTGACAGTTATTTCAGAACATCAAAGTTTTTATCTGATCAAAATAGTTACAATGTACAGGTGTTTGCTGAGTGTAGAAACCACAGGTGAAACTGATTTTCATTGTCTTTTTTTCTCTTATTTTATGTTTCTTTGAACTAGGATTATCCCTCAAGATTTTCAGTATCTTAATTCCCCAAGACTGTGGGTCACACTCAGCTAGATATAGAAACAAGCCTTCCCTTTTCAGAAAGGGGCGGTGTCCCAGGGCTGTTTGGCTACCCCTTTTATAATTGTGAGTGAAATTAGGAAGGATTATCTATGTGCAGCTAGAACAATATATAAGGACACATGTGGGTATATAGCATTGCTATCCATTAAAGTTTAAAATAAAACTCAGCTGTGATGGGACCAGCAGACAGCCTGTTACCTTCAACATCATAGGAATGAAAGTCAGCATGAAAGCAAAGCCATCACGCTTGTCAAGGGTAGAAAGAAACAAAAGACATACTCTAAGCTTGTGCGAACCAGCTAGGAGGGCCGAATCGCTCAGGCCCACGTTTTGCTCATTTTAAAAGGATTCTCGGGGAGTGGAGAAGGCACATTCCCCAGCAGAACTGACCTGCCCAGAAGGGAAGGCAGAAAAATGGACACATATTTGATTGAACTTGGAAAAACGTATGAAGACATTCGGAATTGCAGAGTATATTAATGCCTCTGCAAGGCAGCCTGGGCGGGCCACTGAAACCTGCCTCCTAGAGCCACAGCATCAGTGAAACCAGCTTCACAGAGTCTGAGTGTCTAGTCTTCTTGGGCACAAGGTAATATATTTACAAATCCCTGGCCAGAAGATGGTATTGGGAACAGAGATGCCTAAGCTCTTGGCAAGGAATTGAGCAAATAGAATCAAATAGAATTGGCCTTTCTATCCTTTTTTGTTGTTTGTTTTTTGAGATGGAGTCTCGTGCTGTTGCCCAAGCTGGAGTGCAGTGGTACAATCTCAGCTCACTGCAGCCTCTGCCTCCTGGGTTCAAGTGATTCTCCTGCCTCAGCCTCCCAAGTAGCTGGGACTACAAGCACCTACCACCATGCCTGACCTTTCTGTACTTTTGTTTAACCATTTAAAGTATACGTTTCAGTGGCATTAAGTACATTGATGGTGTTTTACAACCATCATGACTATTCATTTCCAGAAACTTTGTATCATCCCAAACAGAAACTGTATTCATTAAGCAATAACTCCCCATTCCCTTCAGCCCCTGATAACCTCTACTCTGTCTTCCATTTACAAATATACCTCTTCTGGATACCTCAGACAAGTGGTATCATATAATATTTCTCATTTTATGTCTGGCTTATTTCACCCAGCGTGTTTTCAAGGTTCATTCATGTTGCAACACACAGAATTTCACTCCTTCGTAAGGCTGAATAATCTTCAATGGTACATATATGACATTTATCCATTTATCTATTGATGGACAAGAGTTTTCTCCACCTTTGGCCGTTGTGAATAATGCTGCTATGAACACTGGTGCATAAGTATCTGTTTGAGTCACTATTTTCAGTTCTTTGGGCTATATACCTAGAAGTAGAATGGCTGGATCATATGCCAATTCTACGTTTAACTTTTTGAGGAACTGGCAAACTGTTTTCCATAAGGACTGTACCATTTCACATTCCCACCAGCAATGAAGGGAGGGTTCCAATTTCTCCATATCCCTGCCAATATTTGTGGTTGTTTTGTTTTTTACACAGCCATCCTAATGGGTATGAAGTGGTATCTCATTGTAGTTTTTATTTGCATTCCATACTTTTTCTAATTTAGTCACTAAAGATAGGTATGGCTTTTCCTCTGAAATTCCAGTAGTTTCTCTTGTTCAACCAAACAATGTGTGTATGAAGCCTATTTCTTCACAGATTTCAGAGCTGCTCAGCAGGGATTTCACCTTGTCACTGTCATACCACACAGCACAGACTGATTGGAATTGAAGGAAGGCAAACAGCTGAATCAAGAAAGGCACTTTGCACTCTCTCTGGGGCAGGATGAAGGGTTTCTTTCTTTTTCTTTCTTCCTTTCTTTTTTTTTAATACAACAGCATCAGAGAACTGCCATTTAGTGCAAAGCAGGCAATTCACCCATCAAGCCTGTGAAGGTAGTTGAAGTAGCTGCTCTAATGGCTGAATGGCTGGACAAAAGCGGCCATTGTGGGGCTCACTGCTTTTGAGGACAACGATGATTGCTCTGATCTGATAGCAAGACCATGAAATTATACCTGTGATAGAAAGAGCTGCATCTTGAACGAGTCGCTCCTTTAATGATCAGCTAATGGCAACAGGTCCCCTTTACACTACTACACAAAAAGTCACAGGACAATCGTATGTTCCTTTTTAGAAGTAGATGTATCTGAGCTGCAGCAGGCATCTCTCTGATGACAGTTACGAGGATGGTGACCCTGGTTCTGGGACTGATGCTGGCAACATTCAGGAGAGAAATGTTGTGGCTGGCGTTCTCAAGTACACGCCAGTAAAAGAAGGTCATGTGCCACACTGGTCTTCTTTGTGTGCCCTTGAAGCTGGGAGCTTCATTTGTGGGCATGGAGGGAATAACAGTAGTGAAGGTAGGTAGGTAAGTGTCCCATAAATCTGGCTCTAGGCTCGAGTGCTCAGACTTTAGTGAGACTATTCCAGTCAACAGCAGGGAAACCCACCTCTGCTGGTAATGCCAGCCTAGAAATCTGGCTGAACTTGTTAGTAAGTCAAGAATAGTAATCATCTTGGGAGGCCGAGGCGGGCAGATCACGAGGTCAGGAGATGAGACCACGGTGAAACCCCGTCCCTACTAAAAATACAAAAATTAGCCGGGCGTGGTGGCCGGCGCCTGTAGTCCCAGCTACTCGGGAGGCTGAGGCAAGAGAATGGCGTGAATCCGGGAAGCGGAGCTTGCAGTGAGCCCAGAATGTGCCACTGCACTCTAGCCTGGGCGATAGAGCAAGACTCCATCTCAAAAAAAAAAAAAAAAAAAAAGAATAGTAATCATCACAGGGGCTTCTGGTGAACTGGCAACAGAGAGCAAAAAGGTAGAAGTGAACCTTGAAGTGATGCAGATGTTATTTTTCAGATGGACTCTTTTGAGTTTTAAGGAGAAAAACTTCCAAAAGAAATAATCTGATAGGTCTACTCAATCACCATTGCCCCTGTCTAGGCAGAGAATCTTTGTAAACCTCTTCCTGGTTCCTGGTCATGGATTGGCTGCCCTTGGGTCAGCTGATTCACCAGGCTCCAATCAGCTGAGGGGGCTTGCTCACATGACACACAACGTGGCCACTCCTACTGAAAGACTAGAGAGCAGTGGGAAAAAGAATTTCTTGGGGTCAGAGACTGTGTATCACAACTATAATTCATGGGTCTGATACATTCATACCCAACTCTGCACTTACAAAAACCAGACAGTTGGACTTCACATTTTTCTCCCTTGCCTAAAACTTAGAATGGTTTCTGCAGATCATGAGAATATGTTATAAAAATAATTTAGGTCAGGCCTCACTTGCTTTTACAATTGTTCCTAATCATCATTATTCATCATTTACTTAATTTTTCAAACAACCCCTCTTCCCACAGAAAGAGCAAGAATGATAAAGAATATCTATATAAGTCTCTTGGCAGAAAAAAAACTCCTATAAGATAATTTCCTTACTGAGCTACCTGAGTTGAGTAGTTTAGATATTTCCTAGAAGAAGGCCAGGGAGACTCAATTCTCTTCCTGTCCAGTGGTTTTGTTGAATAGTCAGTGAGTGAGGAAAAAAAAAATTAAAAGTTCCTTTTCCCTTTTGGAATTCTTATCTTAGAAGAACTACCAAGTTTCAAAGCACCACTTGAATCTTTTTTCTTAAATATTTAGTGTTGGGTTCTCTTACTCCCTGTTCCCTCCTTCCCATCTTCAAACAGCAACACAGAGAACTCTCCTCTCAGTTCCTGAGGCTCATGACTTTGAGTCAACTTCTATCCCACCCTTCTCTCTCTTTCCCCAATAGTGAGTCATTGCTGAGTCCTGTATTTGTATCCTCTTGACCCATCCTTTCCAATATATTCCTGCAATTTTGGCAATAGTCTTATGTCTGGGGCTCTTCTGTTGGCCTTACTCTACAGACTTAGATTTCCTACACAGCCTAGAGAGCAATCTGACATAAATCCCATTTCGATCATGACATTTCTCCATTGACAAACCTATGTTCAAGCCACTGTCAAATTCAGATGCCTGTATCACATGCTTCCTACATTTAAGTTCCCAATCTCATGATTCATTAACTCACCCCCAGTCATTAGGACAGCCCCCAATCTCACCACTCTGCAGGCCACTGAGTCAGGCCCCCTGGCCCATCAGCCTTTCTACTGGCCATTTCCCCCTCTGGAATGATCCCCTTATTACCCACTCCTGTGCCCCTGTTCAACTGAAGTCCGGGAGCTATCCCCCAGCATTAAACCACGGGCCTGCACATCCTGCATGCTTTCCAAGAACTGCCCTCTTATGGTCAAACAGCATCTTCCTGT
The DNA here is from genome assembly GCF_000001405.40 of Homo sapiens. Classification (NCBI taxonomy): domain Eukaryota; kingdom Metazoa; phylum Chordata; class Mammalia; order Primates; family Hominidae; genus Homo; species Homo sapiens. The sequence continues at coordinate 30,080,892 of NC_000010.11, forward strand.
CCATGATGTCTGCTACCCAGATGGCCCCCGAAGCCTCTTTCATGACTTGTTCTCAGTTTAGGGATAGAGGAAAACAGATTCTCTCTTCTCACCAAAGCAACTCTGTTTTAGACTCGCACCAGGTGTACTTATACCAAAATCACTAAAGAACAATGGAACATATCTTTTCTCTGCCCCAAATCTCCTTACTACCGACCACCTGGGGTTTCCCAGATGAAGGCAAATGCCTCCTGAGGTTAAGCTTAAAAGGCATCTGTGTTACCTGGAAGGGATAAGACATTATTGACACCTAGTGAATTTGTACCATGGATTAGTTTAACAGATTGGCTGGAGCATGAAAGATAAAGGAGTAGAACAAAGCTATATTTTGATATGTTATATATCAGTCTGGAATTTCTTTGGTTACAAAGGGCAGAAACCCAGTTTGAACTATCTTGGTCAATTTATCTTGGAAGACTTAATTGAATGACAGAATTGGAGGAAGGGTTGAACAAACAAGTTGGGTAAGTGAAGGCGTAGAGCTGAATCTGAGCCCAATGTTTGTTTTTTATTTTATTTTTGAGATAGTCTTGCTCTGTCACCCAGGCTGGAGTGCAGTGGCGTGATCTATGCTCACTGCAATCTCCGCCTCCCTGGTTCAAGCGATTCTCATACCTCAGCCTCCTGAGTAGCTGGGTCTACAGGCACACGCCACCATGCCTGGCTAATTTTTGTATTTTTAGTAGAGACGGGGTTTCGCCATGTTTGCCAGGCTGGTCTCGAACTCTTGGCCTTAAGTGATCCACTCACCTCAGCTTCCCAAAGTGCTGGGATTACAGGTTTGAGCCACCGCACCTGGCCTCCTGAGCCCAAGATTTGAATGCTAGCACGTACCAGCAGCAGTACCGACATGCCGCTGCCTAGAAAAGAAAACTGTGTCCCTGAGAGCTGCCCCTAAAGGGATCACTCACGTCTGCTGCATAGCAGCTCCTGAAATTAGTAGACACTTGTTTGGAAGCTGTGTGTAGTATTATAACCTCCAGTATGGCCTATAATTCTGTTGCACTAAGAACCTCTTTTAGTGTTTGGAGATATCAAATGTGTTTATAGCTAGAGGGTCAGTGGGTACATTAAATTTCCTCATTTGCTGATATTTAAACTGAGCTACACTTGTTTAAATATATCGTTTACGTCTAAGTGTAATTGTGCTTTTACCTTTTTCTTTGAAATGAATTATTATGAATATATATTTATATCTCACACATAATGGTGATGATTAAAACCTTAAAAAGGGCCTTGGAACAGATGGTAGTTTTAGAACAAAACAGATCCATTAGCTGTCAAATCCAGCTTCCCGTAGGATGAAAAATAGAGTTAGTTCTCAGGTAGTACTAAGAAAAGCTCTCACTTAATCTAATACCTTAGGTTATGGATTATTTTGTAAAAAATTTGACATGGGAAAACTATGACAACTCACAAACTGCAAAAAATAAAATAAAAATTCATATTATTCTCTAAGCAAACAACACAAAACCTAATTGAAAGTATATTTTAAAAGATGATATGGGCCGGGCGCAGTTGCTCACACCTATAATCCCAGCACTTTGAGAGGCCGAGGTGGGTGGATCACTAGATCAAGAGATCAAGACCATCCTGGCCAACATGGTGAAACCCATCTCTACTAAACATAAAAAAATTAGGCCAGGTGTGGTGGCTCATGCCTGTAATCCCAGCACTTTGGGAGGCTGAGGCAGGTGGATCACCTGAGGTCAGCAGTTTGAGACCAGCCTGACCAACATGGAGAAACCCCATCTGTACTAAAAACACAAAATTGGCCGGGTATGGTGGTGCGTGCCTGTAATCCCAGCTACTTCGGAAGCTGAGGCAGGAGAATTGCTTGAACCTGGGATGTGGAGGTTGCGGTGAGCCAAGATCACACCATTGTACTTTAGCCTGGGCAACAAGAGTGAAACTCTGTCTCAAAAAAAAAAAAAAAAAAAAAAAAAACAAAAAATTAGCTGGGTGTGGTGGCATGCACCTGTAGTCCCAGCTACTTGGGAGGCCAAGGCAGGAGAATCACTTGAACCCAGGAGGCAGAGGTTGCATTGAGCCAAGATTGCACCACTGCACTCCAGCCTGGCAACAGAGCAAGATTCCATCTCAAAAAGCAAACAAACAGAAAAACAGAAACAAAAAAAAGATGATACAATTGATTTGGAATTAAATGGTGCAAATTTCCAGAGTTTTCCAAATACGCATAGTTTTCCTATCCCCATTTGTGTAATCTCTTATTTTTTTTTAACCATGAGAAGAAGGAAAAAATAATCTCTAATTTTATAGAAGTAGAGATTTCTAGGACCAGAGAAATCACTAGAGATGACACAATGATTTGTCCAAGGTCAGACAACTATTTAGAGTCAGAGCAGAAGCTGGAGTCAAGTCTCCTCCCCTTTATCCTTTCTACCACCTCCATCAAATGCTCAGCAGTCCTTTTCTAAAGGAATGGTTCTATAAATAGTCACTCATGTCAGATTTTCTGTATGTGTATGTTCATGTGGATCTACTAAGTAAAATGTTTTGATAAAAGATCTTTAAACAACATATTGCATGGCCACAAACAGTTCTCAGGGCAAACAAATATATTTGCAGATGTTCTGTTCTACTCAATAGAGACAAAAGAGTTCTTTGTATACCACAGAATACAGGGTCTAGAGACCGCTAAAGTTAAGCTAAAATGCCTATAAGCAAATCTGTGTTTAAATAATGCAATTCATAGTTTTACATGGAAATGAAATGAAACTTCTGTCCATCAGCACTAGCGTAAGTCAGGCATGAGTCAGAAACATAGGTGTTTAAGCCATAAGAAAGAAAAGGTGGCTGGGCGCGATACTCATGCTTGTAATCCCAAAAGTTTGAGAGGCCAAGGCAAAAAGATCACTTGAGCCCATGAGTTGCAGATCAGCCTGGGCAACATAGTGAGACGCCATCTTTACAAAAACATACAAAGAGCTGGGCATAGTGGTACACACCTCTAGTCCCAGCTGAGGAGGTTGAGGTGGGAGGATAGCTTGAGCCCAGGAATTCGAGGCTGCAGTGAAGTATGATCTTGGTGCTGCACTCCAGCCTGGGTGACAGAGTGAATGAAAAAAAGAAAGAAAGAGAGAGAGAGAGAAAGGGAGAAATAGAAAGAAAAAGAAAGAAAGAAAGAAAGAGTGAGAGAAAGAAAGGGAGAAAGAGAAAGAAAAAGAAAGAGAAAGAAAAAGGAAGAGAAAAGAAAAAAGAAAAGGAAAGAAGGAGGAAGGAGGAAGGAAGAGGGAGGGAGGGAGAGAAGGAAAGAAAGGGAAGGAAGGAAGAAAGGAAGAAAGGAAAATATGCAAATAGGCAAAGCAATTTTATAGAATCTGAAAACTTCACTATTATTCAAGAAGTGAGAAAGATAAATTTGACTTGATATAAAATATAGTGTGATGATTAATTTTATGTGTCAGCTTACTAAATCAAGGGGTGGCCCAGGTATTTGGTCAAACCTTCTGTGCGTTTCTGTGAGGCTGTTTTTTGAATGAGCTGAACATTTAAATTGGTAGACTTGAGTACAGCAAATCACCCTCCCTAAAGTGGGTAGGGGCCTCAGTCAATCAGTTGAAGGACTCAATAGAACAAAAAGACTGACCTTGTCCTAAGTAAGGGAGAATTCCTCTTGCCTGACTGCCTTTGAACTGGGAAGCTGGCTTTTTTCCACCTTCAGACTCAAAGTGAAACACTGGCTCTTCCAGGTCTCAACCCTGCTGGCCATCAGATTGGAATGTGTACCATCAGCTCTCCTGGGTCTTAGGATTCTCAACTCACGCTGAAGATCTTGCAACTTGTCAGCCTCCATAATGGCATGAGCCAATTTCTTATAATCAAATCTGTATCTATCTATCTATCTATCTATCTATCTATCTATCTATCTATCTATCTGTGTATCTATCCATCCATCCATCCATCCATCTATCTATCCATCTACCCACACACATCCTGTTGGTTCTGCTTCTCTGTAACACACTGATGAATACGGATAGCAATTATTTGCACTCTGGAAATAATCGTAGTCACTCGATCTAAGTTCATCTTGTTTATATAGTCACAGTTTTCAAACTGATTTGCCATCACATTAATAAAATAAAGAAACAATCCTGATATGAGAGCAGTAGGTATCCTGATATTCATCAGTTTCTTTTCTTCCAGTTATATAACCTTTCTTGTTTTAATCTTTTGGTTTCTTTATGAACTCAGGTTTGGTGTTGTATTTTTCCCTATTTCAAAGGAGTAACCTGATTGTCTTTTGGTGTGATTTATACAACTGGTATCAGCAAGCTTCAAATTGGGACATCAGGGGAAAAGCAGGCTTACGTAAAATGATTTTGTGACCTTGAATTGGTCTTTACATTTATCTAGTATTTCTACATTTATCTTTTATTCATCCTATGGTAAGTTCGTTCTTACCATGAGATTCCTTCTAGCTCAAAAATTCTGTAATAAATAAAAGACATGGTTTCTGCTTCCAATAAATTTGTCATTGAGCTAGAGAGAAGATATGCTGGATTGTAATACAGGCAAAGGTTTTGCAGTGGCTTTGAGAAGACAGAGATTAAGGAAGCAGTGTGATCATGAAAAGCTCTTTGACAAGGATGAGATGCCCTTACGTGATGGGATGAAGGAAGAGCTTCCCAGAGAGGGGCAATGTGAGTTAAGAGCCAAAAAAGCGAGAATTGGTTTCAAGACCAACGACATATGTTGGGAATCATGTGTAGGGGTGGGCAGTGGAGATGGGGAGTGATAGGTTGAGCCTAAAAAAGTGGCCCTCCAGCCACTTTGCAACTGAGCAGAGTCCTGATTTCTAGCATCCGTCATGACTTAGTTACCTATTCTATTTAATAGTGCCCATGGGTTTAAGGTAATGTCCAATCCATGAACTACATGATGTCCTACACATCTGCATAGCAGGAATGTATGACATCCCCGAGTGTTTGTTTAGCCAATTTCAAACACCAATCCAGTCCTTCCCCAGAAAGTCTATTTGTTTAATGAACTCTTTTGAAATGTTAAAATTCAAAATTACGTGACAAATTGGGTGAGTTGCAGGCAAAATGTATAAAACTCTGTATATGTCTGTTAACTCATTGGAAAATGGGAAATTTAGACTTTTGTCAGCATTAAACTATCACCAAAAATTAAAATTAATTTTAATTTTTAAAATTAAATTTAAAACAATTACATTAAAAAATTATTTTTTTAAAGACAGGATTTTCCTAAAAAAAGGAACATGTACAAAGTACACTATTGATTAACTATCTTAAAAAAAATCTAGAAGCAAAGTCTACTTATTGTCTGCCTCTTTTGTGCATTGAACTTTTCCCCTCCACACCCTTAGTGGACAAATTTGTGTAACCAGCATGTCAGAGATGTAGGGCATTATCCCAAAGGGAGCATTCACTGACAGGGCAGAAGATAGAAGCTACTACTGAGTTTTAAATGAGCTGCATTAGACAATCCAGTTGAGAGCTTACTTCTTTTGGTTTGCAGCTGCCTACAGGATGATGTCAGTTGACAGAAGGTGGAAAGTTCCGTGTTTGAATGCATCAGTTTCTTCAGCTTTGCATCTTCAGCAGTGAATTCAGCAGGCTGAAAACCATGTCACAAATCCTGATCATTAATTGCCACCCACCCTGGGTGGAAATCCAATCCTACTAATGAAAAAAGTTGTTCAATGCTTTGTTCCAACAAACAAAAGTCATCCCTGCTTTTTTAACTGCAATACTTCCCAGAGCACATATGCTGGATGAAGCAATGGTGGGGCTGTCCACCAAGCCTTTTCAAACTGTAGATTCAAACTCTTTCCAATCTGATGCATGTGATTTGAAAATGCTCCTATACCTTTTATAAATAAAGAAGTTAGATCAGACTGAGAAGTCAGAGATAGTTTTCTAAAAGGGTTACAGTTATTTTTCTCTTTTTTAAAAGTGAAGAGCAGATTTCTTAGTGTTGGTAGATTTTTATTTATTGCTAAAGAGCTCCTGCTGTCACCTGTTACAGTGGGATAAATATAGTAAACCGAACCCTAGACTCAGGGTCCAGAGACTTGGGGTGAGGGGAGTCTTGGCCCTTCCCAATTAAGCACGTAGTGTGGTAGGGGAACCCTTATTCCTGCTAGTGAGATAGAGTCTTGCTCCAGACTCCTCTCCACTTTTTTATAAACTCTACCCCAGGCAAAGAGGCTAAGTGGCAACCGATTGTCAAGTCTGGGAGGAGGCCAGGCACGGTAGCTCACGCCTGTAATCCCAGGACTTTGGGAGGCCGAGGCGGGCGGATCACCTAAGGTCAGCTCAAGACTAGCCTGGCCAACATGGTGAAACTCTGTCTCTACAAAAATACAAAAATTAGCTGGGCATGGTGGTGGGTGCCTGTAATCCCACCTACTCAGGAGGCTGAGAAGGGAAAATCGCTTGAACCTGGGAGGTGGAGGTTACAGTGAGCCGAGATCATGCCATTGCACTCCGGCCTGGGTGACGGAGAGAGACTCCGTCTCAAAAATAAAAATAAAAGTAAAAATAAAAAATAAAAAAGTCTGGGAGAAGGAGCTGAACACAGTCTAGCACTTTACTCCTCCATCTCTTAGAATGTACCAGTTAGTGCACACTCTTGGCCAGTTCTCAAGGAGGGTGGCCTGTAGTTGTTTAGCAGTAACACTGTCCATGGCAGGGAAAGTATATCTCATTTAGGGACATGGTATTAACAAGCCCACTTGGCCAGTAGACTGAAGCATCATTCTCCAGAAAAAATTCTCCATTTTTTCAGTAATACAATTGCCCAACTCAACTGATTTTGAATGTGGGAAGAGAAAAAGCAGGGCGGGGAAGTGGGTATTACTTTTTCATTCCTATTGGAAAAGGTCTAGCATGGTATCTGAAACCTTATTGGACTTCTGTAACCTTTGTTTGTTTGTTTGTTTGCCAGAGTCTCACTCTGTCGCCAGGCTGGCGTGCAGTGGCATGATCTCAGCTCACTGTAACCTCTGCCTCCCGGGTTGAAGCCATTCTCCTGCCTCAGCCTCCAGAGTAGCTGGGACTACAGGCATGCACCACCACACCCAGCTAATCTTTGTATTTTTAGTAGAGACAGGGTTTCACTGTGTTGGCTAGAATGGTCTTGATCTCTTGACCTCATGATCCACCTGCCTTGGCCTCCCAAAGTGCTGGGATTACAGGCGTGAGCCACCATGCCCAGCTGACTTCTATAAATTTTTACCTAAAATTAGTGAAGGTGGAGAGTGGGTCTGGTGAAAAAGCAAAGTAGGCTGAGTGTGAAAATTAGAAATAGGAAGTCAGTCTGACTGTTGATCCAGCTTCGAACTCCCAAAGATAGGTCATTAGCATTAGAATGGAAAACAGGGCAATCATTTTCCCCATGGGAAGTTGGAGCTAAAACAGTCACCCTAGGAGTTCCAGAACACACCCCTGTTCCCAGAGCCTGATGGTCTCAGCCAAAGCTGTAGGAGTTCTCACTGCAGGCCTCCTGATTCTTTTGTTTACTTAGAGCAAGCAGAGAGATCGGTCAGCTTAGTGTTCAGGTTTTAAATCAAGTAGTTTGGGAGATAGCAAGATAAAGGCCCTGATTCAATTTCAGTTTCTTTCTCTTTTAAAAATAATAAGATTCCGAAATACAATAACCCAAAGGCAGGAACTGGATAAAGTCCATGGGAAGAAAAGAAAACAACGGACAGATAATTTATCTCTATCCCAAGGAGAGAGGCAGAGTCCAAAAATAATGCTCATTGGCTGGGCACGGTGGCTCACACCTGTAATTCCAGCACTTTGGGTGACTGAAGGGTGTGGATCACCTGAGGTCAGGAGTTCAAGACCAGCCTGGCCAACATTGTGAAACCCCATCTCTACTAAAAAAATACAAAAATTAGCCAGGGGTGGTGGTGGCGCATGTCTGTAATCCCAGCTACTTGGGAGGCTGAGGCAGGAGAATCTCTTGAACCCAGGAGTTGGAGGTTGCAGTGAGGTGAGCCAAGATAGCAGCACTGCAGTCCAGCCTGGGCGACAGAGCGAGATGCCATCTCAAAAAATAAATAAATAATGCACATTAACCAAAATGGAGCTTTATTTTCCCTCTTTAGTGCAAATTTTAGAAACCATTGATGACAGAAGGGCTTACAGATCCTAAATCCCTCTTAGGTTCTATGGTGGCAATAAATCATTGTAAGTATGATGGATTGAGCACTGTGCTGGGGGTGGAGGCTGTACCATGTCCTTGGTAAATTCAATTTCCCACTATGCATCAAGATTTCGTCCTCTGCAAAATGAAGAAGCTGAGAGCTTTCTTCCCTAGGTGGTGAGGGTGGGCTTCTGGCTCCAGTTCCTTCTACCTGGCGAGTGCAACGTGGCACCACAGTGGTGTCAGCGAATGGCTACTGGAGAGAAGGCAGAGGCTCGGAGAAGAGCATCTGTCTTCCAGCAATTGAATAACACCTCTTCTCGCCCTGCTCAGTCTGGCTGCCCCATTTGGCAGTCACTTGCAAACTACTGCTGTGTTTCCGTCTGTCAAATCCCAGCAGAACATCAGGGATAGAGAGTGTGAAATGTGGATGCTTCTTCCGTGTGTGTGTGTGTGTGTGTGTGTGTGTGTGTGTGTGTTTGCTACTAATGGCTGTCAGGGATGGAAATGTTGGAAGACCTTTTCAAAAGTCCCTTCTGAAATACATAAAAATATCTAGAGTTCATTAGATAATTGCTTCATAGAATACAGGGTTACCATCACCATTCTTGCAGCCAGTGACAGTGTCTGATTTATTCAAAGGGGTAAGAAGTCATTGCAGATGAGTTAATCACTTGGAATAGAGCAGCAGATGCCAGATGTCTAATGAACAGCAAGGCTTTTCTGTATTTTAAGGTTTTTAAAGTACACACACACACACATACACATCAGCTCTGCTGTACAAAAGTGATTCACAATACATGAAATCATGATTGTTTCAAAATAAATTCAAAATGACTGATTTGTTTTGTTCCCAATTACATTGGTGAAAATGGTCAAAAAGAATGTGTGTGTCCATACATTCCCTGGTTAACTTCACCAACAGCTAGAGAATATGTGGTCATTTTCCTTCTCAACCTGATGGGTGCTTATGTAGTCAAGTGCCATCATCTTTAGTTTAGAGGTTATTACCCAAACAGCTGCTGGGCTCAGCAATATGATAAATGGTGTTCTTTATATTCCTGTGTTTCTGAAGCTAATGACACAAAAAATACCCTAAGAGGACATCAAGCTCCCAAACGATCATGAGCACTATTTGGTTACTTGCAGATTGCTTCCAGAATTTTTGAGAAGAAAATATTTGCACAGGCCAGTTGCGGAGGCTCACGCCTGTAATCCCAACACTTTGGGAGGCTGAGGCGGGTGGATCACTTGAGGTCAGGAGTTTGAGGCCAGCCTGACCAACATGGTGAAACCCTGTCTCTACTAAAAATGCAAAAATTAGCCAGGCGTGGTGGCGGGTGCCTGTGATCCCAGCTACTTGGAAGGCTGAGGCAGGAGAATCACTTCAACCCAGAGCCAGAGGTTGCAATGAGCCGAGATTTTGCCACTGCACTCCAGCCTTAGTGACAGAGTGAGACTCTGTCTCAGGAAAGGAAAGGAAAGGAGAGGAGAGGGGAGGGGAGGGGAGGGGAGGGGAAAGGGAAAAATGTGAACATTCGACTTCTTATTCTTGTCTACTCCTAAATCCCTTCCCATATTCAGTCAAAAGTCCTATCAGACCATGACGCGCAGGACCCTAAAAACTGAAAACCAAATCACTGTAGGGAACGTGGTGCCTCCAGGCCTCTGGGACACAGCTGTCCTCCCAAGGTGGAAGGATTGGTCGCTTCCAGCTCATTGTCTGTCCGTTAGCTTCTGCTCTAATTCACATGCTATTGATAAATAAGATGGGGGGCAAGGGAGGGAACCGGAGCCAAACCCCACGGCAGGATTAGAAATGCCAGCCGGATGCAGGCAAAGCCTTGGAAAACAACAGGGTTCATGGCTGGGCCTCCCAAGCCAGCCTGGGCCAAGCTCATTAATCTTCCAGGCCCACTGACTTACTCAGACCACAGGTGCACACGCTGGTCGTCATCTTCATGGCCAAATAAAATCATCAAAACTCTGGAGGAGTAACAACATGGTAACTTAAAGACAACCGACTGGTACGTTTATGAGAGGCTTTGCAATATGATTTCTGACAGTTGTTTGGCATCATTAAGAGATCACTAAACAGAGCTAAGAAAAAATTTTTTGAAAATAGATGTGATTCTGGACGAGATTCTAATAACATAATGGAATCTCTTCCTAAATTTGTCTTTAAAGGAAGCTCTTGTCAAAAACAAGGCTGAGAGGATAAAGATAGGTTATAACAACACATGCAAACTGGCGTCAGATTTTTCTTGGAGGGGCGTAGGAGGTAGGAAGGTGGGAAGATGTGAAAACATAACTTTATCAACGACTTGAATTTCCTCATAATAGCAATAACTATTCTTTGTTTTTTATTTTTAGTTTTTAACAAAGTCTTACTATGTTGGCCAGACTGGTCTTGAACTCCTGGGCTTAAGCAATCCTCCCACCTTAACCTCAATAACTATATTTTAAATAATTTTATGATTAAAGTCCTTGGCTATTTAGGGCTACATATGTAATTATCTATGGACATAATAATTTGATGCTAGAGAATTGTTTTAAATAAGACAGGCAAAATACTAAAAACAGTTGAAATTCTTCATTTACATGGTTTGTAATTTTTTTCTACTTTGGACTAAGTTTTTAAATTTTTTTTTTTTTTTTTTTTTTTTTTAGGCCAGGTGCGGTGGCTCACTCCTGTAATCCTAGCACTTTGGGAGGCCAAGGCGGGTGGATCACCTGATGTCAGGAGTTCAAGAGCAGCCTGGCCAAAATGGCAAAACCCTGTCTCTACTAAATAAAAATACAAAAATTAGCTGGGCCTGGTGGCACGCGCCTGTAATCCCAGCTACCTGGGAGGCTGAGGCAAGAGAATCTCTTAAATCCAGGAGGCAGAGGTTGCAGTGAGCCAAGATCATGCCATTGCACTCCAGCCTGGGCAACAGAGCGAGACTCCATCCCCCACCACAAAAAAAAAAAAAAAAAAAAAAAAAAAAAAATATATATATATATATATATATATAAAGTTACTTTATATATATATATATATATATATATATAAAAAACATTTTAACTCTTTGCAAGAAGTTCTTTAAAGTTTATCTACTTTAGGTCTAAAAACAAAGAGTAGATTTTCTACGACACTAGGGATCCTCTGGAAGGAGAAAGGAGAATGGCCGAGAAAGCAGAGGAAGGGGAGGAGTTTGTCCAGTGAGTCGCTGTGCACCGGGACCCAGGGAAGGTGATAAGTGGCAGGAAGGACTGAGGACAAATATTCTCATGTTGGTGTGTAACTCCAGCTCCTCCTGGCTTATGCTGGTAGACAAAGCAAAGTAGCTGGGAAATTCTATAGTTGTCAAAACCATCACAACCACTCCCACTCTCCCATCTAGTTCCCAAGCCCTCCGAACAGAAGCTAGCAGGCCAATGCGTTGTTTTTAGTTTACCAAACCTGGGAAACAGCGGGCAAGAGAGAATCTCACCACGGAGCACAAGCCCAGCGTTTTATGTCAGGCAGCCCACACGATGAGTCGCTTAGAGTCTTCCACAAAGAAGCTTTCTCCTTCCTGTGGGCAGGATGAATAACAGCACCCAGCCAGCACGTTGGATGCTTGGCATTGGGAGCTTTAACGTTCCCAGCTTTGACTATCTTTGAACAACCCCCCAAACCTGTGACATGTAATAATTTGTACTTCCACCGGAGCATGGACTAGAATGGTACAAGAGCAATGTTTGAGGGTGAGAGTGAATCATTTAGCTAGTGAAGGAACCTCGCTTACTGCTTAGCATCTCCAACTCAGGATTCACTGTTTTTCTGCTTGGTACCTCTGGAGGGGTGTTATGGAAAAATAGAATATTCTGTGGCAGTAAAAGATCCCTAAATAAATTATGCTTATTCTGAAAGTGAAAAGACGGCAGAATGCTCTAAGTAGGCCATGGGTTTTAGCCAGAAAATAGAGCTTTGGGATAAATTTTAAAATAATGGATTTACCACAATAAACAATTGGAAAAAAAGAATAGAATAGACTATGGAAGGAATTCAAAATTTGCAGATACACTAAGGTTCTAGATATTGAGTCTACCAATGTGTTTTCTAACTTTGAGATGGGAAAGAGCTGTGTTCTTGAGGTAGATACTGAGACCATGCCAGGGAAGGAATCTACCTTTAGCCATAAGCAAGGGAATTGATTCACACTGGGTGTGGTTTAAATGTTGATAAAACCCGCAATCTCCTGGTTTTTCCATGGAAATCCCAATGGCATACTCATTCTATGATAACTTTTGGTGTCCACATATTCGTGTTGCTTACAAGATAGTGTTCACATCTGGGCACCCACATCAGTTTGGATAATTTGAAACTGGCATTTCAGTGCACATAAGCTGCCTGTGGAGAGGTACGAGACAGACATAAGACTCACAGCTGGCCCCCTGCAGGACTGCAGAACAAACTGAGAAAGAGGCTTGCTGGCTCGCTGCATTAATGATGAGTCTCTTATAGGATTGCTTGGTGCCTTCTGTTCCTGAGATCCTGCCAAATATGTCCTGAGCTCTAGCCCCCCGCATGTGGCTCTTTTTTATTATCAGAGCCACACTCTGATCCTCAGGACTTAACTCTGGTTGGCACCACTAAAGCCACGGGAATCCCGGGGATAGAGTCTAGCTCAGAGATTCAGCAAGTATTTGCAGATCCAAGTCCTTTTGCAAGAGAGTCACGGGAATCCCGGGGATAGAGTCTAGCTCAGAGATTCAGTAAGTATTTGCAGATCCAAGTCCTTTTGCAAGAGTCTCCAAATTAAACGCCAAACTTCTTGCTTGTATAGAATATTGGATGACTGACTATTGCCCACACTAATTGGGTCCTCTCCTGAAAGCTTGCATATCTTGTTCTAAAGAGGTTGGGGCCTTCATGGGATTCTGTCTTTGTTACATAACACTTTGCTCGGCTCATGAGGACTTAACTATGAGATGGTTGATGCCGCAGGAAGGAAAAGAGTGTGATTCTCTTTGGGGGTTGATAAAGGGAAATCATTAGGAACTTGCCTCCCTGCATTGTCATTGCTTTGTTAAGTCAAGATGAAAGTTCATCAACAGCAGACTGGGCACAGTGGTTCATGCCTATAATTCCAGCACTTTGGGAGGCCAAGACAGGCAGATCACTTGAGGTCAGGAGTTCGAGACCAACCTGGCCAAAATGGTAAAACCCTGTCTCTACTAAAAAAAAAAAAATACAAAAATTAGCCAGGCATAGTGGTGGGTGCCTGTAGTTCCAGCTACTCGGAGGCTGAGGCAGGAAAATCCCACGATCCCGGGAGGCGGGAGGTTGTGGTGAGCCAAGATCATGCCATTGCACTCCAGCCTGGGTGACAGAGACAGACTCCATCTCAAAACAAAAACAAAAACCACAACAAAAACAAAACAACAAAAAACTGCTTACAGAGGGCTGTTATGAAATATGGGAGATACAAAGGAACAAAGCCTCCCAGGTGCCGTGGGGCTGCTGCCACAGTGCATGCAATATTCATCTTTTGTTGAAAGCAGACGAGTGCTACTTCTACCTGCATTTTCCCTTATGCAGTCTGGAGGAGACTGCATGGCAGCCTTATGGAAAGAAATCAGTTCTCTTCCTGCTCCCAACTAAGACACCATCTTTGCCTTTGGAAAAACCAGCCGCCCACTCCTAACTTAGCTTCTTCCCCACACACCTCACCGATTTAGCCCACCTGTTCCCAGTCATTTTCATTCTCCCACCTCCTCCCGAATATCTGTCTCCCTGATCTCGCTGAGATGTGGAGTCATTTCCCTTCTTTTCCTCCTCCTACACTCTCTCTGAAACAAGCACACCAAGTCCCCCATTTGGGAGTGCAAAGGAGGACATCTAGTTCTCACCAGAAATTAGTTTTATTAATTGTCTGAGTAGGTTGTTGGACCCAGTGATTCAGATTTCAGCCCGGGGTGGATCTTGGCCGGTGCACCTCCAGCTAGGGTGTAGTTCTGAGTCCCTTTGGTCACCTCATCCTTTTCCTTAGCATCCCTCTGGCCCTTGGACGAACTTTATGTTTATTCTCTGTGCCCTAGAACTCTGGGTCCTTCCCTGGTTCATGCCTCTATTTTTCTTTCCTGCATAGAACTTGCAGTTCCCAATTTTGCCCATGATGGACAAGTTCATGGCTCTCGTCTCTTAACGTTATTTTCTGAACCCTGACCCATTTCTTCACTTCTCTTTCAGTTTTGTTGATAGATATTTACTGATCATTAAAATTGATTCTACCCCTGGGGGAATGAGTCATGGCTTTTTAACCTATTGTTCTAAATTAATTCCTGGGCCAGCCTTGCAATGGCCCTGTGGCCTCAACAATGGGCACCAGTGTCCCAGGTGCCTTGGAGGTATTTTCTCAGCTCCACCCAACAACCTACAGCCCACTTTTCATCTTATCCCATTGCTGAGCTTGCCTCCCCGTTCGACCTGCTCTGACTTTGAATTTGGGGCTGGAATTGTGCATTTTGTTCTTTTCTCATTTGCACTTCATGTATCTGAGTATTGGAACATTTATCCTGCTATGTTTTAATTATTTGCTCACCTGTGGAACTCCCAGTCCTGATCACAAGCTCCTCATGGTCAAGGGCTGTGTCTCGCTCATCTTAGAATCGTGAGTGCCTGGCTCATGAGAGATGCTCAGGAGATATTGATGAGGTTAGCAGCTGAGTTCCCCAGAGGGGAAGCCTTAGAGCCTTCTATAAGCCCAGCCTTGCCATAGACAGTACTTCACTCCTGGAGCAGTGGTAATATAAAAAATGACCACATTAGTAAGTGACAGGCTGTTCCTATTCATCCCAGAGACTTTTTGCAGGGGTTCTTTGTGTGTTTCTATTTGCTCATTTGTTTTTCAGTAAGGCGGAACTTCTCTTTGAAGCTTGTGGCATGTTAAGTCCACTGACCACAAGCTAGGGAAAAAATGCAGTATTTTGCTTTTTTTGTTTTATTGTCAGTAAAAGTCAAGGTTCAGTCCACAGGATCCACACAGCCATCAGAGGGGCCAGTGTGTGGAGAAGCTGCCAGGAAAGATGCCATCAGCCTGGGCCATTGAGGTCTTCTCTGTAACCCTGCCTCTCTGTCTTCCTGACTCACCTGCCCCACCGCCCCAGGTGCTGGGGACAGAGGCATGTGTATTGCAGACCAACACTGATGATGGGCGGCCCCACCAAATCAGCCTGGAGCTCAACTCCTGCTGCACCACCAACCCCACTGCCCTGAGCCTCAGTTTCCTCGTCTGTAAGATGTGGAAAATGCTACCTACCTTGCAGAGTTGCTACAGGGATCAGTGGTAATGCAAAAATGCTATTACTATTGTTATTATTATGGAAATCTCTAGGCAGGAATCACATTCTCAAGCTGGCACATAATGAAAATCAAGGAATCACTAATGCATTATTCATCACACCTTGACATGACTTTTATATAACATTCAGCTGAAGTATCTTCGATCTGTATCTTCTTATTTGCTATTCTGAGTTCAGAACATAGGATAACTAGCTCATCAGTTCAATGAGCTGGGATTTTTTTTTTTTTTTTAATGAGCATCTGTTTGTGCCAACATCTCAGGTCCCTGAATGTACCCCTTCTCCTGAGGTTGAAGTATAAATTGATGAAGGCTCAGGTGGCGTCATGGAATGTCTCAAATAGATTAAGGCTGCACGACACGTGTGTGACTTGTATTCTATTTGGAGACAGTGTGGGAAGGTGAATCCAGCAAGAGCTCAAATTTTCCAGTGAGCAAATGTAGAATTTTAATTAGCTTCGAGTCCATTTCTCTGCTGGAAATAGATCTCTGAGCATTTCTTCAATAGCATTACAGTAATTATAACAATTCTGAAAGGAATAAGTTACAGGATGTATTTTTGTAAGCTTAGCAGAATAAGAAAGGCCACATCCAGTTCTGTATTTGGAGCATGCCTGGAGTTGCTGTCAAATGATGCTCAACAGCATCAATGACAATAATGTAGACCATCCTATCCACAGTACTCTAAGACTGTACTGCCCATGGCACTTCCTACAGCAATAGAAATGCTCAAACCAAATCTGCACTGTCTAATATGGTGGGCACTGGCCACGTGCAGCTAGCATAACTAAGGGCTGAATTTTAACTTTATTTAATTTTAAATAATTAAAATTAAATAGCCACATGTGGCTAGTGGCCACCGTATTGAGCAGCACAGATACCAGCTGGTGCTTACTCTAAGCCCCCTGCAGCCTGGGGTATTAGTGGGACAAAGGAGGAAATGTCAAAGGCCCCCAAGGCACCATAAAGCCCACACTCTAAAGCTCAAAGGAAGCCAATTCATTGAGTTTTCTATTTTTCATCCTACAGCATATCAGATGCATCCAATTAGAAAAGAGACGCAGGGCCTGGTGCAGTGGCTCATGCCTATAATCCCAGCACTTTGAGAGGTTGAGGTAGGCAGATACCTGAGTCAGGAGTTCAAGACTAGCCTGACCAACATGGTGAAACCCTGCATCTACTAAAAATACAAAATTAGCCAGGCGTAGTGGTGCACTGTAGTGGGCCTGTAGTCCCAGCTACTCGAGAGACTAAGACAGGAGAATTGCTTGAACCCAGGAGGCGGAAGTCGCAGGTTTGCAGTGAGCCGAGATTGCCCCACTGCACTCCAGCCTGGGCGACAGATGGAAACTCCGTCTCAAAAAATAAATAAATAAATAAAGGAAAGAAAAGAGACACGGGTACAATGGCAGCACCCTCCAGAAATGAAAAAGTTTGAAAAGGAAACAAGACTCAAAGGAGAAAAACAGCCTGGGATTCCTGAGCCCAAGGATAAGCAGCCTTTATACCTCAAAGTCATCAAGGAAACGTCAAGAGTTCAACCACAGAGGCTCCAGGAAGGGATAGAGGGAAAATGAGCAACCCTAATCCAGACTTCTGGCCATCAAAGGTGGTAAAATATGGACGGTATTGCTGCCAAATGGGTGAGTTTTGGTTATCTGGAGAGTCCAGCTGCTGGTCACGTCTCAGTCCCTCCCTAATAGCACCTTGTGATGTCCTTTTGTTCTTGGGAGAAATAACTCCTGCGACCCTCGGGTCTGCCTAAAGTAGCTTTGCCCACAGCTCCTGCCTCAGTTTATATGACTTCTCCTGACTCTTTGTTCTCTAGCTAGGCTGATCGTCCTTCTGCTTCCTGAAGGTGCCGTGATCCTTCCTCCACAGGACTTCTATCTAGAAGGTTTCTTCCATGCTACCCCTGTTTCTCCCCCAGCTGGCTCCTAGGCACCCTCAGATCTCAGCTCAAGTGTGTTCCTTGGAAGGC
The DNA here is from genome assembly GCF_000001405.40 of Homo sapiens. Classification (NCBI taxonomy): domain Eukaryota; kingdom Metazoa; phylum Chordata; class Mammalia; order Primates; family Hominidae; genus Homo; species Homo sapiens. The sequence goes on from NC_000010.11 coordinate 30,098,385, forward strand.
CCCCTGAATCCCCAACCCATCCCCACCACATCTAGGCCTGGTTTCTTTGTTAGTCACTCTTCGCCCTGCATTTCTTCCCAGCAAATACCTACTTGAATATACTCGTGCATCAGTGAGATGAACTGATTTATTCATCTGTAAACTCCAAGAAAGCTGGGATGGTGTTTGGCCTGATTCATTTGCTTTTGTGTCCTCAGTTCCTGGATTGTGCTCAATAAATGCAAAATGAAAGAATGAATGAACTCCAGTTTATTTCTAAGATTTTCGACATGACAAGTGTCCTCCAATCCCTAACACTTTCACATCTTCCTAAAAAATCTCTTTAAGCTTTAGGATGACTCATATTCTCTTTGAGTGCCATTCCAAAGTTCTTACTGTCCAATAACTTATTATCATGAAATCTTCAACCTTAAAATTCCACCCACTTCTCCTTTGTTTGCTCCACTTACTACATCGTCCCCCAAAAACTTCCTGATTTTTTTTAAACCTTTGGAGCTCATGTTGCAAGCTGAATCACATCTGTGGTTCTTTTCTTGGCAATGTACTCGCCTTGGTTTTTTCAGTTTCCTTCACTTGGTTTATCTGATAGCCTCTGAGCTCCTTATTTACTTGCTACCAATTACTTAGGTGTCTATTACTTAGATAGCTGCATTATCTTTTGAAATTCGTAGTTTATCCTTCACCCAGGATTTTTCTATTATTTTTTCCATAGACTTTCTCTAAACTGTGAATCTATTTCTTATTCTCTTTTAAAGAAAATTATTTAAAAGTGGGGAAAATGAAACGTAAACATAATCCCAACTCATCTTACACCTCATCTTTGAAACATAAGACATCATTGCAAAAGAAAGATCTCAGTTAATTATTTCCAAAGCCTTCAGGGGATTTATTCCTAACTTCTCATTTTCTGTCTCATTCCTAAAGAATCAGGGGTAAAACTCCCATTAGTCCTAATTACCCTCCCTAAATCCAATCAAGTCATTATGCCTCAGACTTTGTTTTCTTTAGAATGAGTTTCTTATCTAGTTAAATAATTTTCTCTTTCTAATAGACTTTATTTAGTACCAATTTCTTGATATAAATAACTCTCCTCTTTAGTAAGTGTTTGTGAAGCACTTATTATGTTCCAGGCACTGTGCTAGGGAAACAGCATGAATAATAAGATGAAAAAAAAATCCCTGTCCTCATGGAGATTATATTTAACAGGAAGGGGTATAATAAACATATGAATATATATAATATAATTTTAAATAATGACAGGATCTACAAATAATCTTTATGCCAAATGCCATATACAATGAAAAAATCTGAATTTATACTAAAACAGATGTTAGATATGAGTTCTAAATTTCTTTTCAAAGAATCAATATGTCAGTATATGTTCAATTCTTTGTCTTCTACTTGTAAACTTAACTTCCTCGTAAAGTAACCTTTTTCGATTACCTCCTCCACCCTGACTCATTTCAATCACTTGCTCCACCCTGACTCATTGCGATTACCGGCTCCACTCTAACTCATTCCGATTACCTGCTACCTGCTCTGCCCTGACTCATTCTCCATCCTGCATAACCATTTCTCCCACCAAACCACTCACCCAGTCACTCTCTTTAAATTAGCCAATCGGAATTAGTTTAGCCTGTGCGGTCTAACCCTGGCCAACAGGGGAAGGACACAGCAGCAGGGGCCATGTGTGTCAGGGATAAGAACCCCTTCCCCTCCCTTGTCCAAGTGTGCTGCTCACCATTGCTCCATCTGTAAAGGCGCACCCTTCTATAGAAGTAGCTTGCCTTGCTGAGAATTAAAAATAAAATTTTACATTCAAGTGCTATTTCTTTTACGGCACTGAAACTTTATTTATAACATAGAGAAGGGTTGATATTCTTGGTGGAAATTATGACTCTGTTTTGTTAACAAAGAGTCGAACTCTAAAATATTTGAAGAGATTTATTTATTCTGAATTATTCTTTTTGTTGTTCTTGTTTTGTTTGAGGGTTTTTGTTGTAGTTGTTGTTGTTTGAGACAGATCTCACTCTGTCGCCCAGGCTGGAGTGCAGTGACGCGATCTCGGTTCACTGCAACCTCCGCCTCCTGGGTTCAAGCAATTCTCCTGCCTCAGCCTCCCAAGTAGCTGGTATTACAGGCACCCACCACCACACCCAGCTAATTTTTTGGTATTTGTAGTACCGATGGGGTTTCACCAAGTTGGCCACGCTGGTCTCGAACTCCGAACCTCAGGTGATCTGCCCACCTCGGCCTCCCAAAGTGCTGGGATTACAGGTGTGAGCCACCCGACCCTGGCCTATTCTACTTTATTCTTAAACAAAGCCTGAGGCATAATGACTTGATTGGATTTAGAGAGGGTAATTAGGACTAATATGAGTGACCAATGGCCCCTGACACAGCCCTCAGGAGATCCTGAGAACATGTGCCCAAGGTAGTCAGGGTGCAGCTTGGTTTTATACATATTAGGGAGACATGAGACATCAGTCAATACTTGTAAGATGTTCATTGGTTCAGCCAGAGAAGTGGGATAACTGGAAGTGGGACTTCCAAGTCAGGCAGATTCAAAGATTTTCTAACTGGCAATTGGTTGAAAGAGTTATTATCAATAAAAAGGAATGTCTGGGTTAAGATAACGAGTTATGGAGATCAAGGTTTTATCATGCAGAGGAAGCCTTCAGGTAGCAAGCTTCAGAGAGAATAGATTATAAATGTTTCTTATCAGATTTAAAGAGTCTGTTCTGGTTGGGTGCGATGGCTCATGCCTGTAATCCAGCACTTTGGGAGGCCAAGGCAGGTGGATCACAAGGTCAGGAGTTTGAGACCAGCCTGGCCAATATGGCAAAACCCTGTCTCTACTAAAAATACAAAAAATATAGCTGGGCGTGGTGGCCCATTCCTGTAATCCCAGCTACTCGGGAGGCTGAAGCAGGAGAATTTCTTGAAACTGGGAGGTGGAGGTTGCAGTGAGCTGGGATCACACCACTGCACTCCAGCCTGGGTGACAGAGCGAGACTCAGTCTCAAAAAAAGAGTCTGTTTTATTAGTAATTCCAAAAGGGAGGAGGGTGTCATGAGGCATGTCTGACCCTCCTTTCCTATCATGGCATGAAACTAGTTTTTCAGGCTAACTTATTTATTTATTTTATTATTATTAATTTTTTGTTAGAGACAGGGTCTCACTATGTTGGCCAGGCTGGTCTTGAACTCATGACCTCAAGTGATCCACCTGCCTTGGCCTCCCAAAGTGCTGGGATTACAGGCCTGAGCCACCACGCCCGGCTCAGGCTAACTTTAGAATGCCTGTGGCTGAGAGGAGGGGTCCATTCAGGTGGTTGGGGGGCTTGGAATTTTATTTTTGGTTCATAGTCTTTTAAGCATAAAATCCTGTCATAAACATCTTAAGAAATCTTATCTTCACTTTGCTGTGTTTCAGTGAAAGGGGAGATTATCCACTCATTCACTTAGAGACATTTGCATGGTGTCTACTGTGGGCAAGGTTCTAACATACATGTACAGTGTTGCAATGAAGAACAGGAAAGCTTCAACCTTCTGACCTCAGGGGTGGGACTGAAGTAATGAGCAGATGCCAGTGTGGTCTTTGCCTGGGAAATGTCAGTGAGGGCCAGAGGGTAAGCTAGTACTCTACCCTTCAGACCACTCCACAACTCATCTCCCACCTAGTCAATTTTCTGTGGCTCTAGACGACAGAATCCTGGTTATGATTTTTATTATTATTTTATTGTGGTAAGAACACTTTACGTAAGATCTTAACATACCTTCTTAATGTTTTTTCTTTTTTTGAGACAAACTCTTGCTCTGTCGCCCAGGCTGGAGTGCAGTGGTATGATCTTGGCTTACTGCAACCTCCACCTCCTGGGTTCAAGCAATTCTCCTGCCTCAGCCTCCCAATTAGCTGGGATCACAGTGGGTGCTTACCACCATGTCCGGCTAATTTTTGTATTTTTAGTAGAGAGAGGGTTCACCATGCTGGCCGGCCTGGTCTCAAACTCCTGACCTCAGATGATTCATCTGCCTCAGCCTCCCAAAGTGCTGGGATTACAGGCGTGAGCCACTGCACCCAGTCTACCCTCTTACATTTTTAAGTGCACATTACAATATTAACTTATAGGCATAATGTTGCACAGCAGATCTCTAGAACTTACTCATCTTGCAAAACTGAACATTTATACCTGTTAAACAACACCTTCCGCTTTCTACCCCAAACCCTGCCAACCACCATGCTACTCTCTGCTTCTATGAGTTTGACTATTTTAGATTCCTTATATAAGCAGAATCATACAGTATTTGCCCTTCGGTGCCTGGCTTATTGTATTAGTTTGTTCTCACACTGCTAATAAACACATACCCAAGACTGGATAATTTATAAAGGAAAGAGATTTAATGGACTCACAGTTCCACATGGCTGGGGAGGCCTCATAATCGTGGCAGAAGGCAAATGAAGAGCAAAGTCACGTCTTACATGGCAGCAGGCAAGAGGGCATGTGCAGGGGAACTCCCCTTTATGAAACCATCAGACCTCATGAGACTTATTCACTATCTTGACAGCAGCATGGAAAAGACCCACCCCCATGATTCAATTACCTCTTACCAGGTCCCTCCCATGACACATGGGAACTATGGGACCTACAATTGAAGATGAGGTTTGGGTGGGGACACAGCCAAACCATATGACTGATTTCTCTTAGCATAACATCCTCCCAGTTCATATTGTTGCATATGGCAAGATTTTCGCCTTTTTTAATGCTGGGTAATATTCCACTGTGTGCATAGACCACATTTTCCTTGCCCATTCATCTCCTGAGGGACATTTAGGTTGTTTCTGTATCTTAGCTATTGTGAATAGTGCTTCAGTGAACATGGGAGTAAAGCTATCACTTCAAGATCTTGACTTCAATTCTTTGAGATATATACCCAAAAATAGGACTACCAAAAAACAGTACGGTTGTTCCTCAAAAATTAAAAGTAGAATTATCATATGATCCGGCAATCCTGGTTGTTCTTTTGCCATAATATTTAAAGATGTATGTAAGGAGATAAAGGCAAATAATTCAGATTCATACACTTAAGAGTTGGAAGGAACTTCAAACGTTGTATGTCAAATGTTAAAATAAATGTTAAATGTTAAAATTGATGTTAAAATAGATAAGAAAATACCTGTTCAAATATTAAAGTAAATGAGGAAATGCCTGTATATTTATGTATAAATACACACACACACACACACCCACACACACTCACAGCCAGTTCTTTTGATCCCAAATAAGCCCTTTCTCTATTGCTACTATAATAACCTACTGATAATAAACAGTTAGTGAGTCAATTTTTCTTTTTTTTTTTTTTTTTGGACAGAGTTTTGTGTTGTTGCCCAAGCTGGAGTGCAATGACGCAATCTTGGCTCACTGCAACCTCCGCCTCCTGGGTTCAAGCGATTCTCCTACCTCAGCCTCCCGAGTAGCTGGGATTACAGGCATGCACCATCACGCTTGGCTAATTTTTTGTATTATTTTAATTTTGCCATATAACACAGGAAATGCAGTTCAATGGGAGAGTGGTAAGTGCTATGGCAAAGGCACAAAGAAAGTATCATGGGGATACACCAAAAGAATTGAACTCTAGTTTGAATAGTTCTGGTTGGAACTAGCCTGAAGGCAGAGAGGGAGGAAAAAGTTCCTAGAAAGAGGAAACTGAGAAGTTAACTTACAGAGGCCTGGGGGCATGTGGCTCATTCAGGAAAAGGAAAATGATTTCAGAGGTCGTGGAGCGTAAGTCCTGAGAGGGTTGCAGGTGGGAGGGAGAGTGAAGCAATTTCACAAGGGGCTTTACATGCTGTGTTAAGGGAGTTTGGATTTGATTCAGTAGCAGGTTTTTGAGCAGAAGAGTAACTTTATTAGAGCTGTGGTTTATACATGGAATCAACCTAGGTGCCCATCAACAGTGGATTGATAAAGAAAATGTGGTACATATACACCATGGAACACTATGCAGCCATAAGAAAGAATGAAATCACATCCTTTGCAACCACATGGATGCAGCGGAAGGTCATTGTCCTAAACAAACTAATGCAAGAACAGAAAACCAAATATGTTTTCACTTATAAGTGGGAGCTAAACATTGAGTGCTCGTGGACATAAACATAGGAACAATAGACACACTGGGGACCACTAGAGCGTCCAGGGAGGAGGGCAAGGGTTGAACAGCTACCTGTTGGGTACTATGCTCACTACTTGGGTGATGGGACCATCCACACCCCAAACCTCAGCATCCCACAATACACCCATGTAACAAACCTGTGCATATGTAGCCCCTGAATCTAAAATAAAAAAAGTTGAAATTATTTGAAAATTAAAAACATATGCTTGTCAAAAGTTTTTTGTTTTTGTTTGTTTGTTTGTTTGTTTGTTTTTTAAATGAACTGTGTTTTACAATTAAACTTAGAGAAGAGAGAAGAGCGGAGGGTTGGGGGTTGGCTGAAAAATGGTAGCTCAATTCTGTTATTCACATGTTACCTGTGATAATAATAGTTAGCATTGATTGAATGTGCTAAGAGCTTTGCATACATTAGCTCACTTAATTGTCACAACATTCCTGCAGGCTAGGAGCTTTTATTATTTTTACTTTACAGATCAGGAAATGAGTTTGAAAGCTTGAGTTACTTGCTAGAAAGAGGCAGGTTGTAGGAACATCTAGGTCACTTTTATTCCTAAATGCACCCTCTTCACTGAGCTGCTGTCCTGCCCTGTATTACTAAATCCAGTTGGCAATGATTTCTTTGAGACAGGTATGCATGAGAGAGGTGAAAATAATTTTTCAACATCCCTATAATGGCAGATATCTAAAAAGATGAAAAGAAGACAAAGGCAGAGATTGACTGTGCTGTCACCAGCCTTGCAACTGTGACATTCAATCCCTAAGGGGCTCCTTTCTCTCTGTCTGTTTTCTTTTCTTTCTTTCTTTTTTTTTTTTTTGAGATGGAGTATTGCTCTCTTGCTCACTGCAACCTCTGCTTCCTGGGTTCAAGTGATCCTCCTGCCTCAGCCTCCCGAGTAGCTGGGATTACAGACACGTGCCACCACACCCAGCTAATTTTTGTATTTTTAGTAGAGACACGGTTTCACCATGTTGGCCAGCCTGGTCTCGAACTCCTGACCTCAGATGATTCATCTGCCTCGGCCTCCCAAAGTGCTGGAATTACAGGTGTGAACCACAAACCCAACCCTTTCTGCCTATTTTCTAGTCCAAATCCTCAGTTTTTGTTTGCATGTACTGAAATAATGCAACATAATTTTCATATTAGTTTCAGAAAATTAAGAATCAGAAAAATAAGGCTATTGTAAAATAATTCACATAATGCTTGTCAAAGCCTACTGCCAATGTGTTATTTTTTATCATCTGCTATGATAAATTAGCATTGACATTAATTGACACGACTGCTTTTGATAAGTGTAAAACATCAAAAGCTGATTTTACAATTTATGTGTAAAGATCTAAAATGGTGATTTTGCATCCTATATTCTGAATTGGTTAAGACCCAGCATTAATGTAACTCTGCTAACTCTTCCAAGCATTTATTTCCTAGTGATCACGTCTAGGAAGGAACACAGCACTCCCTTCAGGATAAAATATCTTCAAGTACTAAGACCCCAACCAATATTTGTTCCTTCACAATTCCAGAGCCATAGAACCACGGTTATAGATTATGCTTTAGACATCATTTATTATTTTAAAGAGATGCAGGCTGGGGGCATTGGCTCACACCTGTAATCCCAGCACTTTGGGATGCTGAGATGGGAGGATCACTTGATGCCGGGAGTTCAAGATCAGTCTGGGCAACACAGCAAGACCCCATCTCTACAAAAAATAAAAAATATAAAAAATTAACTGGGCATGATGGTGTGTGCCTGTAGTCCCTGCTACTTGGGAGGCTAAGACAGGAGGATTGCTTGAGCCCAGGAGTTGGAGACTGCAGTGAGTTATGATGGCACCACTGCACTGGGCAACAGAGCAATACCTTGTCTCTTAAAAAAAAAAAAAGTACAACGCAAAAAGGCAGATGTGTCCCTGTAGAACTTTGTCACTGTGAAGCCTAGAGTAGCACAGAAGATTAGTTTGGATGAACGTTGTAGTGCTTTGTCACCCAGGCTGGAGTGCAGTGGCACTATCTCGGCTTACCGCAACCTCTGCCTCCTGGGTTCAAGCGATTCTGCTGCCTCAGCCTCCTGAGTAGCTGGGGTTACAGGTGCATGCTACTATGCCCAGCTAATTTTTGTATTTTTAGTAGAGACAGAGTTTCACCATGTTGGCCAGGCTGGTCTTGAACTCCTGACCTCAGGTGATCTGCCCACCTCAGCCTCCTAAAGTGCTGGGATTACAGGAGTGAGCCACCATGCCTGGCCCGTTGTAGTTCTTTGAGCTTAAATGCCTTGCAAAGTGCCCATTTCCCCATTTGATTTCTCAATTATTATCCTCCTGGCTGGGCATGCCAAGAAGAAGGCTGCCAGCTCAAATGTAGGGAGACCACGGCTGGGTGCAGGCAGCCCTGCATGCCTGTCCTCACAGCACTGCTTTCTGTGCATTTCTCTTCTGTTGTCACTTACTGTCCCATGGCAGTCCTGATTCTTTATTAACACTGGAGAATTGGGACAGAGCCTTGCACATCCCTCCCCATGGGACTGTTGATGAGTTTTCAGTGGGCTTACACAAATACTCATTTGATTGTCAGAGATGTTTAAACCAGAGCGACTCCATCTTGAATAGGGGCTAGGTAAAATAAGGCTGGGACCTACTCGGCTGCATTTCCAGTAGGTTAGGCACTGTAAGTCACAGGATGAGATAGGAGGTCACATGATACAGGTCACAAAGACCTTGCTGATAAAACAGCATGAGGTAAAGAAGCTAGCCAGAACCCGCCAAAACCAAGATGGCGATGAAAGGGATCTCTCGTCATCCTTGCTGCTCATTATATGCTAATTATACTGCATTGGCATGCTAGAAGACACTCCCACCAGTGCCATGACAGTTTTCAGATGCAATGGCAATATCCAGAAGTTACCCTATATGATCTAAAAAGGGGAGGACACTTCAGTTCTGGAAATTGCCCACCCCTTTCCTGGAAAACTCATGAATAATCCACCCTTTGTTTAGCAAATAATCAAGAGGTAACGATAAGTACAATCAGTTGAGCAGCCGTCGCCACTGCTCTGCCTATGAAGTAGCCATTCTTTTGTTTCTTTACTTCTTTAATAAACTTGCTTTCACTTTACTCTATGGACTCGCCCTGAAGTCTTCCTTGCATGAGGTCCAAGAACCCTCTCTTGGGGTCTGGATTGGGACCCCTTTCAAGTAACATGATGAGGTATCTAAATTAATGCATGATTGAATGAAATCGGAAAACACATTATCCAAGGAAGTCAATCCTGAAGCCCCATCATTTCAGAATTAAGATGAAACTTACTTCCTTTTCAATTGCCTAAAGAACAGCTACCTTAAAACTTAAAAAAAAATGGCCATAGTGTCTAATAAAATATGCACCCCTATCCTGGAATGCCCCTTTTCTGTCTAGGATACCTTAGTCAGTAGGTTATGTTCCAGAAATATGTCAGGAGCCCTATCTTAAGAATGATGGTGGCCGGGTGCGGTGGCTCACTCCTGTAATCCCGGCACTTTGGGAGGCCCAGGCAGGTGGATCACTTGAGGTCATGAGTTTGAGACCCGCCTGGCCAACATGGTGAAACCCCGTCTCTACTAAAAATACAAAATTAGCCGGGCGTGGTGGTGCACACCTGTAATCCCAGCTACTTGGGAAGCTGAGGCAGGAGAATCACTTGAACCTGGGAGGTGGAGGTTGCAGTGAGCTGAGATCATGCCATTATGCTCCAACCTGGGTGACAAGAGCGAAACTCCATATTAAAAAAAAAAAAAAGAGTGATGGCGTTATCAGGGGTGGTTGTCATGGTGTCAGGAAAGTGAACTTGGCTCTCCAAGGCTTTCTCTTTATTCAAGCTCAGAATTGCAGAGGGATAGGCATCCACATAGCCTTGAGTTTGGGAACACTGCTTTGCAATGGGGCGACGAGAATTTTATCAGAAAGATTGCAGGAACAGAACCACAGTACACACTCAGAGTGAGGGGCTTATAAGGAGAAGATATCCCATCGTTCATTGTTCATTGTTCATTCATTGAAGATATCCCAACATTTAGTTGTCACACATGAGCAGCCTGGCAGTATCCAAAGCCAGAAAGAAATGATGGCAGTGATCATCCCCTCACTAGAGTTTTCACTAAGTCCGTGGGAGGAGATTTCAGCCACTACATGCTTCTTCTTTAAGTCAGAATTCTCCAGCCTAGCTAACAAATGCCTTCTTCGTAAACTTACATTTCAGCCTACACACCCATGGAAGAGAAAATCCCTGTGAAATATAAGGGCCCCTTCTACGTGCTCAAGATTAAAAAAAAAAAAAAGGAAAAAGTAGCTCTCACATGCTTTTGGCAAGTTTTTGTAAGTATGTTGCACAGTGAACATTTAAAGAGTAGACTTTTCTCTGTCCTGAATCTGTAGGAGGTGGAGCTTGGAGTCCTTGGCCCAACTTGCTGGTTGAAACAACGGGAGCCTGAGTTGGAGACAGAGGGCCACAGAGCTGCTCTCCGCTGCACGCCCTGGCACCCAGCATCTTCCCTCGTCCTCAGGCTGCCCCTCCCCAGCCCCCATGCTTGGTTATCTTGATAATCTGTCTGTGTGCATTGAGGCCATTCTGTCCACTTCTCAACCAAGCAGGGAGACTACGATTGGCGGAGCGGAATTGGCCTTGATGGGACAAAGAAGCCACAGTAGATTCTTGAGGCTGCCTGTACCAGGGGCATCATCACAGACTCTCTGAAATGCATGTCTAGGCTTGGTTCATTAAGGACCTTTCACTCTCTTGTTTTCTTCTCAAATAGAAAGCAAGCCTTCCCTTTTTCCTACTCCTAATGTCCCTATCTAGTTAATGGTGCCACCATTTCCCCAGACTTCCAAGTTCAAAACTTGAAGTTATCTTTGATGGATGCCTGTGGCCCTGTCTTCAGCTCAAGCCCCTGTTGTTTCAACCAGCCAGTCACCCAATCTTGTTGCTTTTTTTTCCTTCCGTGTCTCTCTCCTGTCTGTCCCTGTCACTCTGCTCTCCTTGTGGCTTCTGAGTTCTGGTTCTCACTATCTCAAACCTTGATTATCCAAATAATTGTTTTGCTGCTCCAGCCTCCATCCCCACAATCCAAGGGTTGGGTGGATGGTGGAAGGATACTATGATTTGCCATGGCAGCATCGGCGGGATGTGGGGAGGATAAATAATATGGTATAGGCCCCCGATGTATGGACTCCCTGATATATGGACTTCTTGATATATGGGCCCCTTGATGTATGGACCTGCTGATGTATGAACCACCTGATGTATGGACCAGCTGATGTGTGGACCCCCTGGTTTATGAACTAGCTGATCTAGAGACCAGCAGATGTATGGACCAGTTGATATATGGACCAGCTGATATGTAGACCCCCCTGTGTATGGACCAGCTCATGTATGGACCCCCTGATATATGGGCCAGCTGATATATGGACCCCTGATGTATGTATGGACCACTGATGTGTGAAGCTCCTGATATATGACCCCCCAATATATGGACCAATTGATGTATAAACCCATGGATGTATGGACTCACTTATGTATCGACCAGATGATGTATAGACTCCCCGCTGATGTATAGACCAGCTGATGTGTGCAGCTGATGTATGGACCCGCTGATGTATGGACCTGCTGATGTATGGACCATTGATGTATGGTCCAGCTGATGTGTGAACCTCCTGATGTATGGACCCCTGAGGTATGGGCCAGCTGATGTATAGACCAGCTGATGTATGGACTCATTGATGTATTGGCTCACTGATGCATGGACCAGATGATGTATGGACTCCCTGATATATGAGCCAGCTGATGTATAGACCAGCTGATGTGTGGACCAGCTGGTGTATGGACCGGCTAATGTATGGACCTGTTGGTGTATGGACCCCTGATGTATGGACCAGCTGATGTGTGAACCTCCTGATGTATGCCCTCCCCGATATATGGACTAGCTGATGTATGGACTCCCTGATGTATAGGACAGCTGATGTATGGACCCGCTGATGTATAGGCCAGTTGACATATGGACGCACTGATGTATGGACCAGCTGATGTGTGAACCTCCTGATGTATGCCTCCTCTGATATAGGAACCAGCTGATGTATGGGCCAGGTGATGTATGGACCCCTGATATATGGAGCAGCTGATGTATGGACCCCTGGTATATAGACCACTGATGTGTGAACCTCCTGATGAGTGACCCACCAATATATGGACCAGTTGATGTATGGACCCACTGATGTATGGACCAGCTGATGTATGCACCCACTCAGGTATGCACTAACAGATATATGGGCCAGCTGATGTATAGACCCCAATGTATAGACCAGCTGATGTGTGAACATCCTGATGTATGCCTCTCTCCCAACCTGATATATGGACTGGTTGATGTATGGACCCCCTGATGTATGGACCAGCTAATGTATGCACCCACTTAGGTATGGACTAACTGATGTATGGGGCAGCTGATGTATAGACCCCTGATGTATAGACCAGCTAATGGGTGAACATGCTGATGTATGCCTCTACCCCCGACCTGATATATGGACTGGTTGATGTATGGACCCCTGATGTATGGGCCTGCTGATGTTTGGACCAGCTGTGGCTCTCCACTCACTCTGGACCTTCCACCCTGTTCCTCACCTGTACACTGTTCCTCCTGGCCATTTGAGTGCCTGACAGCCCTTCGGGACCCAGCCCAGGGGTTACTTCTTCTTGGGTGCATTTTCTTCAAAAAAATTTTTTTTAGAGATGGGGTCTTGCTATGTTGCCCAGACTGGTCTCTAACTCCTGGCCTCAAGCAATCCTGTCCCACCATTGACCCATCTGAAGATTGGAGAGACCTTAGGCCCAGGGCTGGGGAATAACCATAATTTGCTCTTCAATTATTCTGCAAATACATATTGAGTTCCCACAGTGATGAACACAGTCCTAAGTACTGAGATGCAATAGTAGACAGAATCTCTGTCTTCATGAGGCTTTCATAGTCCTAGGAGGAGATACGTTACATTTTATTTATTCATTTAAATAAGTAAAAATGTGATGTGACATGACATGATAAATCATAAAGCTATGTATAAAGAAAAATAAAGCCAGATAAAGGAAATACAAAGTGAATGACTGGACAAATGGCCAACAAACAAATAAAAAGAGGCTCCGTGTCATTAGTCATGAGGGAAATGTGATTCAAATCCACAGTGAGCTCACACTTCACACCCAGTAGGATGGCGATCATAAAAATAACCGGAAAATAACTTTTGGCAAGAATGTGGAGAAATTGGAACCTTCCTACAGTGCTGGTGGGAATGTGAAATAGTGCAGCTGCTGTGGAAAATAGTTTGGCAGTTCCTCAAAAAGTTAAACATAGACTCACCATATGATCCAGCAATTCCACTCCCAGGTAGATGCCCCCAAAGAGCTGAAAATATGGGTTTAAGTGAAAACTTGTCCACCCATGCTCATGGCAGCACTATTCACAATGACTGAAAGGTGGAAACAACTCAAATCACCATGAACTGATAAAGCATAAACAAAATGTGATATATACACACAATGGACTATCATTCAGCCGTAGAACAGAATGGAGGACCGATGCAGGCTACCTCATGGACAAACATTAAGAATATGATGCTGGGCTGGGAGCAGTGGCTCACACCTATAATCCCAGCACTTTGGGAGGCTGATGTAGGAGGATCACTTGAAGCCAGGAGTTCAAGACCAGCCTGGGCAACAAAATGAGACCCTGTCTCTACAAAAAATTTAAAAAAAAAATTAGCTGGGTACAACAGCATGCACCTGTCATCCAAGCTACTCAGGAGACTGAGACAGGAAGATCGATTGAGCCTAGGAGTTCAAAGCTGCCTGCAGGGAGCTATGATTGTGCCACTGCACTCCAGCTTCAGCAACACAGTGAGACCCTGTCTCTTTAGAAAAATTAAATTTAAACAAACGAAAAAAATTACAATGCTAAGTGAAATAAGCCAGACACAAAAAGTCACATAATGTATGATTTCATTTATATGAAATATCCAGACTGGGCACGGTGGCTCATGCCTGTAATCCTAGCACTTTTGGAAGCCGACATGGGTGGATCACCTGAAGTCAGGAGATCGAGACCAGCCTGGCCAACATGATGAAACCCCATCTCTATTAAAAATAAAAAAATTAGCCAGGCGTGGTGGCACATGCCTGTAATCCCAGCTACTCAGGAAGCTGAGACAGGAGAATTGCTTGAACCCGGGAGGCAGAGGTTGCAGTGAGCCAAGATTGTACCACTGAACTCCAGCCTGGGCAAAAGAGCGAGACTCCATCTCAAAAAAAAAAAAAAAAAAATCCATAGAGATGAAATGCAGCTCAGGGGTTCCCTGGAGCTTGGGAAAGAGGATAATGGGGCGTGACTGCTTAATGGGCAGAGGGTTTCCTTTCTGGGTGATGAAATGCTCTAGATCTAGACAGTGGCAATGGTTGCATGACATCGTGAATGTACAGTATGAAATATCACTGCACTGTACACTTTACAAATGGTTAAAATGGTAAATTATATATTATATGTATTTTGTCACAATTTTTAAGGAGAGTCAATGAAGGTGGTCATGGGGTTCTCTTTGAATAGGAGGGTCAAAGAAAGCCTCACAAATGAGTGGAGATTTGGGCAAAGACCTGATGCGGGAGGATATGAAACCTCGGTGAGGTACGCAAAAAGCCTCCCAGAGCCGGGTGCAGTGGCTCATGCCTGTAATCCCAGCACTCTGGGAGGCCAAAGCCAGTGGATCACCTGAGGTCAGGAGTTCAAGACCAGCCTGGCCAAAATGGTGAAACCCTGTCTCTACTAAAAATACAAAAATCAACCGGGCGTGGTGGCAGGCGCCTGTAATCCCAGCTACTTGGGAGGCTGAGGGAGGAGAATCGCTTGAACCCAGTAGGTGGAGGTTGCAATGAGCCAAGATCGTGCCACTGCACTCCAGCCTGGGCGACAGAGCGAGACACTGTCAAAAAAAAAAAAAAAAAAAAAAAAAAAAAGCCTCCCAGCAGAGAAGAAGGAAGCACAAAACAGACAGATGGCTCAGAGCAGCATTCATCAGAACCTGGCTCCACCCTCCTCATAGGGCGACTTCTGGGCCCACCTCCCTCCACCTCTCTTCACCTAGCACTTCCTTTTTACCTCTCATCAGGGCATGCACTGTTGCACTGTCTCCCAGACACCCTGGACCCTTCCAACCTGTTCCTCACCTGCACACTGCTCCTCCTGGCCATTTGAATACTTGAACACCCTTTGGCACCCTGCCCAGGGACCACTTCTTCTTAGGTGCATTTTCCTTTAAAAATAATTTTTTTAATAGATGGATCTTGCTATGTTGCCCAGGATGGTCTTGATCTCCTATCCTCAAATGATTCTCCAGCCTCAGCCTCGTAAAGGTTGGGTGCATTAAAGATTTGAGCATTGTGTCTACGACTCGTCAGCATTATGACACTGGGCACTTAGCCCCCTCTGTAAGTTTCTCTTTCTTCATATGTAAAATAAGGGCTATTGAGAGAATAAAATAAGATGATCGCAAAGTGGTTGACTTAGTTCCCCGTGCACAATGGGCTCTCCTGAATGGTAGCTCTATGGCCACTTCAACCTCACCCGTAATCTGAAGCTTGAAATTTGGCACTTCATTTTGTGCTGTTGATAATGTTTTGTAATTATTTGATAAATGTGGGTGGGAGATACAGGATAAACACCAAGGGTGATATTTATCTTCTTTGAAACTGTCTTCCCCCAACCCTGGTAACTATTTGATGCAGAGCATATATAATGCACATGAATAAATGTTTGACTGACAACTGATTGATTGATTTGGCTTTATCATCAAGTAGGTAGGAAATTTTCTTCAAATGCAACTGCAAAGGACAAATAATAATGTCTCAGGAGAGTTATGGATTGGCAAACTAGAAAATACCTGGTCCAGCCACAATGAGATATATTGAAAGCTTTCATAGGCACAGATGTTTGCCAAAAAACACAAAACAGCACAATTAAAAAAAAAAAAAAAAAAAAAACCAGGAGGTGTGGTGGCAGGTTTTTCAGAAAAATGACTCATTCTGTAAATGAACTGTTCTTTTAGTTCAGGAGACCATAGTTACTGGTATTTGAAGAAAATGTTAACACATTTTGCGCTAGATTTAAGACAAGTCTCTAATGATGTATCACTTAGAAAGTCATGAGTTTAAAAAATATGAAAATATGAGATAATAGAACTGTATTTCACAAAAATTTTAAAGCCGAATAGATAGATAGATAGATAGATAGATAGATGATAGATACATAATAGATGATAGATAGATAGAAATATAAACAGATAAAAACAGTGGCACCTGATTACTTGAAGAGCAGCCACAAGGAAGGAGAACCAGTTTAGTTTTATTCAATAAGAACATATGATGCTAAGATAGTGCTGGGAACCGCTTCTGTATGAGCTGGTCACGTGACCAACCTCAGAGCCACTGCCCCAGACAGTGAATAAGACCAACCGACTGTTTTCTACCTTTGTAATCTATATACAACCAAATGCGATGCGGCGACTCCAACGAAGCATCTCTCTTTCTCAAACACCCAGCGCTTTCTCCACAAACAGAGAATTGATTCTGCAGCTCTCTCTCCAGGAGATCCTTGTTTTATCACTTTATTCCCCTTTCAGAGAAACTGTCACAAGCCCTGTTCACCAGCACAAAGCTAGAAAGCAGCTGCCGTTTTTCAGTGATTACCGGCCCTATTTTCTTAATCATCCTTTCAACAAAACAATGGAAAAGGGAAGAAAATATTTACCTGAGGAAATCCCTGATTTCTTCATGAGCGTCTAAAGAATTGAATTTTTCAAAAGCCCCTCGGATGCTCTGCTGAGAATTTCCTAAATCTAAAATCCTCCTCCGATAGCAGCTCTAAGTTTGAGCTCTGAATAGAGGCTGTGTGTTATTTTAACCACAAGGTTTCTAGTCAGTAGGGAGGAGAGATGGAAATGAGGTATGCTGGCAAACACAGCCCCCATCCACCTCAAGTGAATCAAGCTCACAGATCTGATGTAAGAGGTTCGAGGAGATTTGAAGAACCCTCAAACCAACTTTTCCTAAACTAGAGATTAAATAACTGCGGAAAATTCCGAAGGAGTAAGATAAGACACTTATGGTCTTTTCTAAAAAAAGACGTGTTGGTATGCCCTGTCAAATACTGTCCCAAAAGAAGCTTGGTACCGAGCCTATGTGGTCCTGGGCTTTGGACAAGAGAAAGTTACCTTTCTCGTGGTAGCCTTTCTCCACAGAGAAAGGGGGTTAAAAGTACAAAATAACAAAGGAGTGTGACTGACCAAGTCAAATCTTTTGTGCAAAAACAAAACCAGTGTCATGAGAATCCATAGGAAGTTGTAGGGTAAGGGAATAGCTATTCTGGAATGTTATTAAGGGAGGATTAATGTGTGTGTGTGTGTGTGTGTGAGCACGCACGCGTGCTCCCCACCTCCCACACAACTTAAAAAGCAAAGATCCAACCTCAGCTTCAACCAGTTGGAGATCCTCCTCCTTAGTATTTTGGCAAATACAAATGCCGCCTTTGGACTTGGAAGAGAATGATTTATGGCACACAGAATCAACAGCAAAAATGAGGGCGGCTGAAAGGGCCAACGATCCTTTACAGCCAGCCCTTTGCAGATGCCAGAGGGGTTTAACTCCACTTTTGGAAAAAGGCAACAGTGCTCCTATTAAGCAGGGTCATAACTCAGTTTTATATAGAGTCTTTTATCTCAAAGGAGCTTGAGGTGCTTTTGCACCAAAATATAAATTATCATGTGCACTGTCACCTCGGGGACGAAATGCAGCCCTGCCTAGGAGCAGTTGGCCAAGATGCAACCAGTCAGTTTGGAGCCACGGTTAGACAGCAGGACAAGCGGCCAGGAGGCACTCCTCAAGGAGGAATGAGTGGGCCTGTCCTTCTCTCTGGTAGCAGATCCTTTTCTTCACACAGCTCAGTGGGACCTCTTCATTCTGCCCATCACTTCTCTTCCAGAGTCGCCCTATGCCCTCCCACAGAGGACTCTTTCCATCCTACCTACACACACAAATTCAAAATGTGCACTTAGAAAAGAGCTGGCAAACAAAGTGGTAGGCGATGGTTTGCAAATTTGATTCTGTAGATCAAGAGTTGGCCAGCCAGTTGTGGTGGCTCATGCCTGTAATCCCAGCACTTTAGGAGGCTGAGGAGGGGGGATCACCTGAGGTCAGGAGTCTGATACCAGCCTGACCAACATGGTGAAACCCCGTCTCTACTAAAAATACAAAAAAAGTAGCTGGGCATGGTGGCGGGGGCCTGTAATCCCAGCTACTCGGGAGGCTGAGGCAGGAGAATCGCTTGAACCTGGAGGGCAGAGGTTGCCATGAGCCAAGATCACACTTTTGCACTCCAGCCTGGGCGACAAGAGTGAAACTGTCTCAAAAAAAAAAAAAAAAAAAAAGAGTTGGCCAACCATGGCTCTTGGGCCAAAGGCAGCCCACTGACTATTTTTGTCAATAAAGTTTTATTGGTCTACAACCACACACTCATTTACACACTGTATCTGGCTGCTTCTGCATGACAGCAGCAGCGTGGAATAGATGCGGCAGAGACTGTGAGGCCCAGCAAGGCCCGAACTATTTGTTAACTGGTTCTTCATAGAAAAATTTCTGCTACAGAGGGTTTTTTGTTTTGTTTTGCATGATTTTTATTTTTAAATGGGTGGAAGAAAGGAATAAGCAGGTTTTTTTTTTTCAATAATTCCTAAAGATCATACTATGGAGAGAACATCTACTTACACCACCAACCCATATTCAGGCCTTAAGTCTCCAATTTTCTTATTCACTCATCAGAGAAAGTCTTTTACACAGGTACTCCCATTCCTGCATAGCCACACTGATGGATAGACACAGTGTACCTGACCTCACCTCTAAGAACTCAACATGGCTGTCTCTCAACTGGTCTCTCATATAGAAGCCTTGGAGCCCTGTCAGGGCCTCCTCCTTGTCATTCCCAAGGGTACCTTGTCTTTCAAGCTCTCTATGGATCTTCTCAGCTTCTTCCTTCAGCCTCTCTTATCATATTTTGCTAATTCTCTTTTTGTAGTTCTTACCTTAGTTACACCCCCATTATCTATTTTTGTCTTTGCCTTTCTTACTACACTGTGGGCTTGCTGAGAGCAAACACCACGTCTTATTCATCTTTTTATCCCTAGAATCTAAAACAGTCAAAGACATAGAGGGGATACTCTATTAACGGTTATGACAAAAATAACTCAATCAGTCTTACTCCACCAGAATGTAATCTCAAGGGTGGTGAATAAAAGGGTTGCCTGATGGTCTCTGAAGACGAGGTTCCTAAAATGGTCTTCCTCAGGGATGAACCTGGACTTATCCTTCTAACTCTTGCCCCTGGGTGGAGCTGACTTTTATGCATTCTTTTGGCAGTCACTCATTGAATTTTGAATTTCAGAAAGAAGAGCCTCATTGCAGAAATACGCATCAACTGCAGTTAGGAAAAGGATCTTTCTAACAGCTAGAGTTGTCAGGAGACTCTGAAGAGGGTCGTGTTTGGTGGGAAGGAGGCTGGGTGTCCCCTGAGTTCCCTTCTATAATAACGAACTCTAAGGCTTGGTAGTAGCCTGGGTTCTCTGATGTGACACCCTCAGAAGACAAAGCGATCACATGGCCACGGGATGCAGATTTGTCCCCATCAGGCCCAGGGCATGAAAGGACCCAGCCCGGGCATGGCAAGTGGTGTTGTCATTAGCATTGTGCCATTATTTCAGTGAGTGACATTACCCCCCTTATTCATATCCATTTTCATGGTCACTTTGTGGCAAACTTGGGAACATTCTGTAGTGAACAAAAATTGCACAGTTATCACACATATGGCCACCTCACATCTGGTGAACGATTTCCCTTTGGTAAACTTGGACGTCCGCCATTGCGTTCCCCTTCCCCACAGTAGAAGCCAGGACTCTCTTTTCCAGCTTTATTTGCAGCTGGGGTGCAGGCAAGTGCTACAGGCCGCACAGCAGGGGCACTGCAAGAGACTCAACTAGTAAGAACCAGGAGGAGGCAGAAAAGGGAGCGAATCTATGCTATGGGAGGCCAGTGCCATCTGGCAGGGGGACACAACTCTCTGGCTGGTCTCAGAAAGGGCCAGTCTGGTGTCCTGTTTGGTGTCTGCCTGGCCCCACCTCTGTGGCCACAGGGGACTCAGTGTGTCACTTGTTTAGTGCTCCTGGTTGTGCAGTTCCCATGCCTGCCTCTGGTCTCCCAGAATTTCTGTGACCTAGTGATACCCTTTGATGAACGTTTTTTTTTCTCCAACAAGCTAGTGGTATCATTTGCAACTAAGGATGTAAATGTGTATGGTTGATACAGGTACTGAAAACAAAACTGTATAGTTTCTTTTTGCTTTCTTGACCAACTCTCAGGATTTGTCTTTCTGGCCTTGATGCAGTTTTGAATGAATATTTGTCAATGTGATTTTGTACTAATGCCTGGCTCCTTTGCCTTTGGGCTTATTCTTCACTCTCTTCCTCTTTGCCTTGTGTCATGGCATTGGGGACCGGCAGTGGGCTGGCCCTGCTCCTTGGGTATTGTAGACTGTGTTGTGGTTTCCACTTGAGTCCCACCAATGGGAGACATGGTGGCAGGGGAAAAGGCAGGAGGGAGGGAGAAGCCAGGGTATTCTTCCCCACCCAACCTCAGTTAGTGTCTCCAGCAGGGCTACGTCCTCTCCTTTGGGACTTGAGCTCTGCTGGGACAGGTCCCCTGGGCTCAGCTTCTGACAAGTGTTTCTGGCTCTGTCCTTCAGCCTCGAAGGGAGGTGAGGTAGTGGCTTCCTGCTATGTCTGATCTCTGCATTGCCTCACTGTCCCCAGTGCACCTCTCTGCTTTTCCTTCATCTGTGTAACCAATTCACTTACCAAATTTCCTCTATTTTATTTATTTATTTATTTACTTATTTTTGAGATGAAGTCTCACTCTGTAGCCCAGGCTGGAGTGCAGTGGCACAATCTCAGCTCACTGTAACCTCTGCCTTTTGGGTTCTAGCAATTCTCCTGCCTCAGGCTCCCAAGTAGCTGGGGTTACAGGCACCTGCCACCACGCCCGGCTATGTTTTGTATTTTTAGTAGAGACGGGGTTTCACCATGTTGGCCAGGCTGGTCTCAAACTCCTGACCTCAGGTGATCCACCCTCCTCAGCCTCCTAAAGTTCTGGGATTACAGGTGTGAGCCACCAAACCCAGCCAAATTTCCTCTATTTTAATGTTTAGAGCAGATCCCATTTTCCTGGTTGGACCCTGATTGGTACAGTTCTCTATACCACTCCGGTCCAGGTTAAAGAACCAGCATACACCTGTCGGCTGGAGACGAGACTGTCTGGGCAGAGCTTTGTGCTATTTGATAGAATTCCCCTTCTTGCTTTGGACAAGATCACTTCTACAGAGTTGACTACAATGAGGCAAGTGTTAGCAAGCCATCTACGTAACTCTTCTGGCCTTTTTGGAGAACAAGAAACAGCTTTCAGAGAGATTTGTTGATGGAAAAAGTCATGATTAGAAACAGCAGCTGATCAAAAAAAAAAAAAAAAAAAAAAAAAGGCCAGGTGTGGTGGCTCAAGCCTGTAATCCCAACACTTTAGGAGGACAAGGCAGGTGGATCACCTGAGGTCAGGAATTTGAGACCAGCCTGGCCAACATGGCAAAATCCCATCTCTACTACAAATACCAAAATTATCTGGGTGTAGTGGTGGGCACCTGTAATCCCAGGTACTCAGGAGGCTAAGGCGGGAGAGCTGCTTGAACCCAGGAGGCAGAGGTTGCAGTGAGCTGAGATCGAGCCATTGCACTCCAGCCTGGGTGACAGAGTGAGACTCCGTCTCAAAAAAAAGAAACAGCAGCTAGCTGAATCCTTGCCTCAAGGACCAGAAGATCCCACAAGGAATAAAGCAAGGTAAAGAAAAGAGGGACCAAAAAGGGGTGATAAATATTCAGCCTGCAGGGAATTTAGAAAATTTCGTCAGCTCTTAGAAAAAAAATTATACGCACTTTTCTATCTAATTCATGAGAGGGGAAAAAGACTAAGTATGCAAAGTATTTGTTGTGGCATTATTTATTAAATTAAACCTCGATGTCCAACACTAAGAAAATTATGATTTTCATCGTAATACATTTTACCCCGTGGAATAGTTTACAACCAATAGCAGGGTTAATTATGAAGGGATGTAGCAACTGAGGAAATAGTTACAGCAATGTTAAATAAATAAAACTAGCAGAACCAGACAATGTATCGGCTCTGTGATCACAGCCATTTAGAAGCATAAATGTCTATGGATAAACTGGAAATGGGGTAGGAGAAGGAGGAGTTGATATGCGAAGGTGATGTGATGGTAGGTGTATTGGTTTTTATGAAAGTGCCTTTGTTTTTGTAAAGTTTTTTTTTTTTTTTAGATGGAATCTCTCTGTCAGCCAGCCTGGAGTGCAATGCCATGATCTCGCCTCATTGCAACCTCCGTCTCCCGGGTTCAAGTGATTCTCCAGCCTCAGCCTCCCCAGTAGCTGGGACTAGAGGTGCGTGCTGCCATGCCTGGCTAATTTTTGTATAGGATGTTTGTACAACAATAAGTACTCTTCCATTCCCTTCTGATATGGTTTGGCTGTGTCCTCACCCAAATCTCATCTTGAATTGTAGCTCCCGTAATTCCTACGTGTTGTGGGAGGGACCCGGTGGGAGATAATTGAATCATGAGGGCAGTTTCCCCCATACTGTTCTCATGGTAGTGAATAAGTCTTACAAGATCTGATGGTTTTATAAGGGCTTTCCCCTTTTGGTTGGCTCTCACTCTCTCTTGCCTGCCACCATGTCAGATGTGCCTTTTGACTTCCTCCATGATTGTGAGGCATCCCCAGCAACGTGGAAATGTGAGTCCATTAAATCTTTCTTTCTTTATAAATGACTCAGTCTTGGGCATATCTTTATCAGCAGCATGAAAGCAGACTAATATGCCTTCCCATCCTTTTCCTTTCCTTTCTTATCTAGGGTCTTGTAATACTAAGTGATAACAAGAAGGAAAGAGTCGGGGCTGAGAGGCAGCCAATCACCAGGATTTAGGGCACAGGGAAGAGGGCATGGAGGCAGCAAAGAGTATTAAGAAGAAGAAAATTAAAATAGCAGAAACTAGATAATATGAAATTTTAGTGATTCTTAGGGCCTATGGAGGAAGAAGAACATGTAGGATTTTAAAATTTGGGCTAAATAACTGTATTAGTTCGTTCTTGCATTGCTATAAAGAAATACCAGAGACTGGGTGATTTATTAAAAAAAAAAAAAGAAAAGAAAAGAAAAGAGGTTTCATTTGTTCACAGTTCCCCAGACAGTACAGGAAGCATGGCTGGGGAAGCCTCAGGAAATTTACAATCATGGTGGAAGGTGAAAGGGAAGGATACGCTTCTTACATGTGCAGAGCACGAAGAAAAGAGAGCAATGGGGGAGGTGCTACACACTTTTAAACAACCAGATCTTGTGAGAACTTACTCACTATCAAGAGAACAGCAGGGGGCAAGTCCGCCCCTATGATCCAATCACCTCCCACCAGGCTCCTCCACCAACATTAGGGATTACAGTTCAACATGAGATTTGGGTGGGGACACAAATCCAAACCATGTCAATAACATATTGTAGCTTTCATTTTCAATATTTTACAGTTTCCATGTTATCGGCATAGCAGATGGTGAAGCTGTTTCTTGCCACAATGACCAGGTGAAAAAACTGATGCTAAGAGAAGTTAAGTGACCTGCTCAAATTTATACCACTAGCAATGGCAGAGCTAGGCCTGGAAATAACTTCTTGGGTTTCAAGTCTAACGTATTGGCTTCCACACCATGTTTGCTTCTAAACAACTAAGGTAGTGGTTGATCAAAATCAATGTCCCCAATGGTCAGAAGTGGCACTGCCCCTTGATCAGTCTTGAGACATCCTTCTAAGTGTCCTTGAGTTGCTTTGGCAGAACACAGCAGTGTGTTCCTGCCTCTCTCTCTAGATAAAAGTTGTCTCTGGAGCAGGATTTTCTTATGTGCTGCTGGGGAGGCTTCCGGTTGTTTGCAGTAGCTCTCTCTCCACATGTTAATTCCCAGGCTGCAGAAAACCTGCTCATGGAGAACATCAGCTGCTTTAGGAAGGCTACAGGTAAAAAGGGCTGCCTGCATTTTGGGAGGCCGAGGCGGGCGGATCACGAGTTCAGGAGATCGAGACCATCCTGGCCAACATGGTGAAACCCCGTCTCTACTAAGAATCCAAAAAATTAGCCGGGCGTGGTGGCGGACGCCTGTAGTTTCCCAGCTACTCGGGAGGCTGATGCAGGAGAATGGCGTGAACCCGGGAGGCGGAGCTTGTAGTGAGCCGAGATCGCGCCACTGCACTCCCGCCTGGGCGACAGAGCGAGACTCCATCTCAAAAAAAAAAAAAAAAAAAAAAAAAGGCTGCCTGCAAGATAATAGGAGACAATAGGACCCCTCACAGGACAGGTGTAGGATTAAATGTTTTTAAAGTATGTGTATAGGAATTCATGCAACGCCTACCACATAGAAAGTTAGCTACCTAGCTGGTAGTAAGAGTCCCACTAGTCATAAAAATAGGGATAGCAGCAAGTCATTAAGGGGCTAGGGTTAGAGAAATAGCCCGATGACATAATTTCCTTCTGAAATTAGGACTAGGAGAAAGTTTTCTTCTTTTCTCTTTCCAAAACTTACATTCTAACTAACCCGTGTGACTTTTTTTTTTTTTTTTTTTTTTTTTTTTTTTTTTGGAGATGGAGTCTTGCTCTGTTGCCCAGGCTGGAGTACAATGGCGCGATCTCAGCTCACTGCAAGCTCCACCTCCCGGGTTCACGCCATTCTCCCGCCTCAGCCTCCGGAGTAGCTGGGACTACAGGCGCCCGCCACCACGCCCGGCTAATTTTTTGTATTTTTAGTAGAGAGGGGGTTTCACCATATTAGCCAGGATGGTCTCAATCTCCTGACCTTGTGATCCGCCCACTTCTGCCTACCAAAGTGCTGGGATTACAGGCATCAGCCACCACACCCGGCCCCATGTGACTTCTTTTTAGCCAAAGTTGCAAGGAGACTCAATTAATTCAGCTTCTTGT
Organism: Homo sapiens; assembly: GCF_000001405.40. Lineage (NCBI taxonomy): Eukaryota > Metazoa > Chordata > Mammalia > Primates > Hominidae > Homo > Homo sapiens. Next base: position 30,123,736 of record NC_000010.11, read on the forward strand.
CATTTTTTTTTCTTTTTGAGATGGACTCTCACTCTGTCGCCCAGGCTGGAGTACAGTGGTGTGATCTTGGCTCATTGTAACCTCTGCCTCCTGGGTTCAAGCGATTCTCCTGCCTCAGCCTCCCAAGTAGCTGGGATTACAGGCACATCCCACCACACCTGGCTAATTTTTAGTAATTTTTAGTATTTTTAGTAAAGATGGGGTTTCACCATGTTGGCCAGGCTGATCTCGAACTCCTGACTGCAGGGTGATCCACCCACCTTGGCCTCCCAAAGTGCTGGGATTACAGGCATGAGCCACTGCACCCAGCCTTGTCATTTTTTTGATGTCCCATTTCTCACCTTTTTAATAACTTGCCTCCTACCTTGGGTGTTGTAAATAGTTTGACATTAAATCTTTTTTGGGAGGAGATGGGATATAAGTTAGTTGATTATGAAATAAATCAGGTAGTTTCTGTGCATAGCTCAGCTGACAGAAGGGTCATCTCCCTTGTCTCCTTGTTATATTGTGAATCAATAAATTTACACCACGAGTGTTTAATCCATATACTGAGTATAAACAATATCTGGTAGGTCCTATTAACTTAGTTACTGTTCAATAAGTGACTCCCGCCAATACCATAAAGATTAACTTTCACAAGAGGGTGTGCTTTTCTAAATTTCTCCCTTATGTTATTCTCTGGGAAAATAGACTCAGGCTTCCTTGGTGAAGAATATGTGTGTCTGTGTGTGTGTTGTGTGTGGTATGTGGTTTGTTTCTTTTCTGAGTGTACATTACTATATTTCAGGGCACAGTTTAAAACTGTGAAAGGTAAATAAATCTGGGGGCCCCAAATCAGTAAGCTAAAGGGAAAAGTCAAGCTGGGAACTGTTTAGGGCCAACCTGCCTCCCATTCTATTAAAAGTCATCCCTCTGCTCACTGAGATGGATGCATATCTGATGGCCTCCTTTGGAAAGACTAATCAGAAACTCAAAATAATGCAACCGTTTGTCTGTCACCTATCTGTGACCTGGAAGGTGTCTCTCCACTTTGAGTCTTCCTGCCTTTGCTTCAAGTTTGTCCCGCCTTTCCAGACTGAAGCAATGTACTTCTTACATATATTGACTGATGTCTCATGTCTCCCTAAAATGTATAAAACTAAGCTGTTCCCTGACCACCTTGGGCATGCGTCATCAGGATTTCCTGAGGATGTGCCACGGGTGCGCATTCTCAACCTTGGCAAAATAAACTTTCTAAATTAACTGAGACCTGTCTCAAATTTTCGGGGTTCACACAACTTAGCATCATCTAGTCATTTGTGTATTCACTTGGTAGGTACTTATTTTTCCCCTGCTGTATAGCAGGCCCTGAGCTATGTGGATTCCCCATGATGTTTGCAAGTACTCCATGGTCAAGCCTTCCTCCAAAGTCAAACAGGGGCTAGTGGTGGGCCATTCATTTTTGTACTTGCTGTCTGCTGTTTGGCCTTGTAAATTGCTTTTTTTCTGAATGATTTTCTGTCTCTTTCATCAGAATATGGCCCCCTCTAGAGCAAAATCCTTATCTTGTTCATCTTTGAAGGCCCAGTGCCCCAGTACATTGCCATAGACGTATTAGGTTATCAATAAACTGTTTTATTGATATTGATATCACATCATCCCAGTAGTTTGAAATAAAACAAGAAGATATTACATGGGAAGTAAAATTTGGTGCCTTCAAACAACAACAACAAAAATGGTCATGTGGACATATTAAAGCGTATCCAAGACCCATGATTAGTGGCTGATGGGGCAGTTCAAGCCACAGATTAGGAAGGCTGCAGGCAAGCATCACAGCAAATCTAAAGCCTGGAGCCCACAGCCTAGACAATGGCTGAATAAATGCATGGACACCCAGCCCAACACCACCCTTGAATAGACCCTGCCTGGGAAAGAAGGATGCATGTGGTAATGACAGTTGTCGGGGGTTGTGCTTTCTGAGAACTGATGAGCTTGTCATGAACAAAACCACGGCTAAGCACTAAGCAGAATAGAATCTGTTCCCTGTGTTGGCCAAGGAAGCACCATCTTTCAGAGTAGGAGGGATAAAGAATGAGAGTTGCCAAGTCAAGCCTGCTTTTCTCAATACAAAACTGGTGACCAGTGGTAAGTGCTCTTCATAAAAGCAGTGGCATTTAGTTTGGAAGTAGATGTGATGCAGGATATAAAAATCAGTAGCTATAAAAATAAAAATGTAAATATCTCCAGGGAGCAAAAAGCCACTATTTCAGTGTATACAGCATCATAGCAGCAAAATGTGCCCACGGCTCCAATGGTTTGACCTTGCAGAGTGCTTCTTGGGAAGAAAGCTTTTTGGGATTCATGGGACCACACCCAGGGTTCTTGGGCTCCACCATCTAGGTACCAAGATTTTGACTTGACACAAACTCCTCTCAGATCTTGTTGGTAGTTCTTGAAACTTGACTTATTCTCAGACTTACCCCTGAAAAGCTTTTGTAAAAAGCAGATTCCTGGGTTTCATCTTTAGAAATTTTGATTCAGTAGATCTTTTTTAAATTTTTTAATTTTTTTAGAAACATGGTCTTGGCTGGGCAAGGTGGCTCACATCTGTAATCCCAGCACTTTGGGAGGCTGAGGCAGGTGGATCACCTGAGGTCAGGAGTTTGAGACCAGCCTGGCCAACATGGTGAAATCCCATCTCTACTAAAAATACAAAAATTAGCCAGGCGTGGTGGTGGGCACCTGTAATCGCAGCACTTGGGAGGCTGAGGCAGGAGAATTGCTTGAACCTGGGAGGTGGAGGTTGCAGTGAACTGAGATGGCACCGTTGCACTCCAGCCTTGGCAACAAGAGTGAAACTCAGTTCCCCTCACCACACCCCCTCCCCCGCAAAAAAAAAAGAAAAGAAAAAGAAGCATGGTCTTGCTCTGTTGTCCAGGCTAGAATGCAGTGGTGCAATCATAACTCATTCCAGCCTTCAACTCTTGGACTCAAGCGATCCCCCCACCTCTGACTCCTGAGAAGCAGGGACTATAGGAATGCACCACCACACCTGGCTAGTTTTTTTTAAACATATTTTTTATTGTAGAGGCAGGGTCTCGCTATATTGCCCAGGCTGGTCTTTAACCTGTGGGCACAAGCGATCGTCCTGTCTTGGCTTTCCAAAGCACTGGGATTCTAGGTGTGAGCTGCTGTGTCTGGCCTCAGTAGATCTTTTTAAAAATGTCATTGGGTGATTCTGGAAACTGGTGGGGTTTTGACTACACTGATCTGAAGCTCTTTCTTCTTCGTTAAACTTTGCTGGGAATTAAGGGATGGAAGAAAAGGGGAGACTGTGGTTCACCTTCAGTGATATGTAATTGGGAAGACCAAACTTGCACCTCTGAACAAGGAGAGACCAAGACGTGAGAAAGGAGGACTCAGGAAGGATTTGAATGCTGCGTCGGATGTCCCTAGACTGGAGAACAGGCACGGCCTACTTGGCAAGAAAGCAGCTTCAGCAAAGCCACAGAAATGAGGCTAAGCCAAGAGCAGGGAGGACGGCCAGCCATTTGGGGCGGAGAGGACACATATGGGAGTAGCTGGAAATAAATCTGACTTATAGATACTTAGTAAGTGGCTGTATAATTCTTTTTAAAGAACACTGCTCACAGACAGTGGCCTGGTGGAGAGCGTGACTTGAATCAATAATTTCCAACCACGTTGATGTTCCGAGACATTGTAATTGTTGGTTTGATTTCACAACGTTCCACTTTCCCCCTCCGTATCTCTCCAAAGAGCTCATCAGAATGGCATCTGAGTCCTGAACACATCAAGTTTTCCCTTTGTGGGGCTTTGCAAAGGCTTCTTGAGAATTTCCAACTCTAAGATAAAATAATACTTGGGCTGAAAATCTAAGCACCATGTTTCCCTGTGGGCACGCACCACCTGAGTTCCCGTTCAGACACACTCCACAGCCATGTCCATTTGGAGAGATGGCAGAGGGGAAGCCTACCAAAGACTCTTACTATGGGGCCTATTCTGGTCTAGTCTTAATAATCCCTAACACTGAAAATTGTTAGAGGTGACTTAGAAAATGTCTCTAATGGTGTATTCACAGGCTCTTCTCTGAGCCAGGCACCATGAGGAGTATGAGATAAATAATAAAATGTTCTGCCTCAAGAAACTTACCGTCTTGCCCTTCAGATTTAAGAATGAGTCCAAGCCAGGAGCGGTGGCTCACGCCTGTAATCCCACCACTTTGGGAGGCTGAGGCAGGTGGATCATGAGGTCAGGAGTTCAAGACCAGCCTGCCCAACACGGTGAAACCCCGTCTGTACTAAAAACACAAAAATTAGCCCGGCGTGGTGGCGCATGCCTGTAGTCCCAGCTACTCTGGAGGCTGAGGCAGGAGAATCGCTTGAACCTGGGAGGCGGAGGTTGCAGTGAGCCGAGATCGCGCCACTGCACTCCAGCCTGGGCGGCAGAGCGAGACTCCATCTCAAAAAAAAAAAAAAAAAGAATGAGTCCAAATTTAGATGTGATTCTAGCATATCAGACAGACTCAAATGTATCCTAAGATCCAGAAATGGAGAGTGACAAGTAGAATAAAACAGTAAAACATGGGAAAAGGTCAAGAACTCACCCTGTAGTTGGGATGTGGGAGCCATTTATTGGTATCTTTGACCATGGGCGTGAAAACAGTATATATAACACCAAAATTAAGCAGCAGTGAAATGGGCCAGAATTATGCAGGCATCTCTCCCTCACCTGGGGCATCAACAAAAATTGTCAGAATTGACTCATTTCAGTTGTGGCTTTGGTTTTTAAGAGTGATGTTATAGAATACAAGAAAGCAAGAAACAAGGGCATGTCAAGTAGGTAATACGAATGTGCCCCAGAGAAAAGGTAACTGATTCCTATTCTTTCCAGGGGAAGAAAAACCAGAAAATGGGGTTTAATAGAGCACTTAAATATAGGAGAGTTGTTTTAAGGAGAAAAGCACTTCTCTATCTTAGCATGGCTTACATGAGAGGAAATGGCGTTAATTTCCAGAAGAGAGGTTAATTTACTTATAAGGAAAACGTTCTGAGTGGAAGGAAGGATTATTACTGATCAGATAACTGAGGAATTTGTGGACTCTCTTTTCTTAGAGACTTTTAAGATGCAGAGAAACAGACTTTTGTCTGGAATAGAATTCTGGCAGGGAAACGAAGAGGTGGGGTGGATTGCACCCTTAAAGGTCTAGCAATTCCAACTCTGGTATCCTATAAGATGAAGAAAGGGATTTCTGCAATCATAGCTAGCCCCTATCTAGTGCTTACTGTGAGCCAATTAGTACTCTAGCCATTCTATATATTAACCCCTTTAATCCTCATGACAACCCCCTGAGGCAAGTTACTATCTACAGAGTGCAGGTGAGGAAATTGAGGCACACAGAGGTTAAGTCATCTGTTCAAAGTCACATCAATGAGGGCTTAACCAGGTTTGGGGCCCAGAGTGGGTCTCTGAACTTGCCATGAGAACTGGTACCTGCATTTTGGCTTTAAACAGGCAATCTCCTTTCCTATATCTAACTTACTGTGCAAGAGAAGTTGAAGTGCTTTATTTGAACTATATTTTTTTCAGCTTTATTAAGGTTTAATTGACAAATAGAAATTGTGTATATTGACGGTGCACAATGTGATGTTCTGATACATACATGCACTGTGAAATGATTGCATCAAGCTAATTAACATACATCGTTTCTCTCTTTTTTTTTTTTTTTTTTTGAGACGAAGTCTCGCTGTGTCACCCAGGCTGGAGTGCGGTGGCGCAATCTCGGCTCACTGTAACCTCCACCTCTTGGGCTCAAGTAATTCTCCTGCCTCAGCTTCTGGAGTAGCTGGGACTACAGGCGCCTGCCACCATGCCCAGCTAATCTTTGCATTTTTAGTAGAGACAGGGTTTCACCATGTTGGCCAGGCTGGTCTGGAATTTCTGACCTCAAGGGATCCACCTGCCTTGGCCTCCCAAAGTGCAGGGATTATAGGTGTGAGCCACTGCTCCCAGCCAGTTATTTTTTATATTGAAAACATTTAAATCTATTCTCTTAGCCATTTTCAAGTATTCAATACACTGTGACGAACTATAGTCACCACATTGTACAGTAGATCTCTTGAACTTATTCCTCCTGTATGAAAGAAATTTTGTATCCTTTGACCACATCTTCCCAGTCCTCCCCTCCCCATCCACACCCTGAGCCCCTGGTAACCACCATTCTAATCTCTGCTTCTATGAACTCAAGTGTTTTAGATTCCACAAATAAAAAAGAGCATGCAGCTTCTGTCTCTCTGTGCTTGGCTTATTTCGCTAAGCATAATGTCCTCCAGGTTCACCCACATTGTCACAAATCACTATATTCTGTTCTTCATAAATTTTAAAACTTGGGATCGAAGGAAGGAATTCTTTTAAGACCAGAACATTTTTCAGCATCTTTTTCAGCTTCTAGCCAAGCAGTAAACACGCAACTGTGGCGTGCCCCAGGATGCACGGCTTGGTGGGAGTAGGGCCACTAAGTAAGGCTGGGGTTCTCAGATTCTCTTCCTGGCCCCGGCTCAGGGTCCACTTCTGGTTGTGAACGGGTTTCAAATCCTTTATTAATTTTCCTCCCCAACTGCCCTGTTCTGACAAGGATTTAAGGCAGCTCAAGGCTAAAATCCCTTCTTAGTTTCAATACCTCTGCTACTCTGAGTCCCCAGAGGACCTTGGATATATGTACTCATTGTTAATCAGATGCTGCAGAAAACACAGCCCTCTTCCAGTTTTGGGTACAACCAAACAAGTTAAGCAAAAGAATAATATACCCTCATCTTGGTAATTGTCAAGAGGTGTCTTTGATCTACTAAAGGGAAGGCTATTTTCAGGTCGGAGTGGGGATGGGAGAACAAGAAATGATTAAAAAGAGCTTTCTCAGCCGGGCGCGGTGGCTCACGCCTGTAATCCCAGCACTTTGGGAGGCGGAGGCGGGCGGATCACGAGGTCAGGAGATCAATACCGTCCTGGCTAACACGGTGAAAAGCTGTCTCTACTAAAAATACAAAAAAATTAGCCAGGCGTGGTGGCGGGCGCCTGTAGTCCCAGCTACTCGGGAGGCTGAGGCAGGAGAATGGCGTGAACCCAGGAGGCGGAGCTTGCAGTGAGGCGAGATCGCACCACTGCAGTCCAGCCTGGGCGACAGAGCGAGACTCCGTCTCAAAAATAAATAAATAAATAAAAAAGAAAAAAGAACTTTCTCCTTAACTTACTAGGCCAGTTTTCCTCAACCAAAGATTGATGGAAAAATTGATGGTAGGTTTCATAGCTTTCTGGACAGTTCTGGAAAAGAGATCTTGGGAAGTGAATGTCCAGGTTTTAGTCTAGGCTCCTCTTAAGTTGGACCACAATAACTTGGTTCCAGGGTGCTTGTGACCGTCTACAATCCAGAGGATTTTATTTCTGACATAAAGTGTATTCAGAAGAAAACTATTTACAACTTGGGAAATTTGGGTGTTGGGGGTTTTCATCTCTGCACCCCTTTGTCTGCCTGAAGTGTTGCTGCTTAGGTTAGCTCCATGTGAGAATTCAACTTTTGGCTCTTTTTTTTTTTTTTTTTTTTTTTTTTTTTTTTTTTTTTAAGACAGAGGCTCGCTCTGTTGCCGGGCTAGAGTGCAATGGCACGATCTTGGCTCACTGCAACCTCTGTCTCCCAGGTTCAAGCGATTCTCTTGCCTCAGCCTCCTGAATGAATAGTTGGGACTATAGGCGTGCGCCACCACGCCCAGCTAATTCTTGCGTTTTTAGTAGAAACAGGCTTTCAACATGTTGGCCAGGATGATCTCGATCTCTTGACCTTGTGATCTGCCCAGCTCGGCCTTCCAAGGTGCTGGGATTACAGGCGTGAGCCACCGCGCCTGGCCTCTTTTGGCTCTCATTTCAGAAAAATGGGTTAGAAAAACCAAGGCCCAGTCTCACTCCTGCCCTCTTCCACTTTGTCTGCTGAACAGGGCAACGCTAGCCCTGTTGTTGGAAGGCCTCTGAACTCCAAGGCTCTGCCTGAAGGGTGGGCAAACCCTGCCCCCCACCCCCCGACCCGCACACACACCGTGACTGAAAATGAAGCTACCAGTGAGAGACCAGCAGAGAGCAGCTGGGACCCCTGACTTAGCTGACGCATGAGCCCACTAGTAAAACCGGATCCTCATGCCCTACTGTCAACCATCTCTTAATGAACTGCAAGGAACCTCTTCAGGCTCAGAGCCCAGTGTCTCCACTCTCCACTCAGGGATGGTCCAGCACCCCCTGAACTTCCGCACATGTCATAAGGAACGTGGCCGCCAGACACACGTGCCCTGGGACAGTCATGGGTGGACGCCTCAGAGGTCTATTCACCTCATGTGACCACCCAATAGGCCCAGGATCGGGATCCTAAGAATTTAACAAAATGAGTGGACAGAATTGACGGGGGAAGTGACATCCAGAGAAAATCTAGAAGAAGGGCAGGGATGTAAATGGACACAACCTAAAGTCACAATGTCAGAAGTTCTTAATGTTATCATCTGGGTGTGGTGGCTCACGCCTGTAATTCCAGCACTTTGAGAGGTTGAGGAGGGAGAGTCGCTTTATCCTAGGAGTTTGAGACCAGCATGGCTAACATAAGGAGATCCTGTTTCTCCAATTTTTTTTTTAATTAGCTGGGTGTGCTGGTGCTCACCTGTAGTCCCAGTTACTCAGGAGGCTGAGGTAGGTGGATAGCTTGAGTCTAGGAGCTTGAGTCTAGGAGTCTGAAATCAGCCTGGGCAACAGAGCAAGACCCTGTCTCTATTAAAATAAATAAACAAACATCGTTTTTAACCATTTAAGAATGCCCGAATGACATGATCACATCGTGAAAAAACCTCACAACACATACTTACAACATCTTGTACACAGTCACAGGGGGGTTTTGCTGGCAACCTGAAGCCTGGCTGTGGATGTGGCAAAAGCACCAGCAAATAATCGCTGCCCAATATGGTCAGACATGTCATCCCAGTGGAGGCAGACAGAGGGCTGGGGCCAGCCCTGTCTGCTCCAGGTCCAGGCATAAGTCACGCCCTCCACACAGTGATGTTCAATGGTCAGGGCTTGAGATTGAGAGACACTGCCATTGGTAGACCCCAAAGATGACAGGAACCCTGTCATCTCACTCTCAGGACAGGTTTCCTTGTCAATCATAGCCTCTGTGCATGACAAGAGTGGGTGCTTTTGTGAGCCACAAGCACCCACCCTCTGATGAGACGGAATGTGTAGGGAAACCTCAAATTCTGGGGCAATTTTACACAACTGAACAATGAGAGCACCAGGCGCAGTGGCTCATGCCTGTAATCCCAGCACTTTGGGAGGCTGAGGTGGGCAGATCACTTGAGGTCAGGAGTTCGAGACTACCCTGTCCAACATGGTGAAACCCCATCTCTACTAAAAATACGAAAGTTGGCCAGGCATGGTGGTGGGCACCTGTAATTCCAGTTACTCAGGAGGCTGAGGCAGGAGAATCACTTGAGTCTGGGAAGCAGAAGTTTCAGTGAGTTATGATCATGCTATGGCTGGCACTCCAGCTTGGGCAAAGAGCAAGACCCTGTAGAAAGAAAGAAAGAAGAGAGAAAGAAAGAAGGAAAGAAGGAAGGAAGGAAAAAACAGAAAGAAGGAAGAAAAAGAAAGAAAGAGAGAAAGGAAGGAAGGAAGGAAAGGAAGGAAAGAAAGAGAAAGAAAGATCAAAGCAAAAAAATTTTTAGTTACATGTCAAAGTAACATACACTGACGTGGTAGAAACACCTAAGAACCAACATTGCAGTTCCAGTTTGCAATCTGCCAGGAGAGCAAATTAAAAGGGAAAATGTGCTGTAATGAGATTCTTTGCAGCATTTTGGTGACTGCATCCCCCTGAGGGTGCCCTGAATCCCACACTGCCACGGCTCCAAAGGGATCGTCACAAAACCTCAGGAACCAAGGAAACTGTAGTTCATGCTGTTACGGCCTTTTCCATAGGCACAACCCAACATATTCCATTTTAAAATAAGTCCTTGATAGTGCTATCAACACAGGCTGCACGTCTCCCATGCTCTCTTTGTTTCTAAGACAGTCACAGGCCGAGGTATTGAGACCTGAGAGGTGAGGAGGGAGACAGAGGAAAGGCACCCCTCCTACCTCGCAGTCTTGGTCTAGAATGTTCTTTCACTAGGTTTAGGGGTTCTTATGATTTTGTGCCTGTGGTTTTCTAGTTCCAGACTCAGCAGTGCTATCCTCAAACTATAAGTACCTATAAAAGAATTTCAGCCTGGAGCCAAATTAATGTATCTGATAGTGATCAAATCATTACTCTCTGTTGTCATCTGGGTGGGATGAGGCCAAACTCCATTCGGTGCCAAACTTGCTTCAGACGGTGTCTCCAGCTGGTGGCATATACACACGCTGGCCACACTTAGGTAGAAGTATAAAATTATAAAATGTATGGCTTGGAATTAGTGGGGCGGTAGGGCTATAATTCATGGGACACATGCATTTCGTTCTGGAGTCCTCATTCTAAATCTGCTACATGAGATTTAAAAGGCATGGATCCAAACCCACCAAGGGCAGGAGACGAAAGGCAGCTCCCTGCTGAGTTTGTCTAATTACAGACGTCTGTCCCAGTGTTGACAGTTCATTTGCCAATGCAGCATTGTCACGCTGAGCACCCAACTAGAGAATATTTGACGCTGAATATTCTAGCAGGTGCTCTGTAAGGCCCTGCACACTGCAAATGACATTGTGAATGAGTTATTCACAAAAGGCTCAGTTGATCCCACACAGACCCAGGGAAGTTTACTCTAGAGACTGCAAGGTAGCAGGCAAGAATGGCAGGGCCCACTGGTCCCTGGGTGCAGTGAGGACAGGGGATAATGGTGCCACCCAGGCTGCTGCTGGAGAGAGTTAGGTGGGGAGAGCTCAGTCGAAGTCCCTGGACACCAGAAAAAGGAGTAATAAACACTCGGGCCAGGAAAAGGGTGGGCCTGTCATTGTGGAGCTCAGGAAGTGCTGGTTTGCTTTGAAGCAAGGAATGCAGCTGGTCTTCCTTCTCCCCGAGATGTGGATCTAAGGTCCAGGAAGCACAGGTATGAGGGGCTGAAGTACTTAAACAAGGCTAGCTGGACGCCAACCTGGGTTGGACAGATGGCTGTATGCAGGCCCACGGTGAGAAAGTCAGGAAAGACCCCTTCTTTACAAAGCCAAGAACTTCACACATGCATGTGTGCACACACACACACACACGCATGCACACACACACATCATTTTTTCTTTTCCCACAAACACACACACATATCAGATGCACACACCACTGACACATATACATCCCATACCTCAGACACACATATACCATTAAATAAAATAGTTAATATTATTATTATGGTTTTTTTTGACACGGAGTCTTACTGTGTCACCCAGGCTGGAGTACAGTGGCACAATCTCCGCTCACTGCAACCTTTGCTTCCTGGGTTCAAGCAATTCTCCTTCCTCAGCCTCCCAAGTAGCTGGTATTACAGGCAGGTGCCACCACGCCCAGCTAATTTTTGTATTTTTAGTAGAGGCGGGGTTTCACCATGTTGGCCAGGCTGGTCTCGAACTCCTGACCTCAGGTGATCACCAGCCTCGGCCTCCCAAAGTGCTGGGATTACAGGCGTGAGCCACCGTGCCCGGCGGTTAAAATTATTTTTAAAAGTAGTTTTTATTATTTGTTGAGCCCCTACTTTGGGCTGGGCACTTTGCTAGATGCCCTGCATAGATGACCACCCAATAGTCCTCACAGCTGCTCTTAGAGCCATGGTAGTACCATGCCCATTTTATAGATCAGAAAATGAGGGCCGGCATAATTAAGTAGCCGGCCAAAGGCGTGGCTACAGAGTTCAAACAGGGCTTGAGTGGGTCCATCGAACTCCAGAGCTCAAGTTCTCTGCCTGGAAACTATACGTCTATTGTGTTGGGAGATTTTGGCTGCCATTGAGAAAAGGATCTACGACAAAATTACTAGTGGGAGTCCAGGGGAGTGAGACCAAGCAGATGAATGTGCTGTGAAATTTGTTTCTAATTAAATCTGACACAAACTTTTAAAACATTATTATATACAGAGTTGCAAACCCCCCCCCCAAAAAAAAATCCAAATGCCAGCCACAACCACCAATTAATCAGAGAATTATAAAAATACAGACTGCCTTTGTAGATATCTAAATGTAGAAACCCACCTACGGAGCTGAATTAGCCCTGGAACTCCCCATGGCTGCTGCAGTCAGTAACCAGGAGAGCTCACCTACTCTCTTCTTGTGGAGGCCCCTTACTGAAAAATATCTGTTGACAGGAGGATCAACTGAAGGGTTTTTAAGTTGACTTAAAACCAGTGGGTAGTTAGGGTGTGGTGGCACATGCCTGTAATCTCAGCACTTTGGGAGACTGAGGCAGGAGGACCACTTGAGCCCAGGAGTGTGAGACCAGCCTGGGCAACATAGTGAGACCCCATCTCTACAAAAAATAAAAATAAATACCTGGGCGTGGTGGTGTGCACCTGTGGTCTCAGCTACCTGGGAAGCTGAAATGGGAGGAGCGTTTGGGCCCAGGAGATTGAAGCTGCAGTGAGCCAAGATTGCGCCACTGCACTCCAGCCTGGGTGACAGAGCGAGACCCTGTCTCAAACAAATAAATAAATAGAAACTAGTGGCCCTCAGAAAGCTGCCTGTGAAAATATTTTGCACTTAACTGATACCCTGTGTTATTAGTGTGATATTGACGTCAGCAGCACACACTTATGTGACATGTTCTCAAAGCAGCTAGACCATCGGCTCCTGCCACATGGGTGGCTCCATCTCCTCCAGCCTGTCTTGAGGCTGATGACCCAGTAGGGACAATGCTCTGATGTGCTGCAATCAGATGTTACAGGTAGAGGCTTGGGTCAATGTTAAATGCGTGTTTGACAGATGCTGCTTCCTGCAGGACTTCAGTTCATGCTAAGCTACAGGAAGTAACGATCAAGTTGGTCAAGGAGAACATGGCAAGGCAAAACTTTGACTTTTTATCTTTTTCTTTTTTTTTTTTTTGAGACTTGAGTCTCGCTCTGTCGCCCAGGCTGGAGTGCAATGGCGTGATCTTGGCTCACTGCAAGCTCTGCCTCCTAGGTTCAAGTGATTCTCCTGTCTCAGCCTCCCTAGTAGCTGGGATTACAGGCGCCTGCCACCATGCCTGGCTAATTTTTTGTATTTTTAGTAGAGATGAGACGGGGTTGCACCATGTTGGTCAGGCTGGTCTTGAACTCCTGACCTCAAATGATCCACCCACCTCGGCCTCCCAAAGTGCTGGCATTATAGGCATGAGCCACTCCACCTGGCTATTTTTTTTTTTTTTTTTTTTTTTTTTAAGAAACAGGGTCTTGCTCTGTCACCCAGGCTGGAGTACTGGAGTACAGTGGTACAATCATAGCTCACTGAAGCCTTGAACTAGTGGGGTCAAGCAATCCTCCTGCCTCAGCCTCCCAAATAGCTGGGACTATAGGCACAGACCACCACACCTGGATAATTTTTTAATTTTTATTTTGTAGAGATGGAGGCCTTGCTATGTTGCCCAGGCTGGTCTCTAACTCCTGGGCTCAAGTGATCCTCCCATATCCTAAAGCACTGGGACTACAGGCATGAGCCACTGCACTCAGACAAAATTTTGACTTTCTTCTTAAAAAAAAAAAGGTGAATCAAATAAGTAATAACCTCTGAAGAGGGACAACTGGGCCCTTGTAATCCTGACAGCTGGCTTCCTGAAAAATCTTCCTTTTAGGGCTTTTTCAGGCCAGCCTCTAAGGATCTACTCTTCTTTAAACTTCTGGCCCCAGTGTGGAGATAAACTCCTGTCTATTTTCCACAAGACAATTCTGATAGCACTGGAACATTAAATGTTTATGAATCATGGAAGAGAAAGAAACAAAGAAACTCAACATGCCATCAGAGAGTCTGGCATCAAAATGCCATCCTCTCCTTTCTGGGATGCCTGATTCTTTATCCTGCTCCCTGCCTGGAAGGGGCCAAGTCCATCTGCAATGCCTGGCAATGTCTGGCAATGCCTGGAAACATCATCAGTCAGGTCTAGACACCTCAGACTCCAAACTCAGGGACAGGAGATGCAGAGAGGAGTGTGCCCTCTCCCTCACAGCCAAGATCCCCTTGCTCTGCTTCCGATGACCCAGCAATCCATTCCTTTACTCACCTGATATTTACTGAGTACTTACTATGTGCTGGATACTTGGGTGGGGGCTGAAGATGAAGGGATGGAACAACATCTCTGCCTCCCACTGCATGGGAAGTAGCTTTGTTTGGTGGTCTCTGGGGTTCCTTCACAAGTCACCAGAGAGTCTTGCTTCTATCATAACTTATTCTGATGTTTTTACAAAAGTTTCTCTTCCACTCGCTTTGGTCTCTGCCCCAAGTGTCAAACACTGAGTTTAACCCTAAGAAAAGACTCCGACGGCTGCTTCCATTTTTACTGGGATGGGGATGATGGGCAGCTGCACTGGACGGCCTGAGTTTCCTTAGTTCTTTATTTATTTATATATTTTTTTGAGACAAAGTCTCGCTCTGTCACCCAGGCTGGAGTGCAGTAGTGCGATCTCGGCTCACTGCAATCTCTGCCTCCCAGGTTCAAGCAATTCTCATGCCTCAGCCCCACCAAGTAGCTGGGATTACAGGTGGGCACCACCATGCCTGGCTAATTTTTGTATTTTTAGTAGAGGTGGTGCTTCACCATGTTGGCCAGGCTGGTCTTGAACTCCTGACCTCAGGGGATCCTCCTGCCTGGGTCTCCCAAAGTGCTGGGATTACAGGTGTGAGCCATCACACCCAGCCAAGTTTCCTCAGTTCTAAGCATCAAAAGCACCGATGGTGCCAATACGCTGTCTGAGCAGAGACTTTTTAATAAAGCATGTTTTGGGATCCCTGACTGCAATGAATAAGGCATCCAGGCCATGCCTGTACCACAAACATGTTCTCTGGGGATCTTAAGTCTCCATAGGAATCCCTCTGGCCCCAGGAATTGGTTGCTGGACATACTCTACCCTATGAAGTTGATGGAATATCCACAACAAAATATCACACGGTCCAGGAAACCTGGTCAAAAAAGCCAAGTTCAAGGAAGTGCTGGGTCTCAATTCAAGTCTGAGGCCAGGGAGCAAGGCTCTGGGGCTCTCAGATCTTTCAGGACTCTGGAGTGACTGACCCAGTTCAGTTGGTGTGTCATGTGGCTGGGGAGGGACAGACGGCACAGGGGTTGGCTAAGCAGGAGGGAGAGCGGCCGGGGCTCCTTCCATCTGAGCTTCCCTGGCACCCGCCCCTGCTCTAGGATGCTCCCCTAAGTCCCAGTTCTGTGCTCATTCCCTGCACCTCGGCTCCTCAGCACCACCAGGTTCCCAGAATTCCCAGCTCTGCCCACTGCTTCCACCAAATAGAAACAACTGCAGCTGTTGTTTCTGGAGAATGGACGTCAATTGATGGACATCACTGAATTCTCTTCCTTTAAGTTTCTCATAAAAGTTTCTATACATTTACAGCAAGTAAAGCCTATATTTTTCTGTGTATTCTAAAGTGCACTGTCTTTCATGATCTGACTACCAGGAGAGCAACTCCTCATTGGGTTACTTATTACTATTTTTATTATATTTAAAAGACTTTGCAATTTTCTTTTAAGTGATTTGTTTTGCCTTGTAATTAGATGCTGTGAATAAAACAAAAAGAGTGGGGGGTTTTTTTGGTTTTTTTTTTTTTAGAGATGGGGTCTTGCTATATTGCCCAGGCTGGTGTCAAACTCCTGGCCTCAAGCAATCCTCCTGCCTCAGCCTCCCAGAATGTTGGGATTACGGTCTTAGCCACCTTGCCAGACCTAGAAGAGTCGTAAAGTGATCTTGGGATTGTCTTTAGCAATCCCACTGAAAGATAAAAGGATAAAAAAGGCAGCAAGATAAAAATGCAGGATGGGGCTGGGCATAGTGGCTCACACCTGTAATCCCAGCACTTTGGGAGGCCAAGGCAGGTGGATCACCTGAGGTTAGGAGTTCAAGACCAGCCTGGCCAACACGGTGGAACCCTGTCTCTACTAAAGATACAAAAATTAGCCAGGTGTGGTGGCACTCGCTTGTAGTCCCAGCTATTAGGGGGATAAGGTGGGAAGATCATTTGAACCCAGGGGGCAAATGTTGTAGTCAGCCGAGATTATGCCAGTGCACTCTGGCCTGGGTGACAAAGTGACATCCTGTCTCAGAAAAAAACAAAAGAAAAAACTGTAGGATGCAATTCTTACCTCATTCTCCTAACATAGTTGTTTTCAGGTTGTGGTCCATGACACTTTGAGAGTTGCTGAAACCTTTCCAGGGATTCCATGGCACCAAAACTATTTTCAATGATAGTAAATATTATTTACCTTTCCACTGTGTTGACATTCACACAGAAACTATGGGTAAAACTGCTGGCATCTTAGCATAAACCAAGGCAGTGGCACCAAACTTTACTAGTAGTCACTATGTTTTTGCCACCACACATTCAGAGGGGGAAAACGTCTCACTTAAGGACCCCCTAGGGTTGAGTGTGGTGGCTCACACCTGTAATCCCAACATATGGGAGGCTGACATGGGAGGATCGTTTGAGCCAGGAATTCGAGGCTGCAGTGAGCTATGATTGTGCCACTGCACTCCAGCCTGGGCAACAGAGTGAAACCCTGTCTCTAAAGAGAAAAAAAAAAAAAAGGACACCTTAGATGAGCAGTAAATATTATAAATTTTATTACATCTTAAACATTGAGTATGGGAAAAGATTCATTCAAGGTGCAAGAAAGACCCATGGACTTTATGAAACAAAAGTATGAATAGTTCCTTGATATGGTCTTGGATTCCACATTGCAACAAACCTTAAAGAAACTACCTCTTGTTTTTGTTTGTTTGTTTGTTTGTTTGTTTGTTTTTGAGATGGAGTCTTGCTCTGTCACCCAGGCTGGAGTGCAGTGGCGTGGTCTCAGCTCACCGCAACCTCCACCTCCCACGTTCAAAAGATTCCCCTACCCATCTACTGTAATACCGAGTAGCTGGGATTACAGGCACGTGCCACCATGTCTGGCTACTTTTTGTATTTACTTTTTTTTTTTTTTTTTGTAGAGATGGGGGTTTGGCCATGTTGGCCAGGCTGGTCTCGAACTCCTGACCTCAAGTGAACCGCCCGTCTCTTCCTCCAAAAGTGCTGGGATTACAGGTGTTAGCCACCGTGCCAGCCAAGAAACTACCACTTGTTGAGTTTTGATGTAATAACCAGGAAAAATATCCATAATTATCTGAAAAGACTAATAAAATGCTCCTTCCTTTTCCGTGACTTTAGCGGATATGAGAATCCAGTAGTCTTTTATTATGCTAGACATTAAAGAGGTTTGCAAACACATAAAACAAGACTACCCTTCTAATTTTCTTTGTTTTGAAAAATACGGGTTTTTTAAATTATAAAATATGTTAAAATGTTTGAAAGGTAACATGTATTGTTTTGTAGTTATCTTTAAATGAATTAATACATATTTTATACATTTCTCACTTGTCATTTCTTATATGGTAAATGTTGATAGGTACAATTCACATAAACAAAGCCCTTTAGGGTCCCTAATGATGTTTAAGAGTGTAAAGGGGTTCTCAGAACAGAATAGTTGAAAACTCGCTGACTTACTAGCCCCAAAACCTTGCCTGACTCACTGAGGAGCAGAAGTCCTTGAACTGTTTGTAACAAAAAGAATTTATCTAGACCAGTGAGAACCAGAGTGAGGCCCACATCGCCACAATGGCACTAGCAGCTTGCTGGGGCAGCCTGGAGGAGCCTGCCAAAGAAAAGAGATTTGAGGCTCAAATCATGGACACTGCTGGGACCTTGACACTATCAAGACTGCTCTGAATTACAGGAGCTGTTCTGTACTATCTGTTCTTGGAGCCAAATTTCCTAATTTTTATGTTTAATGCCAAGGACATCCATGCCTGGACTTTCTCCTGATGTGTTTATTCTTTAGTCTCCAAGAGAAAGCTTCCACTAATATCTCCTATATGCAGAAATATTGTCTGATGGAAGCAGGGAATAAATTCTAGAGAGTCAAGATAGATACTTGACTTCCTTTCTTTCAAGATTTACCTGCAGATATTTTAAACAGAGTCTATAAAAGTTGGACCCAAGCAACGAGCTAAATAGGTTTGCAAATCAGGCACTAAGAGAGCCAGCGGTGTTAGCACCTGGGAGGTGGCATGAGGCTCTGAATTCTACCTCACACACTGCATTTACCAATAGAGTATTCTGGATTGACAGTTCTCACAGTGTGTTTATTAAACCAGCAGCCTCAGCCTTACCTGGGAACTTGCTAGAAATGCAAATGCTATCGCTCCACCCTAGACCTACTGGATCAGAAACTCATAGTGGGGGGACAGCAGATTGTGGGTTTTGTTTTTTTTTTTTTTGAGACAGAGTCTCACTCTGTTGCCTAGGCTGGAGTGTAGCGGTGCGATCTCAGCTCACTGCAACCTCTGCCTCCGAGGTTCAAGAGATTCTCTTGCCTCAGCCTCCCGAGTAGCTGGGATTACAGCTGCCTGCCACCACACCTGGCTACTTTTTTTGTATTTTTAGTAGAGACAGGGTTTCACCATGTTGGCCAGGTTGGTCTTGAATTCCTGATCTCAAGTGATCTGCCCACCTCAGCCTCCCAAAGTGTTGGGATTACAGGCGTGAGCCACCACGCCTGGCCAGATTGTTTTAACAAGGCCCCAGTTAACTCTGATGCCGACTCAAGTTAGAGAACCACTACTCTAGATGAAAAGGGGCAAGAGGTTTTGTCTGTCACCTTCCCATGTACTATTGCAAGGTATCTTCTTCGTTTCCCAATGGGTTCTTCAGCTCCCAGCCATCTCTCCTACTTCACAGGAGACAGGACCTCATTTTTATATCTTGCTGCCAACCCTTTCCCAAATGAAATGTGAGCAAATAAGGCTTCGGGTATCAAGTTTTATTTCAGAAGAAATCCTTAAGTGTGGAACTCAGAGGTGCTGCCCAGAGACTGAATACCTTAGCTTTTCTCTTAACCCATGATGCTTACCATTAAGTTCATTTCTTTTATAGTTTCATCTCTTTTTGAAAGTATTTACATTTAATCTCACATTAGCTTGTGCAAAGCTGATAGAAACTTTCATGACTGGGTATGTGAGCACTGCCCCTTTGCCTTCCTTTTTCCTGCCGAATTTTAGACCAAGATTTACTAGACAGATCCCCCGACAGCCATTTCTTATAACACCCAGGAAAAGTAGGAGGAACTTAAAGACTGGTATGTTGGACTCCCACTGCTGACACCACATGAACACCTGCTGGGTGCTTCGAGGGCTAATTCAGCATCCTAACTAGAACTGCTAAGCCTAGCCAGCTGCATGAAAAATATATTCAGACAGTTAAATTTATTACCTCTACTTGCAGTGTAATTCATATTATGGGTTCTTCCACTGAGGACTCAGAAGTCTAATTCTCACAGGAAGCATAGTGCCTACTTAGAGAATCCAGTGGATCAGGGCTCAGGAAACCAGAACAAATGTACCCCATCCCTACCCCACTGCACCACAGAGAATAGCCAGGGCAGTACCACGGAAAGCCTCCAAAACCACCTGCACATATGGGCAATTCTGAGTCTTCCTGCATTGGTGAATGTTATTAGTAGAGGCAACCAAGAGCACCAAGAAAGACTCACCTTCAGAGACTAGCATATATTTCTCCTAAAATGTGACATTGCTTGCCACTTCAATTTTGTCTGTTTCTATTAATTGGGTAATGAGCCAGACTCAGTGGCTTATGCTTGTAATCCCAGGACTTTGAGAGGCTGAGACAGGAGGATTACTTGAGCTCAGGAGTTCATGACCAGCCTGGGCAACATAGTGAGACCTTGTCTCTATTAAAAAAAATTAAAAAATTAGACAGGCACAGTGGTGTACACCTGTGATCCCAACTACTCAAGAGGCTGAGGTGGGAGATCACTTGAGACTAGGAGTTCAAGGCTGCAGTGAGCCATGATTGCACCACTGCACTCCAGCCTAGGCAACAGAGCAAGACCCTGTCTCTAAATAAATAAATATGTAAAGAAATGTCTGAGATAATTTTATCAATGGAAGCACTCATTTTGAATGCCAAATAAATGCACATACATACCTCATCACCTTCTTCCAGGTGGCATGTCTGCCTGTTAGCAAAATTGTTTCCAAGATAAAAATATTGATATGTATTAACAGGGTTTGTTGGGGGGATATTGATTTGACAAGCCTAAAATAAGTATGGAGCCATGAAAGAAAATTTAACATTAAAATATTAAAGCCAGATTCTGTGGTGCACATGAGTAGCTCCAGCTACTCAGGAGGCCACGATGAGAGGATCACTTGAGCCCAGGAGTTCCAGGCCAGCCTAGGCCATATAGTGAGACCCTGTCTCTAAAGTAAACAAACAAACAAATGAATAAGATATGAAAGTAATCTGGATGTCTCCCCTTTGGTGGCTCAAAGAGACAGAGTAGGAAGGAGGACGGTTGGAGGGGAGTTCTGTGTTCTTAGCCTATATTATCCTCTTGAACTTTCGCAGCAAACAGTTCACCAAGTCCTGAGGAGGAGAAGTTTGCAACAGTCACATCTATTATGCCACTCTGCCTTTTGTCAGGACCACCCTATGTCAAAAGTAACATCATTGTGTTCTTAAAGATCTCCAGAGAAAGATTTCATTCCTTCATCTCTTCTCTCTAATGGCACAAAAGAGGACACTCTGGGGAAAATTCTGCAGCCTCTATTTTCCTTTGTGGTACCACTGTTATTAACACACTGACTGTGTCTCTCCAAAATTCATACACCGAAGCCTTGATCCTCAGTGTGACTGTATTTGGATATGCAGCCTATGAAGAAGTAATTAAGGTTAAATGTAGTCATAAGGGTGGGGCCTTAATCCAACAACATTAGTGTCCTTTTTAGAAGAGACACCAGGGTGCTCTGTCTCTATCTCTCTCTCTCTCTCTCTCACACACACACACACACACACACACACACACACACTCCCTCTGTACATGCACGAAGAGGCCCTGTGAGCACACAGTGAGATGGCTGCTGTCTGTCAGTCAGAAACAGCCCTCACCAGAAACGAAACACTGCTGGAGCCTGATCTTGGACTTCCCAGTCTCCAGAATTGTGAGAAAATATATTTCTGTTGTTTAAGCCATGCAGTCTATGGGATTTTAGCCCTAGCAGACTAAGAAAACCAATTCCATATGAAATGCAATTGAATCAACCAGGGTTCTTGGTAGCAAGTAACAAAAACTGGCTCTGACTTGAAGCAATAAGAGATTTAAGGGGACATCATCTGGGGCTCTCAGAATTGCTGGGAAGCTGAAAGAACAGGTTTGGCACAGCAAAAACCATGGGAGACCTGCAGAGGAGGGTCATGCTAAGTGAAACAGAGCAACAGCTTTGCAATAAGCATTGTGACGATGCCTGGCACTACTGTGAGGAGTCTAACCTCTGAAATTCCTCTCCTTCCCTGTTTCACATGCACCAAATCCAAAGTTCCCAAGAGCAAGAAACTGAGTGGCCAAGCTTGGGTCACCGAGCCACTCAACCTGACCAGAGCTTGAGGCAGATGGAGAGGGAAGAGGCAGTGGGAGGCAGGAACCAGGATGCCTTTGGGCCAAGACAATGCTCAACAGAAATGTAATTCCCAGTAAGGAAATTAGGTAGCTATTGGGAAGGAAAATGGATATACTGTCACCCACAGCAATAACATACGTGTCTTTCCCCAAAAGGAAGGTAGTCATTGAATATGTAGTTGCAATCAAATCCTGGCATGTGCAATGTGGCATAAGAACTTTTGCGAGCACCCATATACAACCCATGAAGGGTAATTGTGGTCCCACTAAGCTTGATTTCCATGAGCTTGGATTGCAACTTTTCCTTGTCCACACTTTTCCTACTCAAGGCTGCTGGCCGAGCAGTGAATTGCTTGGCATCCCTCCTGTTCGCCATTCAACTGGCAGCATTGGCAGTTGTGTTGTACTTTGGCAGTTTTCTTTCTATCCCATCTTCAAGCTTGGCTTCTTACAAGTCATGATGATTTTACAAGCATTTATTAACCTAGATCTTAATGTCGGTGGCCACTGTGAATGTCCCAGAGAAGTAAGGGATGTTCTGCAGTCACAGATAAATCTATCAGAACAGAAAAAATGGATCCATCTGTTCCAAGTAGAATCCATGTCACATCAAAAGGAGAACAAGTGAGCCACACTAGAGGGCAAAGTGTCTTCCACTTCTCAATGACCAAAGGACACACGATCTGAGAGCCAATGTCTATGAGATGCACCATTAGTAAGAAAGAAAAAACACTGCCAAGCTATGAGACAATATTTTTGTATTATGCAGGAATTTTCTCTTATGCATATTGAAAAAGATGTTTTGGTCTTATTTCGACATAGGTTTTATAATAGATTGCTTTTACGCACATACTAAAAGGGAAACATAAGAAAAATTGCAGACAACTTTGGATTCACACCGTGACTCTGCTGAATCACTTAAAAAATTTTTTTTTAAATTTCAATAGGTTTTTGGGGAACAGGTGGTGGTTGGTTATTTGAATAAGTTCTTTAGTGGTGATTTCTGAGATTTTGGAGCACCCATCCCCCAAGCAGTGTACACTGTACCCAGTGTATAGTCTTTTATTCCTCAACCCCTCCCACCCTTTCCCCTAAGTCCCCAAAGTCCAATGTATCATTCTTATGCCTTTGCGTCCTCATAACTTAGCTGCCACATATGAATGAGAGCATACGATGTTTGGTTTTCCATTCCTGAGTTACTTCACTTAGGATAGCCTCCAATTCCATCCAGGTTGCTGTGAATCCCATTATTTCACTCCTTTCTATGGCTGAGTAGTATTCCATGGTAGATACATAGAACAGTTTCTTTATTCACTCTGATTGATGGGCATTTGGGCTGGTTCCATATTTTTGCAGTTGCAAATTTTGCTGCTGTAAACATGCGTGTGCAAGTATCTTTTTCATATAATAACTTCTTTTCCTCTTGGTAGATAACTAATAGTGGGATTACTGGATCAAATGGTAGATCTACTTTTAGTTCTTTAGGGAATCTCCACGCTGCTTTCCATAGTGGTTGTACTAGCTTACATTCCCGATAACAGTGTAAAAGTGTTCCCTTTTCACGGCATTCACGCCAACATTTACTTTCTTTTTGATTTTTTGATTAGGGCTGTTCTTGCTGGAGTAAGGTGGTATCGCATTGTGGTTTTGATTTGCATTTCTCTGATAATTAGTGATGTTGAGCATATTTCCATATGCTCATTGGCCATTTGTACATCTTTTTTTTTGAGAATTGTCAATTCATGTCCTTAGCCCACTTTTTGATGGGATTGTCTTTTTTTTCTTGCTAATTTGTTTGAGTTTGTTGTAGATTCTGGATATTAGTCCTTTGTCAGATGTATACATTGTAAAGATTTTCTCCCACTCTGTGGGTTGTCTATTTACTCTGCTGATTATTTCTTTGCTGTGCAGAAGCTTTGTAGTTTAATTAAGTCCCATCTATTTATCTTTGTTTTTGTTGCATTTGCTTTTGGGTTCTTGGTCATAAAGTCTTGCCTAAGCCAATGTTTAGAAGGGTTTTTCTGACATTATCTTCTAGAATCTTTATGGTTTCATGTCTTAGATTTAAGTCTTTGATCCCTCTTGAGTTGATTTTTGTATGACAGGTGAGGATCCGGTTTCATTCTTCTACATGTGGCTTACCAATTATCCCAGCACCATTTGTTGAATAGGATGTCCTTTCTTTACTTTATGTTTTTGTTTGTTTTGTTGATGACCAGTTGGCTATGAATATTTGGCTTTATTTCTGGGTTCTCTATTCTGTTCCAGCAGTCTATGTGCCTATTTTTAAAACAGTACCATGCTGTTTTGGTGACTATAGCCTTATAGTACACTTTGAAGTCAGGTAATGAGATGCTTCCAGATTTGTTCTTTTTGCTTAGTCTTGCTTTGGCTATGCAGGCTCTTTTTTTTTTTTTTTTTTTTTTTTTTTTGGTTCTATATGAATTTTAGGGTTGTTTCTTCTAGTTCTGTGAAGAATGCTGATGGTATTTTGATGGGAATTGCATCGAATTTGTAGATTGCTTTTGGCAGTATGGTCATTTTCACAATATTGATTCTACCCATCCATGAGCATGGGATATGTTTCCATTTGTTTGTACCATCTATGATTTCTTTCAGCAGTATTTTGTAGTTTTCCTTGTAGAGGTCTTTCAGGTCCTTGGGGTTAGGTATATTTCTAAGTTTTTTTTTTTTTTTTCAGCTATTAGGAAAAGGGTTGAATTCTTAATTTGATTCTCAGCTTAGTTGCTGTTGGTCTATAGCAGAGCTACTGATTTGTGTACATTAATTTTGTATCCTGAAACTTTGCTGAATTCATTTACCAGTTATAGGATCTTTCTGGATGAGTCTTTAGGGTTTTCTAGGTATACGATCATATCATCAACAAACAGTGACAGTTTGACTTCCTCTTTACTGATTTGGATGCCCTTGATTTCTTTCTCTTGTCTGACTGCTCTGTCTAGGACTTCCAATACTATGTTGAATAGAGGTGGTGAAAGTGGGCATCCTTGTCTTGTTCCAGTTCTCAGCGAGAATGCTTTCACCTTTTTCCCATTCAGTATAATGTTGGCTGTGGGTTTGTTGTAGACGGCTTTTATTACCTTAAGGTATGTCCCTGGTATGCTGATTTTGCTGAGGGTTTTAATCAAAGGGATGCTGAATTTTGTCAAATGCTTTTTCTGTGTCTATTGAGATGATCATGTGATTTTTGTTTTTAATTCCATTTACGTGGTATATTACATTTATTGACCTACGTATGTAGGTCATACCTGCATCCCTGGCATGAAACCCATTTGATCATGGTAGATTATCTTTTTGATATGCTGTTGGATTCAGTTTGCTAGTATTTTGTTGAGGATTTTTGTATCTATGTTCATCAGGGATATTGGTCTGTGGTTTTCTTTGTTATGTCCTTTGCTGGTTTGGGTATTAGGGTGATAGTGGCTTCATATAACGATTTAGGGAGGATTCCCTTTTTACCTTGTGGAATAGTGTGAATAGGATTGGTACCAATGCTTCTTTGAATGTCTAATAAAATTCAGCTGTGAATCTGTCTGGTCCTGAACTTTTTTTGTTGGCAATTTTTTAATTACCATTTCAGTCTCGCTGCTTGTTACTGGTATGTTCAGAGATTTTATATCTTCCTGGTTTAATCTAGGAGGATTGTATATTTCCAAGAATTTATCCATCTCCTCTAGGTTTTCTAGTTCATGCACGTAAAGGTGCTCATAGAGGCCTTGAAAAATCTTTTGTATTTCTGTAGTATGAGTTGCAATATCTCCCATTTTTCTTCGAATTGAGCTTGTTTGAATATTTTCTCTTCTTTTCTTGGTTAATCTTGCTAATGGTCTATCAATTTTGTTTATCTTTTCAAAGAACTAGCTTTTTGTTCCACTTATCTTTTGTATTTGTTTGTTTGTTTGTTTTTTTGTTTCAGTTTCATTTAGTTCTGCTCTGATCTTTGTTATTTCTTTTATTCTGCTGGGTTTGATTTTGGATTGTTCTTCTTTCCCAAGTTCTGTGGCGTGTGACCTTAGATTGTCTATTTGTGGTCTTTCAGACTTTTTGATGTAGGCATTTAATGCTATGAACTTTCCTCTTAGCATCACTTTTGCTGTATCACAGAGGTTTTGATAGATTGTGTTCCTATTATTGTTCAGTTCAAATAATTTTCAAATTTCCATCTTGATTTCATTGTTGATCCAATATCATTCAGGAGAAGGTTATTTAATTTTCATGTATTTGCAAGATTTTAGGGTTCCTTTTGGAGTTGATTTCCAACTTTTTTCCACTATGGTCTGAGAGAGTACTCGACATAATTTAGATTTTCTTAAATTGACTGAGACTTGTTTTGTGGCCTGTCATATGGTCTACCTTGGAGAATGTTCCATGTGCTGATGAATAGAAGGTATATTCTGCAGTTATTGGGTAGGATGTTCTATAAATATCTGTTAAGTCCATTTCTTGTAGGGAATAGTTTAAGTTCATTGTTTCTTTGTTGACTTTCTGTCTTGATGACCTGTCTAGTGCTATCAGTGGAGTATTAAAGTCCCCCACTATTATTGTGTTGCCATCTATCTCATTTCTTAGGTCTAGTAGTTACTGTTTAACGAATTTGGGAGCTCCAGTGTTAAATGCATATATATTTAGAATTGTGACATTTTCCTGTTGGACTCATCCTTTTATCATTATGTAATGTCTCTTTGTCTTTTTTAACTGCTGTTGCTTTAAAGTTTGTTTTGTCTCATATGAGAATAACTACTCCTGCTCACTTTCAGTGTCCATTTGCATGGAATATCTTTTTCCACCCCCCTACCTTAAGTTTATGTGAGTACTTGTGTGTTAGGTGAGTCTCCTGAAGACAGGAAAAACTTGGTTGCTGAATTCTTATCCATTCTGTCATTTGGTATCTTTTAAGTGGGGCATTTAGGCCATTTACATTTAATGTTAGTATTGAGATATGAGGTACTATTATATTCATTGGGTTATTTGTTGCCTTAATACCTTATTTTTTAAATTTTGTTATTGTTATATAAGTCATGTGAGATTAATGCTTTAAAGAGGTTCTATTTTGGTGTATTTTGAGGATTTGTTTCAAGATTTAGAGCTCCTTTTAGCAGTTCTTATAGTGCTGGCTTGATGGTGGCAAATTTCTCAGCAATTGTCTGTCTGGAAAAGATTGTATTTTTCCTTCATTTATGAAGCTTAGTTGAGCTGGATACAAACTTCTTGGCTGATAATTGTTTTGTTTAAGGAGGCTAAAAATAAGACCCCAATCTGTTTTAGTCTGTAGGGTTTCTTCTGAGAAATCTCCTGTTAATTTGACAGGTTTTCCTTTATAGGCTACTTGATGTTTTTGCCTTACAGCTCTTAAGATTATTTCCTTCATTTTGACTTTAGATAACATGATGGCTACGTGCCTAGGCAATGATCTTTTTGCAATGAATTCCCCAGGTGTTCTTTAATCTTCTTATATTTAGATGTCTAGATCTCTAGCAAGGCTGAGGAAATTTTCCTCCATTATTCCCTCAAATATGTTTTCCAAACTTTTAGATTCCTCTTCTTCCTTGGAACACCAATTATTTTTAGGTTTGGACATTTGACATAGTCCCAAACTTCTTGGAGGCTTTAGTTCATTTTTAAATTATTTTTTCTTTGTCTGTTATGGATTGGGTTAATTCAAAAGCCTTGTCTTTGAGCTCTTAAGTTCTTTCTTCAGAGTTGCACGTAGTCATCAGGTTATCCAAAGTCAAGAAGAAGGAAAGAATTTCAAGAATCTTTCTTGTTCAGTTCTATTGCTGAGACTTTCCAATGCCTTTTTCATTTCTCTAAGTGCATCCTTGATTTCAAGAAGTTGTGATTGTTTTTTATTTATGCTATTTATTTCACTGAAGAATTTTCCTTTCATATCTTGTATCATGTTTTTGATTTAAGTTGGACTTCACCATTCTCTGATGCCTCCTTGATTAGCTTAATCATTGACCTTCTGAATTCTTTTCTGGCAATTCAGAGATTTTTGTCTTGGTTTGGATCCATTGCTGGTGAGCTGGTATGATCTTTTGGGGGCGTTAAATAACCTTTTTTTTTTTTAATCATTTTACCAGAATTGTTTTTCTGGTTCCTTCTCATTTGGGTAGACTAAGTCAGAGGGAAGATCCGGGATTCAAAGGTTGCTGTTCAGATTCTTTTGTCCCATGAGGTGCTCCCTTGATGTGGTTTTCTCCCCCTTCCCCTAGGAATGGGGTTTCCTGAGAGCTGAACCCTAGTGATTGATTTTGCCCTTCTAGGTCTAGCCACCCAGTGGAGCTACAGGGCTCTGGGCTTGTACGGGGGAGTGTCTGCAAAAAGTCCTGTCTTCAGGTCTTGCAGCTATGGATCCCAGCACCTGCTCCAGTAGAGGTAGCAGGGGAGTGAAGTAGACTCTGAGCGTCCTTTGTTATGTTTTTGTTTAGTGTGCTGGTTTTGTGTTGGTTGCCCTCCAGCCAGGAGGTGTTGCTTTCAAAAGCACATCAGCTGCAGTCCTATGGGGGGAATGCAAACTTGCCCTAAGGACACCTTGCTAAGTATTCAGGTTTCTCAGGAGGTGGGCAGGACCACAGAGCTCCCAAGAGATTATGATCTTTGTCTTTGGCTACCAGGGTGGGTAGAGAAAGGCCACCAGGTGGTGGCAGGGATAGGCAGGTCTGAGTTCAGTCTCTCCTTGAGCGTGGCTTGCTGTGGCTGTTGTGGGCGATAGGAGTGTGGTTCCCAGTCTAATGGAGTTATGTTGCCAGGGGGATAACAGCTGCCTCTGCTGAGTCATACAAGTGGCCAGCTAAGCGGGGGAAAGCCAGCAGTCACAGGCCTCACCCTGCTCCCATACAGCCAACAGTCCTAAAAGTCAGTCTCACTTCTACTGTGCCCCGCCCGGCAACAGCACCGAGTCTATTTCCAGGCAGCCAGTGACCAGGGCTGAGAACTTTCCCCAGACCATGAGCCTCCCCATTGAGAAAGCAAGCAGACTCACAGTTTTTTGGCGTCTCAGGGAGACTTCACTGGTGATCCAGTTCCTTCAAATGGTATTTGGATTCTCTTGGCTTTCCTGGTATGTTCCAGTGGTAGTTCTTGGAGCAAAAGTTCACGATGTGAGTCTCCACATGCTGCTCTGTCCATCCGAGCGGGAGCTGCAAGCTAGTCCTGCCTCCTATCTGCCATCTTAATCTGAATCGCTTTTTTGATACAGAGTCGCCAATAGCTGTGTTTTTCTACATAAGCTGTCCTCTGTGCCATGAAGAGTTTTAATGATACAGCATTTCTTTCTTTTTTTTTTTTTTTTTTTTTTTTGAGACGGAGTCTTGCTCTGTCGCTCAGGCTGTCGTGCAGTGGCGTGATCTCGGCTCACTGCAAGCTCTGCCTCCTGGGTTCACGCCATTCTCCCGCCTCAACCTCCCAAGTAGCTGGGACTACAGGTGCCCGCCATCACACTAGGCTAATTTTTTGTATTTTTAGTAGAGCTGGGGTTTCACCGTGTTCGCCAGGATGGTCTCCATCTCCTGACCTCATGATCCGCCTGCCTCTGCCTCCCAAAGTGCTGGGATTACAGGCGTGACCGTGCCCGGCCGATACAGCATTTCTTGAAAGAACCCATGAAAGAGCTAAAGCCAATGGTGCTAAGTTCTTAAGATGGCCCTGTAATTATTGAAGAGTTTGACTTCTTTGACTTCTACTTTAGGAATTGCTATACTCATCTGATTCACTTTTTGCTTCTTTTCTCCCTCACCAAATAACAGTCCCTACGGATGATAAGAGTGCTCCCTGATTGTTCCATGACCTTTCCAGGTGACTGCCACCTGCCCTTCAGACTTTGATGATGGTTTTTTTTGTTGTTTTTTTTTAAGCTTAGGCAATGACAGCTACATAATTGCTGATGTCTAGCCAACAGTGACTATAAAACACTGAATGTAAGACATCTATAAATTTCAGAAGCATTGAAACATCTAAAAATATATAATTTTAGAATTAATTTAAAAATGAGATATGAAGGTGCTCTTTAAACTTAGAAACACAGCTAAATGAGGAGTTATTAATGTGGCCTTGTAACAGCTGTTGTCACCCAGGACTGAGCAGTTGGCGTGTGTATGTATATTGTGCTGAAGTGGCTATGTTGTCTGGGGTATATACCCTGGATTCATCCTCTCATGCCAGGAAAATTTAGGACAGGGACACACGAGGAGTTTAGGAGTGGAGGTTTAACGGACAGAAGAAAAGAGAAAGAAGAAGAGCTCTCTCTATAGAGAGAGGGGTCTTCCGAACGGAAAAGACCATCTGGTAGCGGATGAACCCAATTTTACAGTCTGGCTTGAGGAGACAGTGTCTGATTTGCATAGGGCTCACAGATCGGTTGGATCAGGTTTGACATTTACATAGCGGGGGCGGGGGCGGGAAGGCTGGTCATCCCACCCTAATCTTACTATGCAAGTGAACTCTTCCCTTGGTTGGCGCCCTCTTGTCTGCTCCTTACTGTACACGTGGCTGGCTGAAAAGGGAAGATGGAGCCGCCATCTTGAACATGTCCAGTCCCTAGTTCCTGCCAGCATTCCCCCATGCAAGCTCCCAACTTGCTTGTCTGTGTCTGCAGCTCAACTTTACGGGCTGCTCTTCGTTAGAAAATGATTTGGGGCTGCTTTTCATTAAAAACAAAAGCCTCACTGAGGACTCCCATACCCTATCTGCCTAAGTGATTTCTTTTTAACCCCTATATCAGTGCCATTTTGACCCAGTCATTTTGATGAGTTCATTTTGACCTCATTTGACAATTTTTCATAGCTTTAATCACAGCATTAAATGTTGGAGTGATTTGTATGCTACCAGGAAATGAAAGCAACAGACACCGTCATCATCTCCACCCCCATCCCATCGCTTATCTTGCTCTGGAGTCTGACCTTGTCCATTGCCCCACACTCTCCTGGAGCTTGAGTCTTATCCTGAGGGAAGGTGGAGTGAAGCCCAGACAGGGTCAGGGTGCCTTGATTTAAAAAGCTGCCGTCCGTGGGCAGGTGGGCTTTGGGTATCAGTGGGACTGGGATTGGGGGAGGGCCACTGTCTGGACTCTAAAAGGGAACATTTACATTTAGGGTTAGAAAGAGTATGACAACCATGATTGACAAGACAGAGCATTGGTGGCTGAACCAAGATCAAGTACTAAACTGTATTAGTGTCTTCTCACACTGCTATAAACAAATACCTGTGGCTGGGTAATTTATTTTAAAAAAAGGAGAGAGAGAGATTTAATTGGCCCACAGGTCCACAGGCTGTACAGGAAGCATGGTGCTGGCATCTGCTCAACTTCTGGGAAGGCCTTAGGAAACTTTCAGTCATGGCAGAAGACAAAGGGGAAGCAGGCACGTCTTACATGACTGGAGCAGGAGGAAGAGAGGGAGTGGGGAGGTGCCACACACTTTAAAATGACCAGATCTCATGAGAACTCTATCATAAGAACAGCACCAATGAGATGGTGCTAAACTGCTCATGAAGGTTCCACTCTCCCATGACACAGTCACCTCCCACCAGGCCCCACCTCCAACATTGGGGATTACAGTGTGACATGGGATTTGGGTGGGGACACAAATCCAAATCAAATCAGTTAGCATTAGCCAAGAACACGTGGGGAATTCAAAGAGTTAAACAAATCAAGTCCCAGGCAGCACTAATTATCTGAGTACAATGATCAGCACATCTGGGTTGAAGACCTTCTATATACTTCCTCCCAGGGCAAGTACTGGATAGGGGATGGGCTGGCCCAAGTCTAAAGAAATGAATAGTAGATGAACTATAGCTGAAAGAGGTGAAGAGAACTGGGCCCGTGGTGGAGTCTGATTACTCCTGGTACACATGCAAGGCTGACACAGGCTCCGATACACTTTGAGCATCTTCATGCAAAGCAGAGTTCTTTCTCTGGCTCTCAGAAGGATTTTCTGATTATTTTCCATGGTCTTTCCCTGGAGTTGCCATGACTATCCTCAGTGGGACAGCTTAATTCCAGGTGTAGAAACAACAATAGATGCAGTTTCATCCAAAGTTGTTGAACCCAAGAAAAGATGATGACAACTCAAAACAAAAATGAAAGTTTCTTTAAGGCATGGCCACCTCACAGTCACACTCACAGCTGGAGTTTCCTGCTAACGTGACCCTTGAGTCTTTGGAGGTCCGGGCCAACTGACAAAACAATTTGTTCATGATGGTGGCTCAGTGACAAAGAGGAAATCGCTCATGGACTGCTGGGGCAGCCAAACCTGTCCAAAGAACACAGCTTTGTGGTACTGTAGCCACAGGGAACTACTGGGCGAGGAATTCTTTTATTTTCCACAGTGAGTGATCCAAAGATGACAAGCTCTGCAGGAAATCCTGGGTCCTATATACCTATATATATCCCCACCGCTGGTCCTATTCAGTCCTAATCAAGGACCATATCATCAATGAGCTTATCCACAATGACAAAGAAGAAAAACAAAACCCAGGTTGCAAACCCCTGCACACAACTTGCTTTTGACAGCACATCCCAGCGTTCTCCAGGAAAGAGGAAGCTATGGAAATGTTTAGTACAAGTAGCAGCAGGGCAGAGAGCTGCGGGAAGCCTGGCGTTGAAGGAATTGTTTTTATTTTTATTACTTAGTTGAGTTCATTTTGGTTACCTTTTTGGGCTGGTCAAAAAGTAAAGTTTTTGATTGGTAAGTCAATTTTTTTTTAGAAGTCAAAGAACACACACTATAATGAGGCCACATAATTAAGCAGTTTCTAATTTCCAATAAAATAAACTAAATTTATGGGCAGAAATTATCAAAGGCTTATCTACTTCACACAAGGCCAGAATAACTTCCATGACTTTATTAATGATTTCTTAGATATTATTCCCTCTTGCTGATGGGATGGTAACTTCTTTGAATGTATTATATGACACAGACCATCTTAGCAGACTGCAGTGAGGGATTATCCTGCTAGCCTTGAAGGAGGGAACTGTTGTGTGGGGAGGGGACCATGTGGCAGGGATCTATGGGTGGCTTCTGGAAGCTCAGAGTGGCCCCCAGCTGACAGCCAGTGAGAAAATGGAGACCTCAGTCCTACAATCTCAAAGAATTGAGGCCAGGCATTGTGGCTCAAGCCTGTAATCCCAGCACTTTGGGAGGCCGAAGTGGGCAGATCACCTGAGGTCAGAAGTTCAAGACCAGCCTGGCCAATATGGTGAAACCTCGTCTCTACTAAAAATACAAAAATTAGCTGGGCGTGGTGGCAGGCATCTATAATCCCAGCTACTTGGGAGGCTGATGCAGGAGAATAGCTTGAACCCGGGAGGCAGATGTTGAAGTGAACCGGAATTATGCCACTGCACTCCAACCTTGGTGACAGAGTGAGACTTCATCTCAAAAAAAAAAAAAAAAAATCAAAACCAAAAAACCCTCAATGTTATGTGAGCTTGGAAGAGGACCCGGAGCTCCAGAAAGGAATGTAAGGCCACTGATCCCTTGATTGCAATATTTCTCTGCTACCAATGCAGCAATGAACCACCTGATACATGCATGCATTTCTTTTTTTTTTTTTTTTTTTTTTTTTTAAGAGATAGGGTCTTGCTGTCTCTCCTAGGCTGGAGTACAGTGCTGTGATCATAGCTCACTACAGTCTCAATCTCCTGGGCTCTAGTGATCTTACCTTCTCAGCCTCCTATGTAACTGGAACCACAGGCCCATGTCACCATGCCTGGCTAATTTTTAAATTTTTTGTAGCAGTGAGATCTTGCTATGTCACCCAGGCTGGTCTCAAACTCCTGGCCTCAAGCTATCCTCTCCCTTCACCACCCAAATTGCTGGGATTACAGGCATGAGCCACCACATCCAGCCTACATGCATGGATTCCTCAAGGGCAGAGTATACAAAGTGGATATTGTTAATGAACATTTCCAGTTGCCCTTCATGGCTGTACCAATTTACACTACTGGTACAGGAATGTACCATGACCAAGCATGACCAACCATGTTTGGGAATGTCCAGTCCTCCACCTCTTACCAGCGCTTGATATGAACATATCTCTAATTACTAATGAAGTTGAGCTTCTTTCTTATATTTCTTGGCCATTTGGTTTTCCTCTTCTGTGAAATGCCTTTTTATATCTTTTGCCCATTTTTCTATAGGGTTATTTATCCTTTTTTAAGTTGATTCATAGACATCATTTTGTAAATCCTGAATAGTAATCCTTTTCCTATTGTATAGATTGCAAATATGTCATATTCGAAATCTGTAACTCATACTTTTTCTAAAACTTGTTTATGATTTTTCTGACATACAGCTTTTAATTGTTTATATGTAGTCACATTTATTAATGTTTATGTGTTTTGATTTGGTGCTTTATTTTATTTTGCTAGTCCTTCCTACCCCAAGATTGTAAAAAATATTATTCTATATTTTCTTACAATATTTTAATAGATTTGTTCTAATGTCTTCACTTTCATTCCATATGGAGTTGATTTAGAGTCATCCACTCTTCTACTTACCCCAAGCTGAAGTCCAACCTTATCATCGCTCCTGATATTGTGTTGGGCAAGGTCCCAGTGATTTCTACATTGCTGAATCAAAAAGACACTTTTAAAGCCAGGTGCAGTGGCTCACACCCGTAATGCCAATACTTGGGAAGCTGAGGCAGGTGAGGCAGGAGCATCACTTGAGTCCAGGAGTTCAAGACCAGCCTACACAATACAGTGAGACTCTCTCTCCAAAAATATTTTTTAAAAAAACGTTCTGCAGCCTCATGCTATTTTTTTTTTTAATTTCTCAATAGCATTTGTCAGCAATGAGC
The DNA here is from genome assembly GCF_000001405.40 of Homo sapiens. Taxonomy (NCBI): domain Eukaryota; kingdom Metazoa; phylum Chordata; class Mammalia; order Primates; family Hominidae; genus Homo; species Homo sapiens. The sequence continues at coordinate 30,158,236 of NC_000010.11, forward strand.
ACATCATTTGTTTTTTAAAACCCTTTCTTGGCCCCTGGGACAGCATATTGTTCTAGCTTTCTGATATGGTTTGTCTTTGTGCCCCCACCCAAATCTCATCTTGAATTGTAATCCCCAGGTATTGAGGGAGGGACATGGTGGAAGGTGATTGGGTCATGGGGGTGGATTCCCCCTTGCTGTTCCCGTGATAGTGAGGGAGTTCTCTCCAGATCTGATGGTTTTATAAGGGGCTCCTCCCCTTTGCTTACTTCACTCACTCTCTTTTGCCTCCTGCCATGTAAGACGTGCCTTTTCCCCTTCCACCACAATTGTAAGTTTCCTGAGGCCTCCCCAGCAATGAGGAATTGTGAGTCAATTTAACCTCTTTTCTTTAAAAATTACCCAGTCTCAGGTATGTCTTTGTAGCATTGTGAAAACAGACTAATTCACTTTCCCTTCATCTCTCTGGCCACCTTGGTCCCTTTTATTATCTTTATTGAGTCATCTTCCTCTTTCTAATCTCTAAGTGTGGGTATTTCTCAAGGTTTGGTTCTGAGCTATCTTCTCTGTCTCTCCCTTGGGGAATCCAAGCCTTACATAATCTCTATAATGATGTCTTCATTACATCTCTAGCCTAGATGTCTTTCCCAAGTTACAGTTTTGTACATTCTGATACTCACCTAACATTTCTCTTTGGATAATCTACAGCCATCTCAACTGAACAACTTAACATGTTCAAGAAGGAAGCCTGGATTCTCAGACTGTATTCCAAACCTGTTCTCTCTCTTTGTCACTCCTGTGGCCCAGACCATACACGTACACATCATCCTTGGGTGTTTCTTTTTCCTTTCTTCTTGTTTTTTTCCCCCATATCCAATTTGTCATCAGTCCTGTCAACTTTATCTACCAAATATTCCCTGATTGGCTCTGCTGCCCTCTGCCTCCACTTCCCCTCCTCGTCCAGGCTGCTGTTGTCTCTCACTCACTCCTCTGCATGGCCTCCCTGCTTTCATTCACTCTCCACACAGCCCTGGTCTCCTTTCAAAAAGTGGGTCGCTTTAAGCTTCTCAGTGGCTTCCTGTTGTCCTTAGAACAATCCAGACTTCTTCCTGGGGGCTCTAAGACCTGGTGTGACCCAGACTCTGATGCTCCAACCCCATGTGGGGCCACCCTCCACCTTGCTCTCCTGTCTCCTTCAAATCTCTGAACAAACCCAGTTCTTCACCACTTCAGGGATATATTAGTTCCCTAGGGCTGCTGTTACTAATTACCACAAACTTGGTAGCTTAAAACAACAGAAGTCTATTCCCTCACAGTTCTAGAGGCCAGAAATTCAAAACCAAGTAGCTTACAGATGAGAAACTCAGGTTTAAAAAAGGGCACATAGGTGATTTCTCAAAGAGCTGAAAACGGAACTACCTTTGACCCAGCAATACTGGGTATATACCCAGAGGAATATAAATCATTCTGTCATAAAGACACAAGCATGCATATGTTGACTGCAGCACTATTCACAATAGCAAAGACAGGGATCAACCTAAATGCCCATCAATGGCCGACTGGATAAAGAAAATGTGGTACATATGCACCATGGAATACTATGCAGCCATAAAAAAGAATGAGATCATGTCCTTTGCAGGGACATGGATGGAGCTGGAGGTCATTATCCTTAGCAAACTAATGCAGGAACAGAAAACCAAATACCACATGTTCTCACTTGTAAGTGGGAGCTCAATGATGAGAACATATGGGCACATAGAGGGCAATGACAGACACTGGAGCCTGCTTACCTGTGAGTTAAGAGTGGGAGGAGGTAGAGGATCAGGAAAAATAACTACTGCATATTAGGCTTATTACCTGGGCAATTAAATAATCTCTAAAACAGACTACTATGACATGAGTTTACCTATATAACAAACCTGCATATGTATCCCTGAACCTAAAGTAAAAGTTTTCAAAAGAAAAAAGAGAAAAAGAAAAGGGTCACACAGCTTCAAGAACCACTCCCTGTTTTCTGCCTACACAACTAAATGTTCACAATAAGATACTTTTTGGTAACAACAAATCACTGTCACAAGAAGAAAGACCAGAGAGCATCTTTGTCGCATAGAGTCATTCAGTGGAGCAACTGGACTAGAAGCAGGTTCTGAAAAGCTCTATTATTATGGATATGGACTAGACTATGGGAATAACTAAAATGCACTGTCTCTAGGTTTTTTACATTCATATTTATACAAAAGAAGAATCTGAGCTCTAGAAGACTGGGCTGATGAGATGAATTGTCTCCCGTGAGAAAAATTTCCCTAGACATGTTTGAACATACAGTTCTGTGTTTCACTCTGAGTTTTGTCTGTTCCTGAGGTTTTTAAATCGACCAAAGAGAGGACTTAGGACTCTTTGTGACTCTGCCAATAAAACACCGCGGGGCTCCACCTTCCTCCAGCCAAGTGCTGGGCCACATTTGCACTTCAGTCTCCCTGTGACTGCTTTGAAAGGGCCTGCTTTTCCTCTCAGAGGCTTTTGGGATCTGGGCAGACACACACCCTGAAGTTATCTCCTCTTAAGCATATAAACCAGGGATTATCTTATCTCGGTAAGCACAGTGATCTTAGAAGGACAGCCACTCACCTCCCAGAAGAGTTGGAAAGTCTCCAGGGAGCAAGGGAAGCCATTCTAGGCTGGAGCCTCCTGGAGAAGTTTCAGGTCACCCCAAACCATTGTGCATACAGGGGCCTTCACCAGAAAGGGCCTTTAGAAGCCAGTTCCACTTTTTCCTGAAGCAGAAGAGTGGGCACGGGCGAAAGCATCTTTCACCGCACATAACTGGAAAACAGGAGTCCCTGGTTGCCTCGGCTCCAGTGCAGCCCCCACCTTTCTTGTTTGTTTGTTTGTTTGTTTTTCCAGAAGACAAAAGCATAGATTTATTGAAGCAAAGTATACTCCACAGATCAGGAGCAGGCTTGAGCAAGCAGCTCGAGAGCCGTAGCTGCAAATCTTCTGGGGTTTAAGTACTCGTTAGAGGTTTCCTATTGGTTACACCCTATATAAATGAAGACTTGGCCCACAACCAGTCGGAGGCTGAAGTGAAGGCTCAGCCTGCAACCAATCAGAGGCTGAAGTTGCATCCTACGCAAAAGAAGACTTGGCCCATGACCAATCAGAGGCTGAAGTGAAGGCTCCCTGTCTCCAGACCCTACTCTCCTGCCTAAAAATGGGTCAAAACTCAAAGGGTTGGAAAGAACATATCGTTGAAAAAAAAAAAAAAAAAGAAGTCTCCCTCCTACCCTTGTTCCTTTCCTTGGAGGCAACCAGTATCAGATTTCTATGTATCCTTCCCAGATACTTTGCACCTGTGCTTTAAATAGGTATCCTTAGGGGACACATTTAGTGGGTAGGGACAGTCAACCTCTCTACTTTTGCTTCTGGCAATAATTATTTGATTTTAATATCTATCACTGGAGTCTTACTAAATTCATGCACTCTACATTATTTCTCTGGAGTCTTTTGGTTTTTGTTGATGAAAACAGAGTTAAAAGGTTTTTTGTCACTAAAATGATCTGTGTAAATAGGGAAGTAATGATTTCAAACTATAGTTCCGGGTTTTTTTTTTTTTTTTTTTTGAGAAAAGATGATTTTGGCGTGAGGAGTTTGTCAGTGTCTAACAATTCTTTCCTATATTTTTCCTGAAGGCACTTGACTTTGGCAGATATTGAGAGAATAGCCCCATTGGCTGAGGGGGCCTTACCTTATAACCTGGCAGAACTTCAGAGAAAGGTATAAGTAGTCTCATAAATATGATCACCTTAAAAAATGCTGAACTAGTAGCCTAAATAGGAGCTGACAGCTTCTGAATGCTGTAAAAATTAAAAATTACTTTTCAGATAAAGACTTTACTTAGCTTAAAGATTACCTTTATATATATATATATATATTTTTTTTTTGAGATGGAGTCTGGCTCTGTTGCCCAGGCTGGAGTGCAATGGCATGATCTCGGCTCACTGCAACCTCTGCCTTCTGGGTTCAAGAGATTCTCCTGCCTCAGCCTCCCAAGTAACTGGGATTACAGGCATGCGCCATCACAACTGGCTAATTTTTGTATTTTTAGTAGAGACAAGGTTTTGCCATGTTGGACAGGCTGGTCTCGAACTCGTGACCTCAGGTGATCCACCCATCTCGGCCTCCCAAAGTGCTGGGATTACAGGCATGAGCCACCACGCCCAGCCTATAGAATATTTTTATGAGATAACTAGATTTATGTTTGTGTTTTGTGTCTTGTTTTGTTCAGATAAGGAAAATAAGAGTTCAAACATACATGGGTTTGATCCCCTTCCCCTTAGAATTAGCATTCTTTTCATTTGCCTCATGACATTTAAAGATTAGTGTTAGGTTTACCTTGTATCATTAAACTGATATTTAAGGGTTTCTAAAATAAAAAAAAAACTTCCCTCAAATGAAATTGAGAGGTGACAGCGTGCTGGCAGTCCTCACAGCCCTCGCTTGCTCTCGGCGCCTCCTCTGCCTGGGCTCCCACTTTGGCGGCACTTGAGGAGCCCTTCAGCCCGCCACTGCACTGTGGGAGCCCCTTTCTGGGCTGGCCAAGGCCGGAGCCGGCTCCCTCAGCTTGCCAGGAGGTGTGGAGGGAGAGGCGCCGGCGGGAACTGGGGCTGCGTGAGGTGCTTGCCGGCCAGCGCGAGTTCTGGGTGGGTGTGGGCTCTGCGGACCCCACACTCGGAGCTGCTGGCCGACCCCACTGACCCTGGGCAGTGAGGGGCTTAGCACCTGGGCCAGCAGCGGCTGTGCTCAATTTCTCGCCAGGCCTTAGCTGCCTTCCCGCGGGGCAGGGCTCCGGACCTGCAGCCCACCATGCCTGAGCCTCCCCGCCCCTCCGTGGGCTCCTGTGCGGCAGGAGCCTCCCCTACGAGCGCCGCCCCCTGCTCCACGGTGCCCAATCCCATCGACCACCCAAGGGCTGAGGAGTGCAGGTGCATGGCACGGGACTGGCAGGCAGCTCCACCTGCAGCCCCTGTGCGGGATCCACTGGGTGAAGCCAGCTGGGCTCCTGAGTCTGGTGGGGTCGTGGAGAACCTTTATGTCTAGCTAAGGGATTGTAAATACACCAATCGGCACTCTGTATCTAGCTCACGGTTTGTAAACACACCAATCAGCACCCTGTGTCTAGCTCAGGATTTGTGAATGCACCAATCGACACTCTGTATCTAGCTACTCTGGTGGGGACTTGGAGAACCTTTGTGTCCATACTCTGTATCTAGCTAATCTAGTGGGGACGTGGAGAACCTTTGTGTCTAGCTCAGGGATTGTAAACGCACCAATCAACGCCCTGTCAAAACAGACCACTCTGCTTTACCGATCAGCAGGATGTGGGTGGGGCCAGATAAGAGAATAAAAACATGCTGCGGGAGCTAGCAGTGGCAACCCGCTCGGGTCCCCTTTCACACTGTGGAAGCTTTGTTCTTTCTCTCTTTGCAATAAATCTTGCTGCTGCTCACTCTTTGGGTCCACACTGCCTTTATGAGCTGTAACACTCACCATGAAGGTCTGCAGCTTCACTCCTGAAGCCAGCGAGACCACGAACCCACCGGGAGGAACGAACAACTCCAGACGCGCCGCTTTAAGAGCTGTAACACTCACCGGGAAGGTCTGCAGCTTCACTCCTGAGCCAGCAAGACCACGAACCCACCGGAAGGAAGAAACTCCCAACACATCCGAACATCAGAAGGAACAAACCCCGGACAGGCCGCCTTGAAGAACTGTAACACTGACCGCGAGGGTCTGCGGCTTCATTCTTGAAGTTAGTGAGACCAAGAACCCACCAATTCCGGGCACAAAATAAATCATTCACTGGGATTGTGCCTTACAGATTATAGCCAGGAAAAAAAAAAGCAATTAGTGAAACCAGAAGGAAAACCTTGACTGTTATTACATTTTTGATAAATATTAGTTTTGGTTTTTATAAATGTTAAGAATGATTAAAACAGTAGCTTCTGAGTCCTATAAAATTAATACAGTCCCATTTCTGAATTTACAAATACTATCTTGGTAACCTTTCATGCTTGCAGGGGAGAAGAGCCTCGAGTCCTGCAGGGAGCCACACGAAGGTCTCTGTTTCATGCCAGTCTTCCAAATGCCCTATGAGAAGCTGGCAGCCCACATTTTCACCTGCTTTTTAATTTTGTTTTTATTTATTTAGTTTTTAGAGACAGGGTCTTACTCTTGCCCAGGCTCAAAACCCAGCTCATGCAGCCTCCAACTCCCGGGCTCGAGTGATTCACTCACCTCACCCTCTCAAGTAGCTGGGACCACAGGCACACGCCACCACACCCAGTAGTTTTTTAATTTTTATCTAGAGATGGGATCTCACTGTGTTGCCGAGGCTGGTCTTAAACTCCTGGCCTCAAGAAATTCTCCTGCCTCGGACTGGGATTACAGGCATGAGCCACCACTCCTGGCCTCATCGGCATTTTAGATGTTTACTTTTCAAACTTCCATCTCCTACCTTCTGCCCGGAGACTAGGTCCCTTGGGTCCCTAACTGGTTCGCTGGTTGATGTCTCACACACAATGAGTCCAGTGGGTGGGGGGAATTTTAGTGAGCAAAATTAAGCCTATTTATTTATTTATTTATTTTTGAGACGGACTTTTGCTCTTGTCGCCCAAGATGGAGTGCAATGGCATGATCTTGGCTCACTGCAACCTCTGCCTCCAGGGTTCAAGCTATTCTCCTGCCTCAGCCTCCCCAGTAGCTGGGATTACAGGCGCCTATCCCACACCCAACTAATTTTTGTATTTTTAGTAGATACGGGGTTTCACCATGTTGGCCAGGCTGGTCTCAAACACCTGACCTCGTTATCTACCCGCCTCAGCCTCCCAGAGTGCTGGGATTACAGGCATGAGCCACCGTACCTGGCCTAAGCCTTGCTTTACTGCAGGGCTTGTCCAACCTCATAACGGACTAATTTATATTTTACAGCTCTGAGAGAAGGTGTGGTGTACAGAACTTCCAAAACATACATGAGATAGAGCACGCCCGTTGCTAGTGATACCAAGGACACAATTTGGAAAGCATTGCACCACGCCATACACCTCTTCTGTCCTCAGGACAGTGGGAAAATGGTGAAGATAATAGTCACTGCGTGTCTGTATGTGCAAGAGCTATGCCATGCCTTTTGCAGGCATTACCACGTATGTAAGCTCCCAACAACCTGGCAAGCTAGGCGTCATCAACCCTTCCCCTTAGATGTGAGAGGAAGTCATTTGCAGCCACTGCAAGGTTCAAACACTGGAAGCGTCCAAACATCAAACCGCACTAAGAGGACATCTGTATGATTATCCATTCAAGAAATCGGGCCATTGTACTCAGCGAGGAACAATCCGCGATGGTGTGTGGTGCGTGGCAGTGGTGCACTCTGCTTCTGGCCAGTGAGGTCATGGTGGCTTTGACCATGAGATAGGGATGGCGTGGGGGCAGGGGGCATCCATGGATGCGTCACAAATAACTCAGTCAGAGGATACTTTGTGCTGTGCAAATCTCAGAAATTCATGGAACAAAGGTCATTTATAATTGAATAGGAGTTACTGTAGATCCATGGGCTGGAGGAGACATCCCAGAAAGAAAGGCATGGTGAGATGGTGAGAACCACCAGTGCCCTCAGCACGGAGGGACCCACGTAAGGCATTAAAAGAAGGGAGGAGGCAGGTGAATTTCTGGTTTTTTTTGGAGAGAGAACTGATAAACTGTATCCTTGTTTTTTTGTTTTTGTTTTTGACAGGAACATTTATTTATTTAGTTATTTTTTATTTTCAGAGATAAGGTCTAACTCTGTCACCCAGGTTGGAGTGCAGTGGCGCAATCACAGCTCACTGCAGTCTCAAACTCTTTGGTTCAAGAGATCCTCCCACCTCAGCCCAGCAAGTAGTTGGGACTATGAGTGCATGCCACTATGCTCAGCTAATTTTTGTATTTCATTTTTTGTAGAGATGGCATGTTGCTATGTTGCCCAGGACGGCCTCGAACTCCTGGGTTTGAGTGATCCTCCTGCTTCAGCCTCCCGAAGAGTGAAGATTACAGGCCTAGGTGCTTTTTTTTTTTTTTTTTTTTGAAGACAATGTCTCTCTCTGTTGCCTAGGCTGGAGCTCAGTGGTGCAGTTTTGGCTCACTGCAGCCTCACCCTACTCCCCGGGCTCAAGTGATCCTCCTCCCTCAGTCACCTGAGTAGCTGGGACTACAGGCACGCACCACCATGCTCAGCTAACTTTTTTTCGGTATTTTTGGTAGAGACAGGGTTTTTCGATGTTGTCCAGGCTGGTTTCAAACAGCTATCCACCCACCTCAGCCTCCCAAAGTGCTGGGATTACAGGCATGAGCCATCGCGCCCGGCCCTATGTCCTCTTTCTGCTCCAGGATCTCACCCAGGAGACTGCATAGCATTTAGTCATCATGTCTCCTTAGGCTCTTCTTGACTGTGATGGTTATTTAGATTTTCCTCGTTTTCAATGACTTTGACAGCTTTGAGGAGTACAGGTCAAGTATTTTAAGGAATGCTCTTCAATTTGGCTTAGTTTGACGTTTTTCCTGTGGACAGAGGTTATGGGTTTGGAGGAGGAAGACGAAAGAGGTAAAGTGCTGTTCTCATCACATCATTTCAAAGGCACGTGCCATCAACTCCATTTATATGGCTGTTGACCTTGATCACCTGGGTAAGGTAGAGCTCATCAGTTTCCCATCTGTGAAGTTACTCTCCCCTACCTCCTTTTCCTCCTATACTCTGGAAGTCCCCCTGCATGACTCACACTTAAGGCATGGAAAGTTAGGCTCTTCCCCCTTTAGAAGAGTCTATCTACTTATTTGAAACTTTTCTGCGTGGGAGATGTGTTTATACTCTCCCATTTATTTATTTATTTATTTATTTATTTATTTTCAATACAGAGTCTTGCTCTGTTGTCCAGGGTGGAGTGCAGTGGCATAATTTCAGCTCACTACAACCTCTGCCTCCCGGGTTCAAGAAATTCTCCTGCCTCAGCCTCCTGAGTAGCTGGGATTACAGGCACACACCACCACGCCGGGCTGATTTTCATATTTTTAGTAGAGACGGGGTTTCACCATATTGGCCAGGCTGGTCTCGAACTCCTGACCTCATGATCTGCCCACCTCGACCTCCCAAAGTGCTGGGATTACAGGCTTGAGCCACCACACCCGGCCTCCCTTTTTTAAAAAAAATTTGATCATGAATGTATATCAGCATGGGCTTGTGGACATTTATGTTATACTTTGTATAAATATTTATAAATACCAGTATGTTAATTATTTTGTTGCTTAAAGTACATCAGCTTTGGCGCTTGCGAGCTCCTTCAGTTGGCTCCAGTGTCTTCACTCCATGCACGTGTTTTGTTCATGTGTTTGTTTGTTGCAGGGGTGGGGGGTGTTTATTGCTTTTGTTTTGGTTTTGAGCCCATTCTTACTTTCTGGCACTATAAGATGTTGGCTCTTCTTGTATATTCTCTAGAAACAGCCATTTCTTCAAGACACCCTGGTCCCTTCTATCAGAGAATGGTGTTAGAAACCACAATCTAGGTGCTGGGTGTGTGTGTTGTTACTGGGTAGTCATTCCTTCTAGGCTCACTCAGCAGACGGCAAAGAAATATGTGTGTATACTAACCCACGTAGGTAGCCATCTGTATCTAAATTAAGCTAAACATGAGTTCACATTGATGGCTCCAACTCTAACTTGGCACTGCATGGATTATTCCAGCCTTCTCTCTCTGTCTCTCTTTTTTTTCTTTAATAGAGATGGGATCTTGCTATGGTGCCTAGGCTGGTCTTGAACTCCTGGGCTCAAGCAGTCTACCTGCCTCAGTCTCCCAGTGTGCTGTAATTACATATGTGAGCCACTGCACCTGGCCCTCCAGCTTGCTCTTCTTGCTTGTCTGTAACCCTGCAATCCAACAGTAAGACACCTGACTCCTGCAACCTGCAATACATTACTTCATTGTTCAAGTCCAGTAGACTTGACTTAGTAACTAGACTAGCGGATTTGAAATTGTGAAACCATAACCCCATCGCAGCAATCTTACCAGCCAAAGTATAATGCTGGCTGGGCACAGTGGCTCACGCCTGTAATCCCAGCACTTTGGGAGGCCAAGGCGGGTGGATCACAAGGTCAGGAGATGGAGACCATGGTGAAACCCCGTCTCTACTAAAAATACAAAAAATTAGCCAGGCGCAGTGGTGGGCACCTGTAGTCCCAGCTACTCAGGAGGCTGAGGCAGGAGAATGGCATGAACCCGGGAGGCGGAGCTTGCAGTGAGCCGAGATTGTGCCACTGCACTCCAGCCTGGGTGACAGAGCAAGACTCGGTCTCAAAAAAAAAAAAAAAAAAAAAAAGTACAATGCTGATGGGCACTCAGTGCATTTTCCCACTGGTCCTAGAGTCGGCATTCGTTCCCCAAGTGACTTCACCTAATCAGCACCTTCTCTCCCCACCTCCTCTAGTGAGGGTGTATCCTATGTTTGTAATGCAGTCCGTCTTTTGTCCTAGTCTTCATTCCATCCTGGGATCCTCTAGCTTCCTAAATAATTTTTTAATTTGCATAGATTAAGGTTAACTCTTTCTGTGGTAATGTTCTATGGGTTTTGACAAATGCATCATGTAATAGACCCAACATTATAGAATAGTTTCACCATCCTAAAAAATTCCTTATGCTTCACCTATTTTAACCTCTCCTTGTATTTTTGTGTTTTTCCATTTTCAAGTAAGCAGATATTTTATACAAATAATGATACATAGGTAATTAGAAACCAGTGTAATCCTTAATTGCTTTATACAATATATTTATAATAAATAAAACGTTTTTCAAAATAATAATATTATAAACTGTGTTTATTTTGTACCTTACACACCTTATATCCCATGTTAGGTATAATAATGGACAGGCTAAATCTTCATTATTGAGACATTGTGCTCTTTTGGAGTAGAGATAACTAAAATTACAGAAATATCACTATTCTAGATGAGGTCAGGACCTGGCCCCTGTGGCGAGTGGCAGAGTCAGTGTTTAAATATGGTTCAACTTTCCAGCCTTTCAGAACTGTCATAAATCTAGCGGCTGAAAATCTTAGCAAGGACCTTCTTTTGCATGCAGCCAACTTTTGCCCCACTCTATTTTCTTTTAAAGTCTAAATCATGTTTATTTGCAAACTCACAGTTTTGCAACAAAGGTAACATGATGCCACTCTGCACCCAAGATTGGAGCAAAATGCAAAAAATAATTGATTTACCCCCTTGCTTGTAGTCAATTGCTATTTTTCATTGACTACAGTTTTATGGTCTCGAGAGCGAATCTCATGGCGGTTAAACTTTTATGACTTACATTAATTCAGTGTCCTTGGCTGTCATGTTTCTCAACTTGCTGTCAAGCCACAGAAATATATTTTTAGGATATTTCTAAGGGAAGCAGTGTGGAGACTTAGACAAAATTTGTGGCAAGATTTCTTGAGAAACTAAAGCAGGTGGCTTCACACACACACGTGCGCATGCATGCACACACACACATGCACACACACACACTGCCTTGCATGTAAGAGGACAGGCTGGGTGCGGTGGCTCATGCCTGCAATCCCAGCACTTTGGGAGGCCGAGATGGGTGGATCACCTGAGGTCAGGAGTTTGAGACCAGCCTGGCCAACATGGTGAAACCCTGTCTCTACTAAAAATACAAAAATTAGCTGGGCGTGGTGGGCAGCACCTATGATCCCAGCCACTCGGGAGGCTGAAGCAGGAGAATCGCTTGAACCAGGGAGGCGGAGGTTGCAGTGAACTGAGATCACGCCACTGCACTCCAGCCTGGGCGAAAGAGCAAGACTCTGTCTAAAAAAAAAAAAAGAAAAAAGAAAAAAAAAACAGATGAGTCCTTTGGGAAAGGCAGGCGTATCACAAAAAATTCCTTTGCACATACCTTGTAATTCCAAGGCTTGAGTTTCTGCTTTTGGTGTTATTTCTGGCTCCATCCTTGGCATGGTGCAAGAAAAGGCATGATACCAGAGAAAAGGGAAGGCAGGAAACTCGGAGGGAGGGAAGGAGAAAGTGGGTAGGAGAAAAGGGAGAGAATGAGGCAGAAAGTGAAAGGAAAGGAGGATGGAAATGGAGTGAGGAAGGATGAGGGGCCAGGAGAGAGGAAGATGATTTCCTAAGCACTTGCTGTGTTTCAGGTCATAGGCTACTTATTTGACCTCCATGTTCTCACTTATTCCCAATGGCTACGCATCAGGTGAGAATTCTACCACTGAACTATCCATGCCTCCTTATGGCTGTGTGACAAAGAGGATGACCGAAGTGACACCAGTGATGTCAAACAAGGAAGGGGAGACAATGATGGAGTGGATCAAAAAACCAAGTAAGGGCCGTGGTGGCTCACGCTTGTAATCCCAGCACTTTGGGAGGCTAAGGTGGGTGGATCACCTGAGGTCAGGAGTTCCAGACGAGCCTGACCAATATGATGAAACCCTGTCTCTACTAAAAATACAAAAATTAGCCCGGTGTGGTGGCATGCGCCTATAATCCCAGCTACTTGGGAGGCTGAGACAGGAGAATCACTAGAACCTGCCAGGAGGCAGAGGTTGCAGTGAGCTGAGATCGCACCATTGCACTCCAGCCTGGACAACAAGAGCAAGCTCCATCTCAAAAAAAAAAAAAGCAAGTCAGAAGCAAGACTTTCATCATACGGCAAATTGTTTCTCCCAATGTGACTTTTTTTTCACTTAATCTGTTTAAAATTTTCTGCCTCTAACACACCCGCTCCTGATCATAGATAATAAATGTGGTGTAACCTTATTCTTGCATTATGAGTCATGAACCCTGGATAATATCAGGGCCCTGGGCTCTTTTGTCTTCAGAGGCCTTTCCTCCATTAAAAAAAAATTAAAATTATATTTTAAGGTTATGTTTGTATAAAGATAAATATATCAACAATATATATTAGAACATTTTCTCCTCTGACTTTAAAAGAAAGTAAAACATTTTGTGGGTGTCTGAAAGTATTGTGAGCCCTAAACTCTGTCCCCACCGTGCCTAATGAGCCATTGGCTCTGACAATACTCTTTATCAATTGATAAGTGAGTGTAGCTTGCATGTGTCACCAAGTGGTGACTGAGTCCTGATGCCTGGAGTGGAGGATCAATGCTGTGTGTGACCGGGGGGGTCACTTTTATAGTGCTAAGCGCCAGTGGTTGAATTCAACTGATCTTCATTCACTAGGTCTTTTCTCAAATGTCAGCGGAACATATATACACGTTTTTTTTTAATTAAAAAAAAAATAGAGATGGGGTCTCGCTGTGTTGCCCAAGCTGGTCTTGAACTCCTGGGCTCAGGCAATTTTCCCATGTCGGTCTCCCAAAGTGCTGGAATTACAGGCGTGAACCACCATACCCAGCCTATGTGCACATTTTAATTAAAAAGTTCTATGAAAGCAAGCACTTGGGTGAATGAAGAGGGAATGAGTTTACTTAGAAAGAGTTTTGCACGTGGTTACTGCAGCCTCGCTCCATCCTGTGCATGTTTCTGTCCCATAAAACAACTGCCTGGAGAATAGCAAAGTGACCTGGAGCTGATAAGGTATCAAGGAACAGAGACTTGTCATTCTCTCCTCTGTGAAGATTCTGAGGGCATGAGCACTTGAAGAAAAATAACAGATAATACAAGATAAGATAAAAGAAAAAGCAAATTCCAAAGACTCTTCTTCCTGTAAATTAAATACTATTCTTAGGGTCTTTCACAATTTTTAGTATTTGTTATGATAGTCTGCAGAACAAAATAAGGTGTTTATTACGAAATCGATCTATCATCTGAATATAGCGTTTGCATTTCTGAAAATCAAATCACCAGAGAAGTTCACAAAGGAACCTCAGGATGAATTATTTTTTAGAGTAACAAACATCTTCTAGAATGTAGCCCTTCTGTAGGCTGGGGGAGTGGATTGGAACGTGAAAAGTGGGTTTCCTAAAAAAGTAGACACTGCGGGAGGTATAGCAGAAGGCATTTATTTTGCATTTGGGTTGCATTTTTCTAAACGACTTCTTCCAGATTTTTGCGTGACTCATGCCTTATCTTTGAGGTCTTAGCTTAATATTTTCCCCTAGGATGAAAACTTTGCTGACCACCCTATAGTTCTCTATGCCACTGTCCTATTTCATTTTCCTAATAGTACATGTGATCATCTGAAGCAGTTCAACACTTGTTGATTGCTGGTGGGTTCACTTGTTTGTTATTTATCTTCCACTACTAGAATGTAAGCTCCATGAGAGCAGACAACATATAGGTTTTATTCACTGTTGAATTTTCAGCATCTAGAACGGTGCTGGCATGTGTTTGTTGAATGACTGATTGAATGAATGAATGAACTCCAAGTGCCCTCCAGAGAACCCTGGAACCAGATATGGGAATATCTCTTGGAAGTAACTAGGAGATGTTAACTGGATCACTGTGTGTTAGAGCTGGAGGGTCCTGGACTGTCATCTGACCCACTCACACGTTTTGCCGATGAAGATGATGTAGTGGCACAGAGAGGTAAGAATTGCCCAAGGCAGAACCACGCAGAGGTTCACGGGGCCCCAGCTGTTTCCAATTCCTGAAGCAGGCCTCAAACCACAATTTCAAAATAAAGGCATATGAAAATCAAACAGGGTACCCACCAAAGTCATCTTCTCTAAGATAAATAAGTCTGTCTCCTCTCACGCAGCTGATATTAATCAAGGCGAGACTATCCGAACACCCAAAAACAAACAAGCAGTTCTCTCTCTTTAAGCTTTCAGCCCAAGCCAAGGAGCTTCTCACTCTCATTTCCTCTCCTTGCTTCCCGCTGTCCCTGACTCAAGGTGATACAAATGAAAAGACCTGAATTTATTAGGAGTTTACCATGTCTTGGGCATTATGCTAAGTGTCTGACATTCCCCATCTATTATCCTCATCTTATAGAAGGGGAATTTAGGCCGAGAGACTTGAGATATTGGCCTGAGGTCACAGAGCTAATAATAGTGGAGTTTGGGCACCATCTCAGGTTGTCTGACGCCAAGACCTGGATTCAAATATTGTACTTTTAACTTAATTTTTAAAATAGATTATACATTCACAGTGTTCAAAATTCAAAAAGTATATATAGGTTTACTATAAAAGCTCCCACCTACACAGAACCACACAGTTTCTGTCCCTAAAGGCAACCAACATAATGAGCTGCTTAGGGATTTTTCTAGAGATACTGTGTACATAGACAAGTCAGTGGAGGAGTGTGTGTGTGTGTGTGTGTGTGTGTGTGTGTGTGTGTCTGCATGTCTGTGTGTATCCTTTTGTCAACTTTTTGCTGTGGAAAATGTTAAACATATAGAAAAGTGAACAGAATCAGTCCGTGTGGTGGTGCATACCTGTAATCCCAGCACCCTGGGAGGCCAAGGCAGGCAGATCACTTGAGCCCAGGAGTTCGAGATCAGCCTAAGCACCATGGCGAGACCCCGTCTCTATAAAAATTATGAAAAATTAGCTGCGTATGGTGGTGCATGCCTATGTGGTCCCAGATACTCTGGAGGCCAAGGCAGGAGGATCTCTTGAGCCCAGGAGACAGAGGTTGCAGTGACCCGAGATCATGCCGCTGCACTCCAGCCTGGCAACATAGTGAGATCCCTTCTCATAAATAAATAAATAAATAAATGAACAGGATCCTACAATGGGAACTTCATGTTCCCATCACCTGCTACAAGTATAAAATCCAGAATGATCTTGTTTTATCCGCAGTCCATAGTCCCCTCCCAGATATCATAGCATTTCATCTATCAGTATTTGTGTATATAGTGAAAAGATGGAGACTTTTAAAACAGAACCTAAATACAATAATGACCCCTGAAAATTTACAATAATTCCTTACGATCATCAAATATCTAGTCAGTATACAAATTTCCAGTTGCCTCATACATGTAATTTTTTTTTTTTTACAGTTTGTTTATTTGAATCAGGACTCAGGTAAGGTCCACAGAATGCAACTGTTGATAGGTCTTTTAAGTCTCTTTTAATCTGTAGATTCTTCCTCTACTTTTCTTTTTTTTTTAATTCCTTGCAATTTATTTGTTGAAGAAACCAATTTGTCCTGTAGAATTTCTAACAGTTTGAATACAAACAGTAGCATAAAATTCATACTGTTTTGCATTTTGCTTTTTTCACGTAACAAAAATCATTAATCCATTCAACAGATATTTAATGATGGCCTAACATTATTCTTTTTCATTTTTGAAGTAATTACTGAATATACGGTATTTTTAATTTATTGATATATCATAGTTGTACATCTTTTGGGGGTACATGTAATATTTTGTACATATATACAAGGTGTAATGATCAAATCAGGGTAATTGGGATATGCATCATCTCACATGTTTGCCTTTTGTTTGTGTTGGGAACCTTACAATTCTTCTCTTCTAGCTATATTCAAGTATACAATAAATTATTGTTAACTGTAATTTCCCTACTGTACTATTGAATACTAGAACTTAATCCTTCTAACTAAGTATTTTTAAATTTATTTTTATTTTAGAGTTAAGGTCTCACTTTGTTGCCCAGGCTGGAGTGTAGTAGTGTCATCATAGCTCACTGCAGTCTCAAACTCCTGGGCTCAAGTGATCCTCCAGCCTCAGCCTCCCTCATAGCTAGGACTATAGACACATTATCACCATGCCTAACTAATTAAAAAAGAATATTTGTAGAGATGGTATCTCACTGTGTTGCCTAAGTTGGTCTTGAACTCCTGACCTCAAGTAATCTTCCTGCCTTGGCTTCCCAAAGTTCCAGGATCACAGGCGTGAGCCTTGGCACCTAACCATTATAACTACTTTTGTACCCCTTAACCAACTTCCCTTCATACCCTCTTCCTCCTTCCCTTCCCAGCCTCTGCTAATACGGTTCTACACATTGGGACATAATAGCAAACAAAACAAGCACACAAAGAAATAATCCCCACCTTCATGGAATGTACATTTTAGTGGTTGTTTCCAAGCTTTGGCATTATAAACAATACAGCATTTTGCATAGAAGAGTGCAATCCATAAGGTAAATTCTTAGGAGCCAATTGACAACTCAGAGGGTAATGCATTTAAAATTTTTATAGATATGCAACATTTTTCTTCAATTAAATTTTACCCATTTCCACTCCCACCAGCAACATGGGAGAGAGCCTACTCCCCCACACCCTCACCTGAGTAGTATTAAGGTGTTTTTTTTTTTTTTTTAATCTTTTCCCATTTCTTAGTTGAAAAACTGTCATCAGCATAGTTTTGGCTTTTTATTTTCTATTTTATTATTACTATTTTTAGAGACAGGGGTCTCACTATGATATGCAGGCTGGTCTCGAACTCCTGGGTTCAAGCAATCCTCCCATCTCGTCCTCCCAAAGTACTGGGATTACAGGCATGAGCCACCACAACTGGCCTATTTTCATTTATCTTAGAAGTAACATTAGGCTTCATTTTCATGTGTTTAAGAGACACTTTGATTTTCTCTTCTGTCCATTCATCATTTTCCTGTTTTTCTGTGAGCCTTTGGTCTTCTCAGTTTGTGGGTGCTCTATGTACCCTAGAGGAATAAGCCCTTTCTTTGCTCTGAGTTGCAAATATTTTTTCCTGTTTATTATTTCCCCTTTGCTTCGAGTGTGGAGATTCTTACCATTTGGAAAAAAATCTGATTTTTAAAAAATGTAGTCAAATTTAGGCTGGGTGCAGTGGCTCACACCTGTAATCCCAGCACTTTGGGAGGCCAAGGCTGATGGATTACCTGAGGTCAGGAGTTCGAGACCAGCCTGACCAACATATCAAAATGGTGAAACCCTGTCTCTATTAAAAAATACAAAAATTAGCCAGGCATGGTGGCAGATGCCTGTAATCCCAGCTACTCAGGAGGGTGAGGCAGGAGAATCACTTGAACCCGCGAGGCAGAGGTTGCAGTGAGCCGAGATCACATCACTGCACTCTAGCCTGGGCAACAGAGCAGGACTCTATCTCAAAAAAAAAAAAATGTAGTCAAATTTATAATCTTCTCTCTCATGGCTTCTGAGTTTTGCATCAGAGTTAGAAAAAGCTTGGATTGTTAGTCACCACGTTATTTCACTGGCCAAGATTGTCTGAGTTAACCCACAGTAATAAATAACCACAGACTCTCACTGGTTTAACATAACGAAGCTAATTTCTTGATCACACCACACATCCAGTACAGACCATCAGTGCCTGCTTTCACTCTTGAGATCCGAGCTTCAGGGGCCGCCTTGACCTGTATGTCTATCATCACTGTGCCAGGAGAAGGCGTCGTGGCAAAGGGCACACCAGCACTTGAGGCTTTCACTCACATTTCATTGGCCAAAGCAAGTCCTATTCCCCACCTGAGCTCCAGGTGAGAGGGCAGTGCCATTCTAGGTGTGCCCCCAGAGAAAGGGAATGTGCGTGAGGCCCCTTAATGATGGCCACAGGCTCCTCCTCCCTTGCTCGAGTCCAGGTGAAGAACTGTTTTTCTAGCAACCCCAGTTCTATGACTTTCCCTGACACATCCACATGCAAAGTAATGCAATAGAGACCCACATACCGGCAGATCGCTACTAGCTGAGTGTGTGACCAGTTTGAATATCTGGATGGGCCAAATGTTCACAATGGCCACACTTAACCACAAAACACAACAGCCTTCAATGTCCCAGCCCTTGACCTAAGCATCACTGTTCTCCAAGCATGTGGAGGCTTCAGCTTTCTCACTTCGGGAGCCGAGTTGACACTGTTACGCACTGGCTAGTTTAGCTTTTTTGGGTGCAACATCTGGAGCAAATGTGTAACTTGATATTGGTCACTTTTACACAAAAATAAATAGTCTGTATCCGACAGACCCAGTGAAAGGTGCTGTTTGTTTAGACAGTGGATTTTTTGCAGAATTCACGAAGCCAATGGATCTTGGAACTCTCAACATAAACAATAAGGAAAATTGAAATAAACCCTTATAAAGCCTAAGAGACAGGAATGTTTTCTTCAGCGTGAATCATGAGCTAATTATTGTTCCTAAAACTGTAAAGCAAATTAATTATGCCTACTCAGCAGCTAGAGAACATGAAGGATCCAGCACCTGCCTTGTGTTCAAATATAGACTATTTAGAGACAAGAGGTGTGTTTGATTTTTCTGCTTGCTAGAACATATTCTCTCAAGTTTCTTCAAGCAGCAGGGTTCTCTCGTGAGGATATATACATGAGTAAAATGAGAAGCAGGGATCTCATAGGACCCTAAGGACGGAAGCCAGTGGATACCAGGACTTTGGTGGAATTGAGACTGTATCCAAAGCAAGGCCCAGAATGGTGGCCCAAGCCTGTAATCCCAGCACTTGGAGAGGCCGAAGTGGGTGGATAGCTTAAGTTCAGGAGTTTGACACCAGCCTTGGCAACACAGTGAGACCTTGTCTCTACAAAATAATAAATAAATACCTAAATAAAAAACAAATACAAAGCATTTCTAGGAGCTCATTCAGCAGCAGCAGTGGGGCTCTATTTAGAAGAACCCCAGGGGAAGAGCGGGCTTTTGAGTGACACGGGTGCCTTGGAGGGACGAACAGCAGTGGGAACCTCCATTATGTCCTGGGATGGAAAGCTGACAGGTCACGAAATGCAATGGTTAAGGAGCCAACACAAGTGTCAGTTGTCTTTTGAGGATCCAGGCCACGTGCTCACTACAGACAGAGACAGTGAGGACAGAGACTTGGAAAATTATAGCATGAAAAAGATAAATCCGGGCCGGGTGTGCTAGCTCATGCCTGTAATCCCAGCACTTTGGGAGGCCAAGGCAGGCGGATCACCTGAGGTCAGGAGTTCAAGACCACCCTGGCCAACATGGTGAAACTCTGTCTGTACTAAAAATACAAAAATTAGCCAAGCATGTTGGTGCGTGCCTGTAATCCCAGCTACTCAGGAGGCTGAGGCAGGAGAATTGCTTGAACCTGGGAGGCAGAGGTTGCAGTGAGCAGACATCACGCCACTGCACTCCAGCCTGGGTGACAAATCGAGACTCCATCTCAAAAAAAAAAAAGATAAATCCCAGTTTGGGATTAGTCAGTTTAGCTACTAAAATTTTAAAAGCTTGTATTTGAGTCATGGTAGAAAAACAAACAAACAAACAACAATAATAACTGTGGTGGATTGCATTATTTATTTCAAATATTTGTTCCTCCTGTCTACTAGGCTAACTCCAAGGGGGCCCCTCCCTGGCACCCCACCTGGTGGGAGGAGTACACATCTTGCCCATTGAGGGCAGGGTTTGCTGCGTGGCTTTCTTTGTCCCATGGAATTTATACAATGCCTGAACAGATGTGTTAAGACCCATCAGTGTTCTGGGAGTTGAATGGTTCTGCCATTGCTTTGTTCCACAAGACTAAGATAGAGGCTGTTCCTTCAGCCCGTATTGCAGAACAACAACAAAAAAATGCAGAGTGAAATCTGACCCACTGCCAATACGTATATGAGCAAGAAATAAATATTTGATGTTGTAAGGCACTAGGATTTTGGAGGACGTGTATTATTGCAACATAATCTAGCTTAAGCTGATGGATGTGGCTATTAGGACCAGAAACGTGATGCTGATCTATTAAAAGTCCCGAAATACATAGCATGTTTCCTGCAACAACGCTTTGCCTGCAACAAGAAAAATGGACCGAATGAACTTGTGACTTTTGTTAAGAAGCAGGAAAACAAAACATTGGTAGCATGAGTTTGCTTCTATTGCTTGCA
The DNA here is from genome assembly GCF_000001405.40 of Homo sapiens. Taxonomy (NCBI): domain Eukaryota; kingdom Metazoa; phylum Chordata; class Mammalia; order Primates; family Hominidae; genus Homo; species Homo sapiens. Next base: position 30,179,008 of record NC_000010.11, read on the forward strand.
TCTGACATGGGACTACAAGAAATACATAAATACCAAAAACTATTTCCAGCCTAAAAGTAGAATTGAAATAAAATATGGGAGGTCCAGATATTACAAAGTTAGAATTTGGAGTAAAGAAGATGACAAAGTAAGGAGAACAGGGTAAAAGCTGTTAGAGAAGCAATTCTTCTCGAAATCTTCACATTGGTTCTATACCCTTGGTATTTTCTACTTCTTCCTTGCCTCTCTGGAGTGGCTAAGACAGAAGGTGAGGGGACTGGGGGTTGCCAGTCACAGTGGAGGGCACAGGTACGGTACGTGTACTCAATGCTTAATGCAGACATCCAGCTCTTTTCTGCCACTCAACTGCCAGCATGCTGGAGGTCAGACCCGTCCTCTTCAGCCAGGAGATTATAACAGCCTCGGGAGAATCTTACCAATATGTTAAGACACTGACATTAAGGGGTCCCCCAACAAATGTCTGCACACCTCACACTCTAGTGTGAAAGTCACCAAGTCCCAATCATGAACTCAGAACTTCTAATCAGTTTTGTATTCCTCAGCTTTTTTTTTTTGTGAGGCAGAGTGTTGCACTGTTCACAAGCTGGAGTGCAGTGGCCCAATCTCAGCTCACTGCAACCTCTGCCTCCCGGGTGCAAGCAATTCTCCTGCCTCAGCCTCCCGAGTAGAGTAGCTGTGACTACAGGTGCACACCACCACGCCCGGCTAATTTTTTTGTATTTTTAGTAGAGATGGGGTTTCACCATGTTGGTCAGGCTGGTCTCAAACTCCTGACCTCAGGTGATCCGCCCACCTCAGCCTCCCAGAGTTCTGGGATTACAGGAGTGAGCTACTGCGTCCGGCCTTCTCAGCTCTTAAACTGTGCAGGCTGAGGATTAGCACACAGCTGAGAAAACTGAAACAAACAGAAAAGAATCAACTTGGAGAAAATAGAGACCATTCAGGAAGAAAAACACTTTTATATATAATTAAAAACTTTAAATATATATAAAACATACATTAAAATTTTTAAATAAAGTTTTATGTATAATTTAAAACTTTAATATGTATAACATATATATTTATGTTATCTTATCTTGTCCCGGTACTGAGGTTTCTTCTTTCTCCTCCATGACCTACCACTTGGATCAGCTGAGAATCCTCATTTCACCCTCACAGAAATGTTCTTTGACTTACTCTTGGGAGCTGAAGGTAGATTATGTTAAGTTTAGACCCAGGAAGTTCTGGGTAGCCTACTTGCCTGACCATTCACTGCTGAACCCAGATCCTGCTCCACAAATGGATGCCTCAGTGATGTGCTCCCACGTTTCCAGGTTTCAACAATGGCCTTGTCCCTGACCTTTCCAGAAGGGATGCTCTTACACATCCGGGGAATCTAAACCCAGAGATTCAGTTGAATTTCTTCTCCCAGGACAGCAATTTACTTGTTTGCTACTCAGTCAAAACGGAGCGATGCATTTTTTGAGGATACAAACATGAGTTGGAAATCTATAAAGAAAAGCAAAGGAATCACTAACGCAGAAGTCTGGAGAGGGATTTCCTGAAGGTGGAGGCTAGGGGCTGTCTTAGAGAAGAGTATCAAAGGGTGCTTCTAAGCTACGGACATGATCCTCCTTCTGAGCCTGAGAGAAGAGTATGCAGGGATTAATTTTATTCTTCTCTTGTTGGTACATACATGTTTTCTATTCTATTATGCATGATACATTTCACAAAAAATTTATTATTCTGATTTAAAAAAGAGTCAAATAACAGTGAATGATTTAAGAAAACAAACCAAATCAAAAGACTGAGGAAGCTCTGTGTTCAAAAAACAAACAAAAAAGGGTACATACATATGCACACATCCACACAAACATGCACTCACACACACACACACACGCATTTGCCTGTGTCCATATAAAATGCCCATGGAAGGATCCATTAGAAAATGGTACTCCAAACTGCAAATGGGCCGCCTGGAGACCAGGGTTATAGAACTCTCACATTCTGTCCTTTTACAGTTTTGAATTTTGCCACACTTGAAAGTTTTGCTTAGAAAAAAACAAACAAAAAAAACACCCTTTTTTTTAATAAAAAGAAAGAAGCCTGATAAAACCAAAGAAAATGTTATGGAGGATGCAGAATCATATCTTGCTGATAGGAGAGCAAATTGGTAAACCTCATTGGAAAGCAATTTGGAAATATCTCACCAAGTTGAGCCAGCAACTACACTCCTAGGTATATGCTCTAGAAAAACTTCTTTCGGCCGGGCACAGTGGCTCACGCCTGTAATCCCAGCACTTTGGGAGGCTGAGGTGGGCAGATCACGAGGTCAGGAGATCAAGACCATCCTGGCTAACACGGTGAAACCCTGTCTCTACTAAAAATACAAAAAATTAGCTGGGTGTGGTGGCGGGCACGGTGGTGGACGCCTGTAGTCCCAGCTACTCAGGAGGCTGAGGCAGGAAAATGGCGTGAACCTGGGAGGCAGAGCTTGCAGTAAGCCGAGATTGCGCCACTGCACTCCAGCCTGGGCGACAGAGCAAGACTTCGTCTCAAAAAAATAAAAAAAATTACCTGGTGTGGTGACATGCACCTATAGTCCAGCTACTTAGGAGGCTGAGGGATGAGGATCTCTTGAGCTCAAGAGTTGGAGGCTGTAGGGAGCTATGATCAGGCCATCACACTCCAGCCTGGGTGAGAGTGAGATGCCATCTCTTAAAGAAAAAAAAAAGTTATCATGCCAGACTCCCTTGTTTCTTGGGATAAGTTTTCTCCCAAGAGATGCTTCCAATATTCACTAAAAAAAAAAAAAAAAAAAAAAGTTTCCAGGAAGACCTGCCTTATCAGGCCTCCCCACCCCAGGTAAGGGCTAAACCTCCACCCCTCCACTCGGCCCCAAGATGAGACCCCAGTCCAGGTGCATGTAGAGTAATGGGCTTGGGGTCAAGGTGCAGAAGGTTCTGGCACCAGTAGACAGCTGTACTGAAGTTTGGGGTCAGGATTGAGGCTGTGCAGGTTTCTCCACTGCCCAGGAGAGCTGGGTGTCTGCCCCCTCCATCCAGCGCGCCCAGCAGAGCTACAGGGACAGTGGCTTCGGATGAGCAACAGTCACCGAGGAATATGCTGAGCGAGTAGAGTCCAGGTCTGCATTCTGGAAGCTTAGGGTTAAGGGACTTAATAGGGCCAGTGCCTGGGACCTCTATACAACGCAGAATTGTGGAAAGCCTGCTTCCCACAGCAGGCTTCGGTGGTGACGGTTTTTTGTTGGGAAATCAGCAAGCCTCCTCTTTGCCTTTTTTGGAGACAGAGCAATCGGGCTTATGTGCTTGGGAAAGATGTGTTGGAGAATATGCTTTTCATTACATTACACAGAGGCAGACGAAGCTGAGGGTCAGGCCCAGGTCTCTGGAGCTGAGGCTTTAGTACCAATTTCCTCTGGAGGGGCGGCTGCCTGATGCACACTACTTTCCCAAGAATTTGACACTGTAAGACTCAGGACACGGGAATGAGAGGCTTGGAGAGTCCCGATGTCATCTCTTCCATTGGCTTTTTTCTTCCCTTCCCTTTTGATCTTCCCGTCCCAGGCCCGCCGTTTGTTTTCCATTATCCAGCTTCCTGCTCTCATGTCCAGAGTCCCAGGGCTCCAGTGTCCTGGCCCCCATCGGTGCCAGGGCTGCCCAGAAGGCAGACAAATCAGAGGCGTCGTAGCCTGGCGTCTCCTCGCATGTCGAGGGCCGCTTTCACCATCTGCTTTCAATGAAGTGTGGGTTTCGGTACATATTATGGAAACAGAAATGGAAAAACCATCGGGGTCCCTCCTGCAAAAACAATCATTATCCACTGAAATGAGCTCTTAGGAACTTCCGGGTGGAGAGCACATCACTATTAATGAAGAAGAATTCAGACAGGAATTCTGGCCGGGCTGGACAGACAGGAGAGGGAAGAAGAAATGGAATGTTCTGACTCACCCGGCAGTTAAGAGGAGAGTCCCTTAATAGAGCAAACAGAACAGTCCTACAGCCGCGGCTGTGGAATCTGCTGCCAGCCTGGTTTCTCTCTGACTCAGAATGTGGCTTTCAGGGCTATGGTGCTGGGGAGGTGGGCTCCATCACCCGAGGAACACCTAGCCCGCGACAGAGGAGATACGAGCACAAAGGCTGGGAATGCCATCTGCACTAGCAGGACCTGGCCAGCCCGGGTCCGCCGGTGCCAGGGAGGGCTAGGCCTCAGAGCCAGACTCACACCAGCCTTCCTGGAGGAATTTGCCATCCTTCACTCTCCCTCGCCCTGTGTACCCCATGTGCTGAGGAGTTGCAGTGTGAAGACAGGAGCCTCAACAAGTCTGCAGTTTAGCGAGCAAGAAAAGGAAGCATCAAAGCTGCATCAAACTTAGTGAGGATGGGGAGAAAGAGGAGTTTCCACAATGCCCTTGGTATTTTCTCCTCCTGAGAGAAGAGCCAGCCAGCGCTGCCCATTCTAGAGAGTGATATATGCATGCATCCTATGTGTGATTGCAGGACTGGGGCATGGTGCATGTGTGTGTGTGTGCGTGTGTGTGTGTGTGTGTATCAAAAGCCCACTTTCCCTCCGGTCGCCCATGCCTGAAATTCTACACGTAAAGGCCATTCTCTTCTTCCCTCTTCAGACACCATCATCTCAAAGAGAATAATACTTTATGCTTTATCAGTAATTGGCATCATTGGGGAAATTCATTCATCAGACTCTCCTCTTCATGGGAGCAAAAAGGGCTGAAAATGAGAATGCCGAGTACTGGTATGGGACCATGCAGGAGAGAGAGATGTGCTGGGCTTCCCAGCTGTGCTCAGGGATCCACACCTGAGTCCCAGCCTCTGTGCGGTGAGGGAGAGCAGATGAGCAGGGAAGAATGTGTCCTCCCTCCTCCCAGAGACCACCAATTTCAAGTCAATGCTTTTCAGGGAACAGCGTCTGTTGATAGGTAGCTGGTTTCCAAATCTGGATTCCTCATAGATGGGTCTGGCTTGGGACCCCCTCATTTCCAAATCCTGCACTTTCCATCAGCTGGCATTTCCATGTGTCTAGGGCTTAACTATTCTCAACCTGCTTCTGTTAAAATGGTGCAAAAGTAATTGCACCAACATAATACATAACTTCTCTCATGGATCCTCACAACAACGTGAACACATGGTCATTTTTACCTGTTGGGAAAAGACAGCGAGTGAAGCCAGGCATGGTGGCTCAAGCCTGTCATACCAACTACTTGGGAGGCTGAGGTGGGAGTATTGCTTGAGGCCAGGAGTTCAAGACTAGCCTGGGCAACATAGCAAGATTCCCCCATCTCAAAAATGAAAGAAAGAGAGAGAAAGGAAGGAAGCAAGGAAGGCAGGAGGAAGAAAGGAAGGACAAAACCAGCAAGAAAGAGTCTGAGGGGGAAAGGATGAGGAAACTCCTTCCCTCAGTTCCCTAAGCACCATGCTGCACACACCTGCAGGCACCTCACTGCATCAGAACCCAGAGTGCAGGAAGGAGCCATTCATCTTCCTGGGAATGAGTCTTCCAGATGCAACACTGTAGCAACAGTAACTATTATCTCTGGCACAACGTTGCTTACAAAACAGAGGGCCCTCAGAAACTTCAAGGCCAGCTATTGAACTCTGTCCTGATGCAGGCACACACATTAGTTCAGTAATTACAATGCTGCAGTAAAGAACTCCTTAATTCTTCCCAGGCCGAGGGAAGGTGCAGATGGCTGGGAAGGTCTGCCCTTCTTCCCTGGCATTGAAGAGGATAGGGACTGCTTGTCTTCTTGGTGGGCGGGCTATTTATTTACTCAGCTCTCTGGATAGCCTCAGAGTGGTAGGCTTAAATAAACCAGAGCGTGGGGGTGGCACGTGCTGGGAAGGTGGGAAGTGAGCCTCCTGTCCCACTCAGGTCTCTCCTGAGTTTGGAGCCACCTTACAAATCACAAATTCCACGGCCAGAGAGTCATGGTTCCAGCAACTCCCCTTGTCACATACAGGCCCGGAGCCAATTCAGCAAAGACAGGAGACATTGCAAACCAAATGGTGAGCTCAAACAAGTCACCATGGCCAGGTGAGGTGGCTCACACCTGTCATCCCAGCACGTTGATAGGCTGAGGTGGGCAGATAGATCACTTGAGCCCAGGAGTTCAAGGCTAGCTGGGCCAACATGGTGAAACTGCGTCTCTGCTAACAATACAAAAATTAGCCGGGCTTGGTGGGGTGTGCCTGTAGTCCCAGCTACTCGGGAGGCTGAGGCAGGAGAATTGCTTAAACCCAGGAGGCGGAGGTTGCAGTGAGCCGAGATAACACCACTGCACTCCGAGTTAGACCCTGCCTCAAAAACAACAACAACAACAACAAAACCCCCAAAACAAACAAAAGCCCCAAAACCCAACAAACAGAAAAACCCCCCAAACAGACAAACAAAAAAACCCAAGTCACCAAGCAGCCATCAAAGCTCCCCTTGCTTTGTTACACCAACTTAGGCGCTTGCTCATCAATCACTGCTCATTCTTCAGTCTATTCCTGAGTGCTTGCTTTGGAATTTACTGTTATTTTTTGTCTCATACTAGATTGTTCCAAGTGGGGCCTATTCTTTCTAATTTTTAATATACATTCCCATATAGTTCACTGAAAATGTTGGACACTCATCAGATCATCTGGATATGATAATTTTGGGTGGGTGGGAGGATGGTGTGATTTGTCCTGGCTACACTGGAATTTTAGAGATCTCTTTTTATTTATTAATTTTTTTTTTGTAGAGACAAGGTTTTGCTCTGTCCCACAGGCTGGAGTGCAGTGGTACAATTGCAGCTCACTGCAACCTCCAACTCCTGGGCTCAAGCAATCCTCCTACCTCTGCCTCCCAAGTAGCTGGGATTACAGGTGTGCACCATTACGCCTGGCTGATTTTAGGAATTTAAAACCAGACTACATCTTTGCTAAAAGTTTCTTTTCACCTTTTGGGGTTCACTTAACTAGTTCAGACACTGTTTGGCAATTCTGGTTCAACAGGACTTGAGAGTGCTCTGGGACTAATTGAGCCAAGTACCATACTATGAATCTGGTTGGTGACTAATGTACTTGGAACTAATAGGAAAGAGTTAGTTTATTTTGGCTCAGTGATCTGGCCAGCCATTGCTTAGTGACCACAAATTATGACCCACAGAAGAAGTGAAGTAATTTATGTATAATCATAGAACAGCTAACACCTAGACAGAGGTTCTTCTGAGCCAGGCATCATGCTAAGAACTTTGCATATATTAACTCATTTAATCCTAAAAACAACCGGCTGAGGTGAGTTTTATCGTTATCCCCGTTGTGCAGATAAGGAAACTTAGGCAGAGAGAGGTAAGCAATTTCTCCAAGGTCACACAGGGTTAGCTGGACCTTATATAGACCCAAGACTCACTCCCTGTCTTGCCTTGCACATTGGCAAAGGCTAACCACGATTTTTAATGAACTCTGGGCAATTAATGGAGTTGATTAGCCGTGGCCGAATTTGTGCTGCCACCATGAGGAGGAAGAATCATAGTCCACCCAGACTGATGAGAACTCAGGAACCAGGAAAGGCAAGGTGAATGTGAAGCTGAGGTCTGTGTCTCCACTCAAGGACCAAACAGGAAATTCAGGGTGGGAGGGGGGCTCTGTCCAGTCTCCCAGCAGTGACCAGGGACAATGAGCTGGGCTTGGGCACCGCAGGGCTTAATTGTGGACTGTACCATGTTAACCGAGCTCAGAGTCCAAAGGCTAAAGTGAAACAGAAAGCCAGGCCGACTGTCTGGCTGGGTCATCTGCCCAAGAGGATTAGAGGAGGCAGAGCAACGCAGGTGTGAGTTAGCAGGGTGGAAAAACGAACCCAGCGTGCAGGCGCAGCTAGGAAGAGGTGGGGACAGATGCCCTCCGAGCGTGCCGCACTACTTCTCACGGGAAACCTTCAGGCCTGGGGAGTCTCTGGGGCGTGGTGAGGGAGGTGCTGTTCCTCCTCTCATATTCCTGGCTTGGCAGAGCCTGGTCCTGAAGTTGGGATATGGTCTAGTTACTAATATATTCTGTTAGGACATGACCAGGACACAGGAATCCCAGCTCACCGCATCCCCACCTGGGTTCAGAGAAGCAGATTGGATAGTGGGTAGACGGATGGCCTTTCGAAGCAGATAAACCTGGGCTCAGACTTTGGCCTCCGTTAACTCTTAGCTATGTGACCTTGGGCAAATCTATAACCTCCCTCTAAGCCTCAGTCTTGCCAGTTATAAAATGGGAATATTAATAAAACATGTAACTAACCAAGTTAATGTAGTAGTTAAATGCCATAAGAGGTGCAGGATAGTTTGCAGAAGGGTTGACTTGCACTAAATGATACCTCTATTTGCTGTTGTTATCAGTGTCAGGAATAACAAACGTTATTGGCTGGAAGGTGGCAAGGAGAGGGCAGGACTGAGCTAAATCATCCTTCTAATTGTTTGCGGGGCTCTCTTTTCTTCCTCTACTTCTAACTACTTGGATATGAGCCCTTCCAAAGGATCTCCCCTCCCCCAGAATCCCAAGCAAATGCCAGGTGCTTAAGGGACAGCAGGGTGGTGGCTCAGGAGGAAGCCCTAGGTCTTCTCCCACAACCAACTCTCACCTCAGTTCTTGCCTCAGCCAGAAGAGCTGCTGTGGGTCCCTTGATCCAAATAGCCGTAATAAAGCTAAGCTGCCTCGGATTTCTAAGGCCATTTTCTCAGAAGAGTCCCGTGGGCCCCTTTGAGTCAATCCTGGGAAGCCAACGGGGTGGAAGGAGAGTCAGGCTCCACGAGGTCGGGACTGTCAGCTCAGAGTCTATTCCTGGCCCTTCCTAGCCTCACCTGGGTCTAAGTACGCTCCCTGGCCCCACAAATGCCCCGTTAGCTATAGGCATCACCTGCTGAGCTCCCAGCCTCTTTGCGAGGTACTCCTTATTCTTCCAACTTTCAAACAATAGAAACACAAAATCTGTGTTTCTGTGTTTGGACACAACTCTCGTCACTTTGGATAGGTGCCTCCAGCTGTATGATGAGACGTGGGCTCTGCTCACTCACCGTGACCTCGAAACCCTTGAGACCCCTGTGGAGCAGAGCACGTCCTCACCCCCAGCAGCCCAGCCTCCTCCTGGGACCCCCTTCTGTCCCATCAAGGGACATCTCTGATACCTGGGAGACCTGGGCACCGGAGCCCCTTGCTCACCAGCCCCTGCCCAGTGAAGAATGAATGACTTCAGGATCCACTGCTTAACAAAGAAACACATGAAGGGGCCTGATTTTCCCGGCTGCTAAGAGGGGAAAGGAAGCTGGGCTCTGTGAATCACACAATGCCATCCAAACAATTCAAGGAAATGTCCAAGGGAAGGGACCAAAATAGCCCAGCACATCCCTGCATGCTGGGAGAGTCAAGAAAATGAAAGCCGGGGTCTGTCCAGCACAAGGAGATGGGACATTTAAAAAAAGAAAAGACAGTTTCCCCACAGCAGAGGAAGCTGCCATTTATAAATATTTACTGAGACAAAGTTGTGCATTCACTTCCAAGCCCAGGAAGGAAATATTCCAGGGCAGAGGTAGAGGTCTGGGTGCTGGAGGCCGGCTCTCCCCTGCCGGGGAGCCAGCCACCGTGCCCATCAATCTGATCCTCAGCTCTGGGTTACGTGACAGATTGTGGGTAGCTTGACATAGGCCACGATGAGACGAGCCGCACTGCAGAAATGGGCAAGTGTCACACAGGAGGGCTCCTCTCCCCACCACCACAGGACCGACAGTTCCACGTTTACCAGCACGTCACTGGGCGGAGAGACCAGTAAGGGACCCAGCACATCCCAGCAGGTGGCAGGACTTCACTCCTAGTGGGTTTTGGCTTGACTGTGGATGCCCAGGAAGACGAGCCTTTGGCCCAGGCTGTGTCCTCCAGTGGAAGGACTTCATTGGCAGAGAAGTTTGAATAGAGATGCTAACTCTCCAAGTCTTCTCTCTCTCCCTCTTTTCTAACAGAGTCAATTCTGAAAAGCTCTCTCTGGAGGAAAGAGTCTTCAAGACCCAGCTAACTAAACATGGAGCCCAGGAGAGGATAAACAGTATCTGTTATCATACTCATTATCCTTGGCTTCAAAGGACTCAACATGTTTACAAAGAGAACACGAGAGTTCTCTATGTTTATTTTAAAGTATGGACTTTAATAAACAGTCTTAAAAAAAAAACCAAATAACTCACGGGGAAAGCAATCTTCTTTCTGTGTTTTATGCATCAGTCAAAACATAACACTCCCTTTGGCTTTGGCTTAAATGAGTTTTGTTTCTTCACTAAAGTTCACCGTTTATAAAATACATACACTTTATTGACTTTGATCTCCCCACTGGCACAGCTTGAGGTTGGTTCAAAGTTCTATAGAGTTAAACACAACCACATGTGACTGAGGCAGCTCTTGTGGCCTGTTTGCCAATGTCTGCAAAGGCAAGACAGGGATCAGAAATTTTAGAGAGGCAAGCGATGCCAAGATCAAGGGTGTGCCCCCGACTCCGAGGAGACCTCAGCCAAAGGCTTCCTCCTCCTGGCCTGCTTCTGGGTAGCCAGAACTTTTACCAGGATGGAGAGGTGGGCAACGTGGCACAGGCCCACACTGTCTCCCAGAGGTGAGGAGTATGCCAGCCGAATTGGCTCTTTCTTATCTTCCCAGACTTGAGACACTTGGAAGAAAATGCATGTCTTTGCAGGTTTTTTTTAAAAAGTAAAATTCATACTCCTTAGTTACAAGAAGTCAAAAGTATAGGCATTTAAAATCTATGTGCTTGTGCACCCGTGCGTAGAGGTATATAGGTAAGCACGCAGATGAATGATAGAGATGAATAGATAGATGGACAGACAGACAGATAGATGATAGGTAATAGATAGACGATAGTTAAATTGATAGGTGATAAATAATACATAGATGATAGGTAAATGAGAGTAGATAATAGTAGATGATAAATAGTAGGTAAGTAGATAGGTAGATGGATGGATGTAAAATATAAAGGAGTTTAATTGAGCAATGAATGATTTGTGAATCAGGCAGCCCCCAGAGTCACAGCAGAGTCACAGAGACTCCAGGGATGTCTCGTGGCCAGAACACATTTATAGACAAATAAAAGAGGGAAATGATATACCGAAATCAGCAGTGAGGTAAAGAAAGAGCTGGATTGGTTACAGGTTGGCATTTGCCTTATTTGAACACAGTTTGAACACTTAGCAGTCTATGAGTGGTTAAAGTGTGGCCACTGGGATGGGCCAAGACTCAGCTACTGTTACAGGTGCATACTACTAAGTTAGGTTTTCAGTCTTGTCTGCCTATTAAGCTAGGTGGCAGTTCATCCACAAGGACTCAAATATAGAAGTATGGAGTCCTTCTCTGTGGGCGGAAAGCCACTCAGGTGCCGAAGCAAGAGACTGAAGGCACAGGCTGTTCCAATATAATAAAGAAAATAGTTAGGATAAGAGAAAGTTATATGAGTAATAGAATATAGAGATGATTATATATGGATATTATAAATCATTAGTTTTTAGTATTAATCTTTGTATTATTATTATTACCAAAGAAAAATCAGGCCATACAGAGTTAGGAACTGAAGGGACATTGTGAGAAGTGACCAGAAGACAAGAGTGTGAGCCTTCTGTATGCCCGGATAAGGGCCGCTTGAGGGCTCCTTGGTCTAGCGGTAGTGCCAGTGCCTGGGAAGGCCCCCGTTATTTAGCAGACTGGGAAAAGGAGTCTCCCTTTCCCTGGGGGGAGTCAGAGAACACTCTGCTCCACCAGCTCTTGTGGGAGGCCTGACATTAGCCAGGCCTTCCCACTGTCATCCAGAGGCTTGAACGTCTCCCTGTGATGCTGTGCTTCAGTGGTCACGCTCCTTGTCCACTTTCATATCCCACCTGTACACCTGGCTCCTCCTTTTAAGTTCTTAAAAGATAGCAGTAACAGAATTAGTGAAAGTATTAAAGTCTTTTATCTCTCTGATAAGTGCATAGAAGAAATGCTGACGTATGCTGTCCTCCCTCTCTGCTTCCGCTACCACAAAGGGAAAGGCCCCCTGTCACGTGGACATGTGACTTGCTTGACCTTATCAATCATTTGAGATGACTCACACTCCTTACCCTGCCCCCTTGCCTTGTATACAATAAATAGCAGTGCGTCCAGGCATTCGGGGCCACTACCAGGCTCCGCACATTGGTGGTAGTTCTCCTCTGGGCCCAGCTGTCTTTTCTTCTATCTCTTTGTCTTGTGTCTATTTTTCTAAGATCTCTCGTCTCCGCACACAAACAGAAAACCCACAGGCCCTGTAGGGCTGGACCCTACACTTCTCAGGCCATATTTAGTTTGCTTTAACAGATAGATGTATACATAGATAGATGATAGATAGATAGACAGATAGATAGATAGATAGATAGATAGATAGATAGATAGATAGATAGATGTAAATTCTCTGTCAACTCTCTGATTTTATTCTTCCTGCAAGAAAATTTTCTATCATTTTCTGCAGGCACTGGGGTTGCCTACCTGGCAGCCATTGTCCCCTTCTTCTGTGGTGACAGAGTCCTGATTCAGTTCAGTTCCATCTCTCCTCCTGAGGACTCAGAATTAAATCTGTTTGTTCTAAGTCAGTCCTGGTGACCCCAGTACCCTTGCCTGGGACTGGTTCAGTATTTGATAGGAGATCATTTCTTTCTTTCTTTTTTTTGAGATGGAGTCTCACTCTGTTGCCCAGGCTGGAGTGGCTCACTGCAGCCTCCGCTTCCCAGGTTCAAGCAATTCTCCTGCCTCAGCCTCACAAGTAGTTGGGATTGCAGGCATCTGCCGGCATGCCTGGCTAATTTTTTTGTATTTTTAGTAGAGATGGGGTTTCACCATGTTGGTCTGGCTGGTCTCAAACTCCTGACCTCAGGTGATCTGGCAGCCTCGGCCTCCCAAAGTGCTGGGATTACAGGCGTGAGCCACATTGCCCAGCCGGAGACCATTTCTAATCAATGAGATATGATGGATGATTCGCTTGTGGACTACTGACAGGAGAAGACTTTTCCTCCCCAAATAAAGGGAATTAGGAAAGAACTCTCTTGTTTTTCTGTCTCCAGCATGTTTGAAGCTACTGCAGTTGTCTTAAAACCATGAGGGCAGCTAATTGAAGATGAAGAGTGAAATGATGGAGAAATTGAAGTCTTTACTTAACATTCAGTTAATCCACTGAATGAATCAACTGTAAAATTGACCTCATTCTGGACTTCCTGTTATAAAAGAAATAAATTCTCTTATTATTCAGGTTTTTTTTGGGGGGGGGAGAGTAACGGCTTTATTAAAATATAATTCAGATACTATATAATTCACTCATTTAAAGTGCACCACCCAGGGCTTTTTAGTATATTCACGGGGTTGTGCAACCATTACCACAAATCATTTAGAAAACATGCCCATCGCCTCCAAAGCTATGCCACCCCCCATCCTCCCCTTTACACCAGCCCTAAAAACCACTAATTCTGTCTCTGTGAAATTGCCTGTTGTGGATATCTTATTTTATTTTATTTTTTTGAAACGGTGTCTTACTCTGTCACTCAGGCTGGAGCAGTGGCATGATCTCAGCTCCCTGCAACCTCTGCTTCCCAGGTTCAAGCAATTCTCCTGCCTCAGCCTCCCGAGTAACTGGGATTACAGGCGTGTGCCATCACACTCAGCTAATTTTTGTATTTGTAGTAGAGATGGGTTTCACCATGTTAGCCAGGCTGTTCTCAAACTCCCAACCTCAAGTGATACACCTGCCTCGGCTTCCCAAAATTCTGAGATTACAAGCGTAAGCCACTGCTCCTGTCCTGTTTCTTTTTATAGCTGAATGATACTCCCTTGTATGTGTATACCACATTTGGCTTATTCTTTCGTTTGTTGATTGACATTTGGGTTGTTTCCACCTTTTGAGTTTCATGAATAATGCTGCTATGAACATTTGTGTACAGGTGTGTCTCATTTTATTGCACTTTGCTTTCTTGTACTTTGCAGAGATCGTGTGTTTCACACATTGAAGATTTGTGGCAACCCTGCAACAAGCAAGTCTGTCAGTGCCATTTTCACAACAGAGGCTCACTTCCTGTCTCTGTCATATTTTGGTAATTCTTGCAATATTTCAAACTTTTCATGATTATTATATCTTTTATGTTGATCTGTGATCAGCAATCTTTGGTGTTACTATTGTTAATTGTTTCAGGGCTACACAAATCTCACCCACATAAGACAAGATGATGAACTGAATGGATAAATGTTGTGCGTGTTCTGATTGTGTGTCACTGGCTGTACCCTTGTCTCTCTCCTGCTCCTTGGCCTCGTATTCACTGAGACACAACAATACTGAAATTAGGTCAATTAATAACCCTACGATGGCCTGTAAATGTTCAAGTGAAGGGAAGAGTCACATGTCTCTCACTTGAAATCAAAAGCTAGAAATGATTCAGTTTAGTGAGAAAGGCAAATCAGGCTGAAAGCCTCTGCACCAAGCAGTCATCCAAGCTGTGAATGCAAAGGAAATGTTCTTGAACAAAATTAAGAGTGTTACTTTAGTGAACAAACAAATAATAAGAAAGTAAACCAGGCTTATTGCTGATGTGAAGAAAGTGTGAATGGATTAGAAGATCAAACCAGCCACAACATTTCCTTAAACCAAAACCTCATCCAGAGCAAGGCCCAAACTCTCTCCGATTTTGGGAAGGCTAAGAGAGGTCAGGAAGCTGCAAAAGAAAAGTTCAAAGCTAGAAGAGGTTGCTCCATGAAGTTTAAAAAAAGTAGTTGTCTCCATAACATAAAAGTGCAAGGCAAAGCAGCAAGTGCTGATGTAGAAGCTGTAGCAAGTTACCCAGATCTAGCTAAAATCATTGTTAAAGATCACTACACTAAACTACAGATTTTCAATGTAGACAAAACAGCCTTTTATTAGAAGAAGATGCCATCTAGGACTTTCATAGCTAGAGAGAAGTCAATGCCTGGCTTCAAAACTTCAAAGGACAGGCTGTCTCTCTTGTTAGGGGCTAATGCAAGTGATGACTTTAAGTTGGAGCCAATGCTCCTTGGCCATTCTGAAAATCCTAGGGCCCTTAAGAATTATGCTAAATCTACTCTGTCTGTGTTCTAGAAATTGGACAACAAAGCCTGGTGGGTGGCACATCTATTTACAGCATGGTTTACTGAGTATTTTAAGTCCACTGTTGAGACCTACTGCTCAGAAAAAGAGATTCCTTTCAAAATATTGCTGCTCATTGATAATGTACCTAGTCACCCAAGAGCTCTGGTGGAGATGTACAAGGAAATTAATGTTGTCTTCATGCCTGCTAACATGACATTCATTCTGCAGCCCATGGATCAAGGAGTAATTTAGACTTTCAAGTCCTATTATTTAAGAAATACATTTTACAAGGCTTTAACTGCCATAAATGATGATTCCTCTGATGGATCTGGCCAAAGTAAACTGAAAAACTTTCTGGAAAGAATTTGCCTTTCTAGATGCCATTAAGAACACTCATTATTCATGCAAGGAGGTCAACATATCTTTATTAACAAGAATTTGGAAGAAGTTGACTCCACCCTTCATGGATGACTTTGAGGGGTTCAAGACTTCAGTGAGGAAATCACTGCAGAAGTGATAGAAAGAGGAAGATAACTAGAATTAGAAGTGGAACCTGAAGATGTGACTGAATTTCTGCAATCTCATGATCAAACTGGAATGAATAAGGGGTTCCTTCTTATGGATGAGCAAAGAAAGCCCTTGAGGAGCATTTTCTCCTCCTGGTGAAGGTGCTGTGAACATTGTGGAAATGACAGCGAAGGATCTCATGACACAGACTCAGTTGATAAAGCAGTGGCAGGGTTTCGGAGGACTGACTCCAATTCTGAATGGAGTTCGGAATGTATGGGTAAAACACTATCAGACAACACTGCATGCTACAGAGAAATCTTTCATGAAAGGAAGAGTCAACTGGCACAGCAAACTTCACTGTTGTCTTATTTTAAGAAATTGCCACAGCCACCCTAACCTTCAGCAACCACCATCCTGATCAGTCAGCAGCCATCAACATCAAGGCAAGACCCTTCACCAGGAAAGAGATTAGAACTCACTGAAGTCTTGGAT
Organism: Homo sapiens; assembly: GCF_000001405.40. NCBI lineage: Eukaryota > Metazoa > Chordata > Mammalia > Primates > Hominidae > Homo > Homo sapiens. The sequence continues at coordinate 30,195,127 of NC_000010.11, forward strand.
GATTGTTAGCATTTTTTAGCAATGAAGTATTTTCTTTTTTTGAGACAGAGGCTTGTTCTCTCGCCCAGGCTGGAGTGCAGTGGTGTGATCTCAGCTCACTGCAACCTCCGCCTCCCGGGTTCAAGTGGGTCTCGTGTTTCAGCCTCCTGAGTAGCTGGGATTACAGGTGTGTGCCACCACTCCAGGTAAGTTTTCTATTTCATAGAGACGGTATTTCACCATGTTGGCCAGGCTGGTCTTTAATTTCTGACCTCAGGTGATCTGTCTGCCTCAGCCCCCTGAAGTGCTGGGATTACAGGCGTGAGCCACTGTCCCCAGACCAATAAAGTATTTAATTTTTTTATTTCCATAGGTTTTTGGGGAACAAGTGGTATTTGGTTACATAAGTTAGTTCTTTACTGGTGATTTGTGAGATTTTGGTGCACCCATCTCTTGAGCAGTATACACTGAACCCAGTTTGTAGTCTTTTATCCCTCACTCCCTTCCCACCCTTTCCTCCTGAGTCCCCAAAGTCCATTGTGTCATTCTTATGCCTTTACATCCTCATAGCTTAGCTCCCACCAATAAAGTATTTTTTAATTAAGCTTGTTTTGTTAGACATAATGCTATTGCACACTTAACAGACCACAGTATAAGTAGAAACATAACTTTTATTTTATTGCTATTATTTCTGTAATATCTGTCCTAATGAGCATTATGTATTATCTTATTCATAGATTTGACTTGCAGTTTTCTAATGACTCATGATGTTGAGTATCTTTTCACGTGTTCATTGGCCATTTGTAGATGTTCTTGGAATAAACATCTACCCAAGACCTTTTTTTCTTTTAACTTTTGTTTTAGGTTTGGGGGTACATGTGTGGGTTTGTTGTACAGGTAAATTGCATGTCACGGGGTTTGGTGTTCAGATTATTTCATCATCCAGGTAATAAGTATAGTACTCAACAGGTAGTTTTTGATCCTCTCCCTCCTCCCAGCCTTCACCCTCAAGTAGGCTCTGGTGTCTGTACCCTTCTTTGTGTCCATGTATTTTCAATGTTTAGATCCCACTTATAAATGAGAACATGCAGTATCTGGTTTTCTGTTTCTGCATTAGTTCCCTTAGGATAATGGCCTCCAGCTGTATCCATGTTGCTGCAAAGGACATTATCTCATTCCCTTTTATGATTGTGTCATATTCCATGTGTACACGTACCACTTTTTAAAAATCCAGTCTACCATTGATAGGCATTTAGGTTGATTCCATGTCTTTGCTATTATGAGTGGTGCTGCGATGAACTTATCAGTGCATATGTCTTTACGGTAAAATGATTTCTATTCCTTTGGATGTATACCCAATAATGGAATTGCTTGGTCAAATGGTAATTCTGTTCTAAGTTCTTTGAGAAATTGCCACACTGCCTTCCACAATGGCTGAACTAATTTATATTCCTGCCAGCAGTTTATAAGTGTTCCCTTTTCTCTGCAACCTCACCAGCATCTGTTATTTTTTGACTTTTTAATACTAACCATTCTGACTGGTGTGAGATTGTATCTCATGTGGGTTTTGATTTGCATTTCTCTAATGATTAATGACGTTGTGCATTTTTTCATGTGTTTGCTGGCCACATGTATGTCTTCTTTTGAAAAATGTCTGTTCATGTCTTTTGTCAGCTTTTTAATGGGGTTGTTTGTTTTCTGTCTGTTAATTTATTTAAGTTCCTGGCAAAGATTCCATGATGAAGATGCCAAAAGCAATTGCAACAAAACCAAAAATTGACAAATGGGACCTAATTAAAGTAAAGAGCTTCTGCACGGCAAAAGAAACTATCAACAGAGTAAACAGACAACCTACAGAATGGGAGAAATATTTGCAAACTATGCATCCGACAAAGGTCTAATATCCAGAATCTTTAAGAAACTTAAAACTTTCATATGCACAGGAAAGGAAAAAAATTGTATTGACTCGCTTTATTGTGATAGTCACTTTATTGTGGTGGTCTGGAACCTGCAATATCTCCAAAGTATGCCTGTACAAGTTTTTGTAGGGCGATATTTTTCCATGTTTCTTTGGTATATATCTCAAGGTGGAATTGTTGGGTTATCTAAGTAATCATAAGTAGGTTTATAATATATATTCTAGAGATTGTAGGCTATTCTACCAAGAAACAGAGCTGAGGGCTTAAAGACCTGAGTTTGTCACTTTCCCACCTCTGTAAATTCTCCAGCGCCATCAGAAGCAGCCAGCTGCATTCTTAAGGCTTTGCCTTCCGGGCCACTCTGCTGCAAGCAACCACAGGTAATTACGGATTCATCACAGGCACTGGAAGACTGAAAGAACAAAAAGCAGATGCTAAGATAACCCTGAAATTATTCACACCAGGAAGAAACTACCATCCCAGGCTGAGAGAACAAAAGGGAAGGAATATTGCTATCAGGACCTTGGTGTTGTAGGGATTCCACTTAAACCGCTGAGGGAAATCTCTACACAGCTAGTACTGCAGCCTCTGAGAATAGGGTGCCATGTTCTGGAGATCAGACCTTCAGGGGGACATTTTGTACTGCTAGTGCCTAGACGCTAAGTAGGGTGTTGATAGTGGTGGACCCTCATATTTAAAGGAGGGTCTTCAGTCTAGCTGGTACCTGTACCTCTAAAAAGGAAGTCTGGCCATACCCTGGATGTCTGAGCTGGCAGCACAACCCAGTGGATATTCCAGTCACTCATGGGGCAGGGATTGTGCCCCACAGACGCTCGAATGGTCCAGAAGCACTGGCTCAGGGTGAGAAAAAAAGCATAGCCCACCTGGCTGTACAACTGCAAAGGGGATATGGTCCAGCTCCTGTGGACATCACTGAACAGGCACAGCATGGCAGGTGCTGGGAGCAGTCACACAGTGGGCAGCTAGAACCTTCTCCCTGCTGCTATGAGAGCAACACTGATTGGAACTGGACACTGTGGGGAGAAAAAAGCCTTTTTTGTCCACTTCCTACCTAGCCAATCTCCCCTGAATGCTTCCTATTGACAGAACCTAAAAGGAAGTCAGTTGGTGAGGGGACTAAGAAGTGGAGTTTGGAGATCTTCAGCTCCAAATGGAGCTGAGAGACCAGAGGGCAGAAGATGAAGAGCCAGAAAACCTGGATCCTGGCCCCAACCCAGCACTGACTGGGTGAGTAGACTTAAGACATTGCCTAACCTTCTTGTGCCTCAATTTCCTTATTTTAAAAAGCCGGGTACTATCACTGACCTTAGAAGTCAGCTAGGAAGATAAATCAAGCCAATATATGTATAAGTGCTTTATAAACTCTAAGAGCCATTTCAATGCAAGACATGGTGACGGCTGATCTGTGTTGCTGAAAAGCTGCGTAAGGGAAGTTTATATGCCCTAGGGTACACATTCACAGGGAAAATTATGTGAGTGAAAGATAAGTCCAAGGATGTGCAAACAGTAGGCAAGCATCATACCAACATGTGAAACCAGAAGAACAAAATACAGCATCAAATGTCTAAACCTGACCCAGACTCCAGGTGCAGGAGAAAGAGTGAATGAGAGCTTTGAGTTAGATGTCCCTGGTCCAAATTTGTTCTGGTAACAAGTGGGAAGGATAATAGGGAATCCAAGATTCAAGGGGGGCATGGTCATGCAGAGTGGGGGATCGGGAACTTGCTGTTCAAGCAGAGGGCAGTTTCTTGGCTTCTGGGGGCAGGTAATTTGCGGAGTCAGGCAGGGCTAAGCATTGCTGGAACAGCCTGGAAGAGGGAACAGTCATGCCTTCTCACTGGTGCTCTCCACCTTTGCTCTTGGGGCTGCCCTAGGTGGGTTTCTTTGGTGCTTTTACTGTTATCCTTCACTTTGTTTCTTCTGGGGACACAATGAGGACAAGCAGCCAGGATGAGTGTCTTGATGACAAAATGGACGAAGGCTGGGCGCAGTGGCTCACATCTGTGATCCAAACACTTTGGGAGCCCAAAGTAGGAGAATTCCTGAAGGCCAGGAGTTCAAGACCAGCTTGGGCAACATTGTGATATCCCGTCTCTACAAAAAAATTTAAACATTAAGCCAATCATGATGTCACACACACCTGTAGTCCCAGCTCCTTGGGAGACTGAGATGGGAGGATTGCTTGAGCCCAGGAGTTCGAGGGAACCATGATCATGCCACTGCCCTCCAGCCTGGGCAACAGAGTGAGAACATGAAAAAAATAAAAAAGGGACCAGAATCATAGTCTTTCCACGTCCCACTTTTACCGAATGGGCATTTTTGATCATTTATGAAGAGAAAATGTACTTTTTATGACATAAACCACTTCTGTAGAAGGAGTGGCATCTCTGTCCTTCAGTTATTGAAAAAGGAAGCTCCTCACCTCTGTCTGTGTCCAGATAGAGCGCTGCACACAATGATTCCCAGAGGCTCCTTCCTGATCCAGCATTGGGAACAATACACTCTCTGTCGTTTCCATAGGAGAAATCTCCGCCCCCAGCTATGCTCTGAGACATTTCCTTTTTCTCCTCTGACACACACATTACCAAACCTAGGGATTGTGTTCTTTCAAAATTTGCCCTCAACAAACTACCTGTATGCACCTAAACGAAACAGTTGACCTACTTACCTAACCCAGGCATGCCGGCCACCTGTGTTGTGCCAGTTCTATGATTGGTGATTTAAGTTGGCTTATCCTCTTTCACCCCACTGCTTGCTATAAATACGTCCCTATAACTTACACCAAGGCAGCAGGTGCCAATTAGAAAGTAGGTTAATGGCTTCAGAAGGCTTCTGGTCAGTGCTGCTAACAGAAAGAGCAAAGATCTCTTGTGGATCTCCAACAGAGAGCTTGTATATTATCAGACCAGCTGGAAATGTTGTTCCACCAAATGCATCTCTTTTAAGAGAATGGAGGAATTTTGAAGATAGGGATTGGTCACAGTTCATTCCTCTTCCTCTCCCGAACAAACCAAGTCCAGGAGTTCGTATGATGCCTCAATGCTTAAACTTTGAACAGTTCCATGAAGGAGTTCCCAGATCCACAATTTCTAGCTAGAAACTCTATGTGCAGGTAAGAGTGCCTCAGGAAGAAGAAACTACATGACTACAGAGAAGCTCGAGAGAGCAGTGGGAGGGACCCAGGTTTGAGATGATGAACTGAGCATGCATTAACTTGCCCTCTCTCCCCAAATCCCATTGCAATGATAAGAAATGACATTTTCGAAGAATAAATCCATAACAGTGATGGAAAGCAGGAAAAGGTGTCATAGGCAGATCAAAATTTATCTCCTAAGGTGTTTAAGAAATTAAATTGTCACTCACACTAATTGTAGTGAGTAAAATAATACAGATTAAAAAAAATCTCCCCCTACTTCTTTAAGGCCACCAGTGTTCACACCTGATATTTATATTTCACACACACACAGATGATAGGTAGATAGATGACTGATCAATCTATAGATAGACGATTGATCAATCTATAGGTAGGTAGTTTGGGAGGGTATGGTTTGTTTTTATATAAATATCACCTTATATAAAATGGATTTATAATACACTATTATTTTATAACATTTTTGTGACTTAATAGATCATGCATATCTCTTCACGTCAGTGCAGACAAGTCATACTCATTCTTTTTTAATTGCTGTATAATATTCCATGGCATGAATGTGTCCTAATTTATTCACCTTCTGCTATTGATGGGCACTCCAGTTGTTTTTAACTTCTTGTCATAATAAACAATTAGGCAACAGGCACTCCTGCACATTCATTCTTATGTATTAGCACAGTTACTTTGTAGAAGAGGCTCACAAAGATGGGACTGCTAGATCAAATATATGTGTGTGATTTATCTCTATAAGTATGCATAATTCATATGTTTGCTATACTACTTGATAATTCACACCTGAATATTATGACAAGTCACTTCTAAATATTTCAGCATGCCTCTCTAGGAATAGAGATTATCTTCTACACAGCTATAAAACCACTGCCATATCTAAGGTAATGTAAAATCATTTCATAATATCATCTAATAATTCAGTTCATATTCAAATTTTCTCCAATTGTCCTAAGAATCTCCTTTACAGTTTTCTCTTTTTGCTAACCAGGTTTCAATCTAGGTTAATGTTATTACATTTGGGTTTTACACCCCTTGGTCTCTTTTAGTGAAGAAGAGTCCTCTCATTTTTTTTCTTAAGACATTGGCATTTAAGGTGACCAGCCAAGTTATTTTGTAGAATGTCCCACATTCTGGATTGCTCTGATCATTTCTTTCCATTAAATCATTTAATTTTTCTCTTTACTTCAGCTATTTCTGAAACTGAAATTTAGATCTAGGGGCTTGATTAGATTAAGGTTACACATTTCTGGCAAGAAACACAAAAATAAATATACATGACATGAGATGTTGTATAATAAATACGTATTTTCAATTGTAATAAACATTGTCAGATTACTTCCCCCAAAGATTGTGTAATAGCATTGTGCATTTCCACCAGCAATGTCCATTTCTCTGCATCTTAACTGTCCTAGATATTACTGGGATTTTAATTTTTGCAAATTTGATGGATTCTTCAAAATGATATATCTCTGTTCATTTGCATTTTCTTGACCGCTATGGAGGTTAAATCCCTAATCATATGTTCCTTGACTACTGGGTAATTCACTTCTATGAATTTTGTGTTCACATACTATACTTGCTAGAGTAATGTAATTCAAAAGTAAAGAAAATTCAAACTTTTTATTTCTTATTCATGTAACAGTCCAGTGAGGGTGTTTTGTGCGCAGGTTTCCAGGAGATGATTCAGGGGTGTGGGCTCCTTTCATCCTGTGGTTTCACCATTCCCTGGAGCTTTGGGAAAAGGGGATAGAAAAGCAACACCCTTTCCTTAACCTCATTGACCCCGGCAATGACACAATCACTTACCTTGGCAAGAACTAGTCACATGACATCATTAGATAGGGAGGGCAGGGGCTCAGAAATCTGGCTCCTAGTTGGACAGATGCTTTTCAGAAATGGCATGAGAATATATGGCCATCTTGGCCACTTATCCTTTTGTCCATTTTTCCATTGGGCTGTCTTTTTTAGAAAAATTGTTAATAAGATTTGTATAATAGAATGGTTTACCATATGTATCCACTATATGTGCTATAAATATCTTTCCTGGTATATTATTTGTCTTTGAACTCTATTTAGTGTGTCTGTTGTTTATATATATATATTTATTTATTTTTCTCTGTGAAGATTCCAAAGTAGGATTCTATTTCATGTGCCTTTTGCTATACAATTGTTTTTAAATTGTATGCAGTCAAATACGAATATATATACACACACACATATATATGCACACATACACATATATAAAGTCATATTATATATTTTTTCTATCATATTCCTTCATTTATTGCTCCTGTTTTTTCTGTCTTACTAAGAAGTTACCCTCCAAATAATGCAAATACTATCTTGAATTTTCTTCTAGTATTTTTATTATTTAATGTTGTACCTTGCACCTTAACCTATTTGGCATTTTGTTTTTCATATAATACAAATTAAATTCTACATTTGTTTCTTTCTAAATGGATAGTCCTTAGTTAGCATTGTTTATTAAATAAGTCATCCTTTCTGGCCTGGCTTGAAATGCCACCTTTGTTTATATTAAATTCCCATATATTCATTAATTCAATTTCAACTTCTGTTCTCATCCACTGATTTTTCAACATTTATTCTTTCACATGAACTATGTAATGATTGTATGTAGTTCTGAAAAATGGGGAATCTACTGGAATCAAATTAAAATAACTGGGAATGACAATTTTTTAAAATTAAATCTTCCCATATAAGAACATGAGCTATCTCTCCATTTATTCATGCTTTATGTTAATAATAATTGACAGTTATAGAAAAATATATAAACAAAAGACAAGCTAAATAACATATTTATTTCTAAATACGTTATAATTTTTTTGTTTTTTTGAGACAGAGTCTCACTCTGTCGCCCAAGCTGAAGTGCAATGGCGTGATCTCTGCTCACTGCAAGCTCCGCCTGCCGGGTTCACGCCATTCTCCTGCCTCAGCCTCCCGAGTAGCTTGGACTACAGGCACCCGCCACCACACCTGGCTAATTTTTTGCATTTTTCGTAGAGACGAGGTTTCACCGTGTTAGCCAGGATGGTCTCGATCTCCTGACCTCATGATCTGCCTGCCTCGGCCTCCCAAAGTGCTGGGATTACAGGCATGAGCCACCGCACCTGGCCAATATGTTATAATTTTTAATGTATGAATGAAATATAAAACTTTTTAGCTTCCAACTTTTTACTACTAGCTCAAAGATATTAATTTTGTAAATTCACTTTTATCTGCCTATTTAATAAAATTTTCTTATTTAATTCTAATAGTAGGCTTACTTTGATGGTCTGGATATACAGGCATGTCATCTGAAATGAAGACATTGTTGTCTCTTCTGCCTACAGAACCACAGGGTCAGCTGTGCCCCTTCCCCTTTCAGTATATTCCCATATTACAATTTCTCCTGGATAAAACCAGAGAATGAGTCTCTAAACAAAGTAGGCAGAGAGCTGAAAAGAAGAGGCTTCAAGGAAGGAGATTCCCAGCATAGGCAATTGGTTACAGAGTGAAGGAAAGTAGAGAATAGGCAGAAAAAAAGGATTCCAGGATGGCTGAAACAACATCTTTAAAGACTGAAAAAGAAAAAAAAAACTATCACCATCAATTTCTATATCTAGCTCAACTATCCTTCCAGAATGAAAGCAAAATAAGGACACTTTCAGACAAAAAAAAGAGAAAGAAGATTTGTTTTCAGCAGACCTAGACTACAATAAATGCTAAATAGAGAAAGTTCTTCAGGATAAAGGCAAATTATAACAGATGGAAATCTGGATCTTCAGAAAACAAAGAAGAGCACAGGAAATGGTAAATATGGCGTATACACATAAGATTATTTTCTTCTCTTAATTTTATAAAATGCATATGATTATTCAAAGCAAAAATTAGGCAGTGGCTTGCGCCTGTAATCACAACACTTTGGGAGGCTGAGCCAGCAGGATTGCTTGAGCCCAGGAGTTCAAGATCAGCCTGGGCCACGTAGGGAGACCCAGTCTCTACAAAATAAAAAATCAAAATTAAAAAACCGGCAGGGTGCGGTGGCTCATGGCTATATTCCTGGTACTTTGGGAGGCCGAGGCAGGCAGATCACTTGAGGCCAGAAGTTTGAGACCAGCCTGGCCAACATGGTAAAACTCCGTCTCTAGTAAAAGTACAAAAAAATTAGCCGGGCACAGTGGCACACAGCTGTAATACCAGCTACTCAGGATGCTGAGGCAGAAGAGTCATTTGAACCTGGGAGGTGGAGGTTGCAGTGAGCCCTGATTGCACCACTGCACTCCAGCCTGGGTGACAGAGTGAGAATCTGTCTCAAAAATAAATAAATAAATATTTAAAAAAATTTTAAAAACCTAGCTGGGCATGGTGGCATATACCTGTGTTCCCAGCTACCTGGGAGGCCAAGGTAGAAGAATGGCTTGAGCCCAGGAGGCTGAGAGTGCAGTGAGCTATGATCATGCCACTGCACTTCAGCCTGGGTGACAGAGCAAAACCCTGTCTTAAAAAGAAAAAAAAAAGTTATTCTGGCCAGGCGTGGCGGTTTACACTAGTAATCTGAGCACTTTGGGAGGCTGAGGCAGGAGGATCTCTTGAGTCCAGGAGTTTGAGACCAGCCTGGGCAACACAGGGAGACCCCATCTCTTTTAAAAATAAATAAATAAATAAATAAATAAATAATTTTAAAAAGCAAAAATTAAAATATTATATTTTGGAGTGAATAATATACATAATGTATTACATATAATAACTGCAGCATAACACATAGGGCTGGAAAATACACTATACAGTTGCAAGATTCTTACATTTTATATCATCAGATACATATTAACTATAAGTAAACCACAATATGTGAAGAATATATACTGCAATCCCTACAACTTCTAAAAAAATACATTAGAAAGAAAGGATTTGAGCTTGTCCTTGAAGGTTGTAGGTGTGGCAGACTATATTTCTCCTTCCCCCGCCATAGGGGTGTATGTTGTTCCACCCAGTAATGTTGGCCTGGACCATGAGACTTTCTTTGATCAGAGGAATCAGAGCAGAAGAGCTAGTTCTGAGCCTAAACCTGAAGACACATTGTATGCTTCCATTCATGTCCCTGGGAGTTTCTACCCTTCACTATGAGAATAATGTGTGAATGTTGCTTAATTCTCAGACTGAAGCATATCAGCCCCAGCCTACCTACATATCCGCGAGTCCGGTGAGTGAGAAAGAAATACGTGCTGTTTTAGAACACTGAGATTTTAGGCCTGTTTGCGATTGCAGCAAAAGTTGATGAATGCAGTGGAATTTGAAAATGGGAACGGTAGTAAGAAGTAAAATTCATGCAATTCTCTTTAGGTTACTGATGTTACCAAACACAAAGTCCACTCCTGAAGCCCACTGGGATGTAAAATCCATGACTACAGAGATTTTGTGGGTCTTGTTCATCATTGCATATCATCGGCATCTAACACAGTGCTTGGCTTCTCAGAAGAAAAATAGAATTACCATTCAACCTAGTGATCCCATTTATAGGTAAGTACCCAAAGGAAAATAAATTGCTCTACCAAAAAGTTACCTGCTCTCATATGTGTATTGCAGCACTATTCACAATAGCAAAATTATGGGATCAACCTAGGTGCTCATCAACAGTGGATTGGATAAATAAAATGTGGTACATATACACCATGGAGTACTATGCAGCCAGAAGTAAGAATGGAATCATGTTTTCTGTAGCAACTGGAGCTGGAAGCCATCCTCCTAAGTCAATTAATGCAGAAACAGAAAAATCAAATACTGTGGGTTCTCACTTATAAGTGGGAGCAAAACAATGGAGACACATGGACATAAAGGTGAAAACAATAGACGCTGGGGCCTCCAAAAGAGAGAAAGGAGAGAGGAGAGGAAAGGTTGAAATATGACCTGTGGGGTACCATGTTCACTATTCAGGTGATGGGTTCGATAGAAGCCCAAACTCCAGCATCTTGAAATATATCCATGTAACAAACCTGCAATGTACTCCTGAAACTAAAATTAAAAAAAAAAGAAATAAAATAAAATAAAAACAGTGCTTGGTCCTTAAGAGGTATTCACTAATTCATTGTCCAATGAATGAAGTACTGTGAGGGAATGAGTTGTTGAATAAGAAGGGAATGGTTTGACTAGTCTGAAAAGCTAACCTGAGATAGGATAGGGACAGATTGTAAAGGCCTTGAATATCCCACTAAGGTGACTAAATTTGACTTAGTTGGTAATGAGACTTATGTAACAAGACCCATGTAAGACTTTAAGATCAATCAAGAGATGGTGTGTAGGACAGGTGGACAGGGATACTGAAGGCGACAAAACCCATTAAAAACCCACTATTGGAATTGTCCAAGCCAGGTGTGAGGTGGCACTGACAAAGGTAGTGCTAATAGAAAGGGGAGGAGAAATCATAATGAAATTCTCCATTGTTCCTGGCAACAAATTAAAAGTAGAAGGTGAAAGAGAATGGGATCCCAGGTTTAGCTTGGAGCCAGCAGCAGAACTGATCTCCAAGGGATGGGCGGCTTTGGGAAATATTAATTTTGACACCCCAAATGCCATATCTGAGTGCACAGTTGAAAACAGGGGCCTACACCTCAGGAGATGAGTTCTAAGTAGATTTGGGAATTAGAGATCACTCTTAACTGATTTGGCCGATCCTGAAGCAATAGCAACTGATGAAATAAATGGATAGATAGATAGATAGATAGATAGATAGATAGATAGATAGATAAAAATAAAAAATTAACTGATTTGGCCCAGTTCTCAAGTCATGAAAGAGGATGACACCACCAAGGGGTGAATGAGCATAGCAAGAGAGTGTGAAATATCAAAAAGAGAATCTTGAAAAATGTCATTTACACACACATAGTCCTAACAAGAGGAGAATAGTTGGTGCCAAGCAAAGGAAAACAGGGCAGGGCACACAGGCGCAGAAGCCAGGGGAGGAAGGTTGTCAAAATCCCACTTGAGGGGACCGGATGAAAAAGCGGCCAGTGGGTGTGGTAATTGGAGGTCGCCCTTAAACGAGTATTAATTCAAGGCGCAGGTAAGAAACATGGAGAAGAGCAGCGCAAAGCACGTGTGAGGCAAACGCTACGGCAGCACGTGAGGATGGTGGCAGCGAACGAAGGGCAGGATGGACCAGGTGTTGAGGGTGACAGCCCAGCTCGGAGAGGTTTTGTTTAGGGTAGGGGAGACCTGAGCACATTTGTAGAAGGCAGTGAAGCCATTGGAGAGAGATTGACTATGCTAAGACACAAGAGGGAGAGGAGATACCTGACTGGGCATAAAGGTCAAGAAGTCAAAAACGAACGGAAATGAGAGCCCGGTGCAACCTTAACAGCCTTAGAAAGGGAGCTACAAACAGCTGTGGTTTACCAGCACTGATGTTTCTCGACCACGCTTCAAAGCATAGCTTCAAGAGCAGGGTCGATCTTTCTTAATTACCCAGCTTCTGTGGCTATCATATATATAGCCTTGGGGCTGGAACAGAGGAGGGAGGCTCTTAGTAAAAGCCCTCGATGACAGTGGCAGTGTCATTCCCACTTTGCAGACATTCCATTCATTCTTACACTGTCTTTCAGCAGAACGTGGGACAGGTATTGTTGTGAGGGCCAGAAATGGGAGCTCTGATTTGGATGCCAAAATCAAAGTTAGGAAAGGGGCCAGTGTTTCCTGTTGCCCCCTAGATAGCCCCACATTGCTCTGCAAAACCGCAATAGTCACTTAACCCCCGGGCACTCACACCAGGGGAAAAGAATGCTAACAGTTCCAACAAAAATACTTGAACTCTCTTCAGTTCCTTGCATCTGACCTTGATATTTTCCCTTGAAAATGAACCACAGTAGCTCCAAGGAGTACAGGGAAAGGGACCAGATGGACAATAAGATAAGGGGTTTGGATTTGCCTAAAAAGTAGGACTAAACTTTGAACTTGGTTATATTCTTAGTTTTTTAGCTATAGCCAAGCTTTTCCAAGTGTATAAAAGCTGCCAACAATCTTTCCATTTGTTAGGAACTGCACTTAGCAATTACCCTGCATGTCAATAAAAACAAGGGCTTACTATGTACCAGGTACTGTTCCAATCACTTTACACATATTATCTCATTTATTATTATCCTGTGGAGATTCTTGTTAGGATTAAATGAGATAATACATGGAAAGAGCTACCTTTCTCCTCATTTACATGTAAGGGAACTCTGGCTTGGAGAACCCGGCCACATATTTTAAAGTATTTATGAAATATCATCTGCTTGTTTTCATCTTTTATGAAGATGCATCTAGGATACATCCTGGGCAAGTTGCCTGGACAATCTAGGCAATTGAGTTTCCTACTGAATTTCCTCAGAGAAGCTATCACAAAAAAGGTCAACCAAAGGCTAGGACAGTAGTTCTTAACTCTGGATCTGGATCCGTATGAAAATCACTTGAAAAGCTTTGGAAACCTACTGATGCCCACTTGACCCCAAATAATCTGATTTAATTAATTAATCTGAGGTCAGCCCTAGATACAGGTACTTGAATCTCTCTGTCTCTCTCGCTCTCTCTCAATCTCTCTCCGCGCGCGCGCGCGTGTGTGTGTGTGTGTGCATGTGTGTGTGTAAATCTGGCTCCTCAATTTTTCTTCTACTCTCAGCAGATTATTCTCAGTGTTGGACACTTCCCTTAGAAAGGAGGGCTAATGAGTTGGTTTTGAGAGTTCACAGGGGCTGCATTGCTCCAGCCCCTTCAGACTTGCTTACCACAAGCCTCTTGCATGCAATTGCTATTGGAAAGAGCAAGAGCCTTCCCAGGTTCAGCAACTATTCTCAAGTCAGCTCAAAGCTCTGTTCATTATTTTGGAGTTCTGTTGTCTCTCCGGCCCCTCCATGCTTCCTCTGTTGATTTTCTTTGCTTTCTACTGCAGAAATGCTACTACCTGAACATCTTGTAGCTGCCGGTAGGCCTCTACCTGGTGTATTTGTGGGTTCTTGAAGACATCTCGTCACCTAGTTTGGTTGTAAATGTTGTGAATGGGATTTTGGCTTTACTACCTGTGTGCTCTGTTTTAATACAGAGATTTGAAGAGACTGAAAAATGATGCCTCCATGTTTCCAGAATCTTCCCAAGTTACTCTAATATTCATGGTTGAAAACCATGATTTGGGAGGATGTCCAGAGTACAGAGGCTTGTTGTTAGAAATAGGAATTCCCAGATTTGAAGACCAGACCTAAACAAGGTCTATGGCCCTGGTAGCAAGCCCATGGAATTGACTGGAAACAAACAGGTCAAAAGCCTAAAACTAAAGTTTTAGGAAGGTGTGATACAAAAGTTATTCAAACCTGGCCAACAAAACTTATGATTGATTAACCTCCAGGGTTATAGCCATATAGTTTCAGAACTACCACCAACAGATGAGACAAGCTAAAGCTGTGCAGGCTCAGAAAAAGCCTCCTTCCCAATGTCTCTCTTATGAAAAATAATGTACAAGAGGCCGGGGGCAATGGCTCACACCTGTGATCCCAGTAGTTTGGGAGGCCAAAGCGGGCAGATCGCCTGAGGTTGGGAGTTCGAGACCAGCCTGGCCAACATGGCGAAACCCCACCTCTACTAAAAATACAAAAATTAGCCGGGCATGGTGGTGGCGCCTGTAGTCCCAGCTACTCGAGAGTCTGAGGCAGGGCAAATCACTTGAATCTGGGAGGCGGAAGTTGCAGTGAGCTGAGATTGTGCCATTGCACTCCAGCCTGAATGACAGAGTGAGACTCTGTCTCAAAAAGAAAAAGAAAAAGAAAAAAAAAGTACAAGACAGAACCTTTTTCTCATTCCCCAAAAGGCAAAACCAGGTGCCAGGGAGAGTCCCCCCAGAACACAGAACTTAGGGATACCAAATTGGTTGGCCAAAAAACTAACTCCACTTTCAGACCAAGAAACAGAATTCCCATCTGTGAGGATATGACATACCTTGTTTACCATGATCTTCTTTCCCAAATGGAAGGATTTAATGTATGTGCCCTCTTCTTTTCCCATGTTTATAGGTTAATATAGGATACATTTATCGTTTGCGACTGATATATTTTCAACATTCATCCTACGTCTTGGATAACTTCTCACATTATGAGTTCTACATTCCCAAGGTAGAATACAGGAAATTCACATCCCCAGAATCCCTTGCCTCTACAGGGCAGACACATAGCTTAACTTCCACCTATCAGATACACCCACGGGAAATGTGAAAACAGAAAAGAGCAACAATGAAGAATTGAGATGAATCTTTCAGCAACTGTGGAGGCAGTGTTTGGTTCTGTAACCGCCCAACGGGTTCTCCTTGCCTGATGCCTAGACAGAGCCGATTTATCTAGATAGTGGAATTGCAATAGAGAAAGAGTTTAATTTACACAAAGCTGGCTGGACAAAAGACCAGAATTTTATTATTACTCAAGTCAGTCCCCTCAAAAATTTGGGGATTGGGGGTTTTAAGGATGATTTGGTGGGTAGGGGGTCGGGAAGTGGGGAGTGTTGATTGATTGGTCAGATGAGATAATAGGGAGTCGAAGTGGATTTTCCTTGTCTTCTCATCCTAAGTAGGATCACAGAACTGGTTGAGCCAAATTACTTAGTATGGGAGGCATCCTCTGGTGCATCAAAATGCAGCATCTGCAAAACATCTCAAGTGCTGATCTTAGGTTTTACAATAGTGATGTTATCCCCAGGAGCAACTTGGGGAGGTTCAGAATCTTACAGCCTCCATCCCCACGACTCCTAAACCACAATTTCTAATCTTGCAGCTAAGTGGTTAGTCGTACAAAGGCAGACTAGTCCCCAAGAAAGAAGGGAGTTTGTTTTGCAAAAGGACTATTATCGCCTTTGTTTCAAAGTTAAACCATAAACAAAGTTCCTCCCAAAGTTAGTTTGGCCTGCACCCGGGAATGAACCAAGGTCGGCTTGGAGAATAGAAGCAAGATGGAGCCAGTTAGGTCAGATCTCTTTCACCGTCATAATTTTCTCAGTTATAATTTTTGCAAACGCGGTTTCAGTTCCATCTGGGCAATAGTGGTAGTGCTTCTGGCACCCAGCCCTTAAGTGCTGTAGAAGTCTGGTGGCAGTGACGGGAGTATTTTTGCTGGACCTGTACCTGCGGCATGATTGGGCATTGTTCCTAATCTGTAGCTTTAGAATGTGGCTCTTTGGTCCCCTTTGAGATGCTGTTTGCTATCTGATGTCATTTACTAAATTCATTTTTTGTTTAATATAGTCCAGTAGATTCCATTGTTTGTAATTGAGAATCCTGAGCAATAACGTTGGAGTCAGTAATTTATCATTTAATCCTAATTTACTCAATAATGAGGAGCTACATCCTGGCCTGGCATTATTAGCTGCAGAGGCTGGAGTTGCAGCTGGCTGAAGTTTGTGCCTCTCAGCTAAGTATGAGCATTTTGAAGGTGTGGATATTGATTAACAATATTCCCAACATCCACTCTCAACATCCACTCTTTCCCTCTTCCACTGTGTTGAAGCCAAGAGGTTTTAGTTGGATTAATTCCATCCCCAGCTACTGGGATAGATCATGATTGGTCTAAAATAATCTGACAACAGTGATTGGTTCAGGGATGGACGAATTAGAACATAGTTTAGAACTCCTGTTCCATGGTTATGGGAGGTAGCAGGATCTGCCAGCAGCCGTCTTGGGACCCTGAAGGAAACCATCTTGAGCGTGAAGCCGGTCACAGAGGTGGGTAGAGGTAAGACAGCCACAGAAATAGAGCCAGATCAAACTGCACTTGAAGCCTACTACCTATGAACCTTTTAGTTATTACTGAGCCAGAAGATCCTTTTTAGTCATAAGCCATTTTGAGCTGGTTTTTTTTCTACTTGCAACGGAAAACATCTCGATATAAAAACTGTGCAAGGTTTTTGCTCCTGTATGTAGCTTTGAAATAGCTGTGCTTATCATGGAGTTAGCATTTAGTCATCCCAACGGAGGGCAACATTTTGGTTCATTTCTTTTTAAAGTACTCAAAAGTTGGCAGGTACGGTGGCTCATGCCTGTAATCCCAAAACTTTAGGAGGCCGAGGCAAGTGGATCACTTGGGGTCAGGAGTTAGAGACCAGCCTGGCCAACATGGTGAAACCCCGTCTCTACTAAAAATACAAAAATTAATCGGGCATGCTGTCAGGTGGCTGTAGTCCCAGCTACTAGGGAGGCTGAGGCATGGGAATTGCTTGAACCCAGGAGGCGGAGGTTACAGTGAGCTGAGATTATGCCACTGCACTCCAGGCTGGGCAACAGAGTGAGACTGAGTCTCAAAACACAAAAATAATAAAAGTACTCAAAAGCTATTTAACATATATTAAATTTGGTGCCAACTTGTGCTAGGCACTGGGCCGGTGACTGGAGATGGAAAGATGAGTAAGATGCAGTGCATGTTCTAAAAGATTCCATTTTAGCAGATCTCAAAGGAACTTATGCCTCAAAAGTTCAACCTTGTTCTATCAGTGAGAATACTGAAATTCAGAGAAGTCTCTTACCCAATTGTTAACAGCACCGGGACTGGAAGCAAGGTTTATCAGTGTATTCGTCCATTCTTGCATTGATATAAAGAAATACCTGAGACTGGGTAATTTCTAAAGAAAAGAGGTTTAATTGGCTCATGGCTCTGCAGACTGTACAGGAAATATGATGCCTATATCTGCTTAGCTTCTGGGGAGGCCTGAGGAAACTTACAATCAGGGTAGAAGACCGAGGGGAAGCACACAAGTCACGTGGCTGGAACAGCAAGAGAGAGAGAGAGAAGGAGAAGGTGCTACACACTCTTCAACAATCAGATCTCATGAGAATTCACTCACAATGGCAAGGACAGTACCAAGGCGATGATGCTAAGCCAGTCATGGGAAATCTGCCCTCATGATCCAGTCACCTCCCACCAGCCCCTATCTTCAGCATTGAGGATTACAATTCAATATAGGATTCTATGGGGACACAGATCCAAACCATCTCAGCCAGCTACAAGCCTGTGGTAATTTTGATTTGATGCCAGTTATATGAGATGCCTTAGATACTCAATGCAAATGTTTATTTAAACATTAGCATTGCGTATCTAAGGCATCTCATATAACTGGGGTGTTCTGCTATAGAGTTTGGATGTAGGTATATGTAAATTTCCCAACCTCTTGCAATAGCCTCTAAAATACAACAGTGGGATAAACAGATCCTCAGATTAGTAAGGAATCTATTTCCCACCCTCAGAACACCTTATTCCCTATAAACCCAAGGCTCTCACAGGGAGCTCCCTAACTCACATCCAAGGGCCAGCCCTGGTTGCTTGGACATAACAAATCCCAGATCGTACTCACATTGCCATTGCAGCTGCTGGCACTGGAATAAGTTGTCACTGTTGGGTCCAGAGAAATATGGATGGTGCTGAGTTTCCCACTTTTGAGACCCCCACTATCAACATTGCCCTGGGATCCCAGTGTTAGAGCTCTTTAGGTTCACTTCTAAATCCTTTCCCATTGGGCAAAAAGCCTTGCCCAGGATGACTGAGAAGGAGAGGCTCCAGCATCTGCTGCTGGAACCGTGCGTGGTTCTCCTTTTATCACTGGACTTAGTCAAGGGGCCTGACCACTATCACATTGGTTTCTGCCCTTGGGGCAATTTTATCCAGAGAGCCTCAATTGCCCATATCTGTCACTGAGTCTTTGTCAGGGCCATCCCAACTTTTAATAGCACTTATTCTGCAGGAAGAAGCATTGAGATCTACCATCATCTTTCTCTGAAGACTTGTGAATTCCTAATGGATATTACCTTTGGGTCACACAGCAGCCATTAAGTTCCTCCTACCCATTGGGTGTTTTCTGGTTTTTGGGTTTTTTGGGGGGTGGGGGAGCAAAATTAATTTCAATCACATTAGATACCCTATTATAAATCTCTATTGTCTTTTGGATAGAGGAAAGTAATCTGTATCTTCTAAGGACAATAATATTTTAGATTCTCTTTGAAAAAGATCTCACTGAATTGTTGAAATTCTAAAAAACATCACCATAAGGGCTAATATAAAATAAAATCTTTAAGGTAGGGCTCACTGGCTCATGCCTATAATCCCAGCACTGTGGGAAGCCAAGGCAGGCAGATCATCTGAGGTCAGGAGTTTGAGTCCAGCCTGGCCAATAGAGTGAGACCTCATCTCTACTAAAATACAAGATTAGCCAGGCGTGGTGATGGGCACCTGTAATCCCAGCTACTCAGGAGGCTAAGGCAGGAGAATCACTTGAACTCGGGAGGTGGAGGTTGCAGTGAGCTGAGATGGTGCCATCACACACCAGCCTGGGCAACAGAGCAAGACTCTGTCACACACACACACACACACACACACAAATCTTTAACTAAATTGCTGAATATGGTGGGCAGCCTCTACAATGGCTCCTGGTAAGTAAGCCCCACCTTTCAGCATGCATGCCCCTGTGTAATCCCCTCCCCTCAAGTGTGAGCTGGACCTACCTAGTGACTTGCTACCTAGTGACCTACCTAGTGAAAAAAATAATATGGTGAAATCGATGGACTGTCATTTTTTAGATTAGGTTACAAAAAGATTCTGACTTTTCTCCTGTTATCTGGTCTCTCTTTGATTTTTTTTTTCCTATTATCTGGTCTCTCTCTCTCTCTCTCCCCCCGCTGCCCCACCTGCTGCCCCACCTGCTGCCCCTCGTCTCTCTCCCTCCTCCCTCCTTACTCTGGGTGAAGCAAGCTGCCATGCTGTGAATAACCCTGTGGAAACACCCACAAAGAAATGGGGTCTCTGGCCAATAGCGAGTTTGGCTCTGAGGCCCGCCAGCAGCCACGTGAATGATCTTGGAAGCAGTGTCCTCTGTGAAGCCTCGAGAGGACTGCAGACCTGGCCAACACCTTGATTTCTGTCTCTCTTGTGAGAGATCCTGGGTTTTCTTTAGGCTTATGAAGAGTCTCAGGCACCCAGACTAACTGCAACTGCATCCTGATTCCTGAGAGACAGTCTTGAAATGCATGTCTGCTGCTTTAATCCACTATGTTATGGGGGTTGTTACACAGCAATAGATAGCTAATACACTGAGTATTTGTAATACAAGGTATTTGGCTTTATGTAAGACTCTGGCTTCAAGAGTGTTTGCATTCTTTGAAATCTTTGTTCATACTTGGAGGAAAAATCAGTGACTCTGACCCAGGAAATCGCTCCCTGAGCCTCCCAGCTCCGCTGCTGATTGACAGAGCATCTCTGGGTTAACCACCTTCAGATTCCCCATCTTTAAAAAAGGTATGATCATTTCTACCCTACTTTTCAGAGTTACACCAGTGGAAATAATACATATAAAGCCACTTCTAGCAAGTGAAGCGCTGCACACACATGAAATGTATTGTTTTTAAAAGCCAGTCTTGGCCCCGTTGCCATTTTCTGTTCTTTTCCTCTAAATACACCCACCCTTCGTACAATCCCAATTGTGCCGTGTTGTGTTTAGCCTGAGAAATACGACCAATTGAAACTGTACACCACCTGGCAAGGCTAAAGGCAGCACTGGGTTGCTACTGAAATGCAGTGTGTTTTCAAAGCATTTTTCCCTCCTCTAGGGAGTCGGTTGTCAGAGGACATCCTGGCTTGCGGAGATGAGCACTTCCTCCCGGGAATTGGGTGGAGCCAGGGTTGAGGTCCTTCCTGGTGTTACTCGTCTAACTGAAGCCTCTTTTCTGTTAAGTAGACAAAGAAAGGGCCTCATGACTTCCTGCATCCTATTCTCCGGGGTGTCATCCTTGTAAGGAAATACTGACTTTAGAGAGGAAATGTGTTTGTGAAAATAGAAATAATAATTAAATCATGTAACTCAAAAGAACAAGATGCATGAGGTTTTTAAAGAAACTAAAGAAAATCCCACTGAACCAAATCTAAATCCAATCATATGAATATCTGACTTAGCTCAGTTAATTAACATGATTTATCAAACAATAGGTGTCCAAAATATTTTTGTGGTGTTTAGGCACTTTTCTGCATTTTGTGAAATGTCTACAGTGAATATGTAATACTTTGGTGATGGAAAATGGAGAGGAATCAATTAGAAAAGCCTTCAGTAAATAGTACAGAGAGTATTTTCTTATTTTTGCTAAAAGAAATGCAAAAATGATAAGCTTGAAACAGATGAGTGGGAAGGAGTAGGATGGGAGGGGGGATGGAAATGAGCCTTCTCAGAGTACAACTTTTTATATCATTTTGATTTTTGAAACATATAAATGTTTTACATATTCAAAAAACAAAATTAAATCCAAAAGGATTTTTCAAATGCTAAAATTGAATGCAAACAGAAGTAAGCATAAATATAGATATCAAATTAAAAATAACCACAGAGAGAAAAAAAGTATTTCAAGTAACTTTTAATTTTAAAAATCTTTTCATGCTGGCTAATTCAAGTTACTTTTCTTTCTTCTTCCTTTTTTTTTCTTTTTTTTTTTTTTTGCAGAGGTGAGATCTTGCTCTGTTGCCCAGGCTGGTCTTGAGCTCCTGGCCTCAAGTGGTCCTCCCATTTTGGCCTCCCAAAGTGCTGGGATTACAGGCACAAGCCTCTGTGCTCAGCCCTCAACTTACTCTTATTTCTGACTGCCATCTGTAATGGGATACAGGCTAAGGCCAAAAAGAACGGTAAATAAATATGAAAGTTGACTTAATAGTTTTGTTGACAGCAGTAATGTTAGTTCATTTTACAGGTCAACTTTACCAGGCCATGCGTTGCCCAGACATTAGTCAAACACTTTCGGTGTGTCTGTGGGGGTGTTTCTAGGTGAGAGTGACATGTGAGTTGGTAGAATGAATAAAAGCAGACTGCCCGACTGTGGGTGGGGCTCATCCAATCAGCTGAAGGCCTAAGCAGAACAAAAAGCCTGACTCTCCCATGAATAAAAGAGAACTCCTCCTCCTAACTGCCTTCAGGTTGGGACATCATTTCTTTTCCTACCTTCAGACTTAAACTGAAACATTGGTTCTATCAGGGTCTCAAGCCTGCTGGCCATTGGCCTGGCTCTCCTGGGTCTTGCTGGCTGCAGATCTTGGGATTTGTCAGCCTCTGTAATTGCATGAGCCAATTCCTTAGAGTAAATCTATGTTTATTGTATACATTTATATTATATATGTTTATTGCATATATTATATATAATATATGTTTATATATGTTTATATGTTTTTTATATATATACATATAAAAATTATATATGTTTGTTTGTTTTGAGACAGAGTCTCACTCTGTCACCTAGGTTGCAGTGCAGTGGTGAGATCTCAGCTCACTGCAGCCTCCACCTCCCGGGTTCAAGTGATTCTTGTGCCTCAGTCTCCTGTGTAGCTGGGATCGCAGCCATGTGCCACCACGCCCGGCTAAGATTTGTATTTTTAGTAGAGATGAAGTTTCACCATGTTGGCCAGGCTGGTCTCAAACTACTGGGCCTAAGTGATCCACCTGCCTCAGCCTCTCATAGTGCTGGGGTTACAGGCATATATATATATATGTTTATAGATACACATATAAAAACACATACACATACACACAGATCCTTTTGGTTCTGTTTCTGTGGAGAACCCTAACACAATGTAACTCTAAAACAGTTCTATTTTTATTTTGGATAAAGCAAATAATCTACTTAGGAAACAAGATTCTCTCTGTAAGAGAAAAGAGATGAAATACAAAAGAGATGAAAATACAAAATAAAGGAAGATAAGAGAAGTCCTATACTATGACATTTGTGCAGGAAATGTCATTAAGAACTCATGACTGGCTGGGCGCAGTGGCTCACGCCTGTAATCCCAGCTCTTTGGGAGGCCTAGGCGGGTGGATCACGAGGTCAGGTGTTCGGGACCAGCCTGGCCAAGATGGTGAAACCCCGTCTCTACTAAAAATACAAAATTTAGCTGGGTGTGGTGGCAGGCAGCTGCAATCCCAGCTACACTAGAGGCTGAAGCAGGAGAATTGCTTGAACCCAGGGGGCAGAGGTTGCAGTGAGCCGAGATCATGCCACTGCACTTCAGCCTGGGTGACAGAGCTAGACTCTGTCTCAAAAAAAAAAAAAAAAAAGAACTCATGATTATGTTGACAACGCATCTCCCAGCTTTGCTTGCTGAAATGGCCTGAGCACAACCAGTGCCCAGATTTTGGCTTCTAAGTGTCATTCCCACTAAAAGGAACCAGGGATCCCTCGAGAAATGGCTGACTTTAGATCTGGGGCAGAGAAAGCACAAGATGAGCCTGAGATGACTTGTGCCACAAAGAGAGAGAAAGGGAGTGAAGGGGAGAGAGAGAGAGAGAGAGAGAGAGAGAGAGAGAGAAATAAAGGTGGAAGAAGAAAGGAAACTCCTCTTTTACAGAAGTCCAGTTAATAAATGTTGAAAAGATTCTCAAATTTAAAAAATAATTTTGCAGCTCTCAATGTAATAACTGATTGAGGCAGGGATCTTCATGTATTCTTTAACAGCTGGACACAATATTGTTAGTGACAAGGTATTCAAACAATCTCAAAGTATCCCCCCTACAGATAATTTGACAGTTGAAAACAACAGCAAACTGCATCTATACAATGGAGAGATCTGGTGGTCACAGTCTTAGCCAAAATATCAAACTTGCATCACAAATATTAGGGCAACCTAATAGCATGTGCCTCTTGATGTGATGAAAGCACAAGTTTTCAAGGCCACTTCTGTAATGTTCTTACCAATGTTGTTTAAGCTGAATCTAATCACACATTTAGACTTAAGGTACTCTGAGTTACAGGGAAAAAATAGGAGCTACCAGGAACACAGTAAACACCACCATGAAGAGACAACCAGATCAATCTGGAAGGCAGAATATGGCACAAGACCATTGGTCTGAACTCTTCAAAAAATGCATCACAAAAGATAGAAAAGCATGTGGACTGTTCTATAATAAAGAAATTAAAGAGCAGTAACAGTCACATGCAATGCTTGAAACTTAATAGGATCCTGAATTGGACAAAGGAATATATACTGCATGAGAAGATATAATGAAATTGTTCATTTTATTTATTTATTTAGTTTTGAGACAGAGTCTTGCCATGTTGCCCAGGATGGAGTGCAGTGGTGCAATCTTGGCTCACTGCAACCTCCGCCTCTTGGGTTCAAGCAATTCTCCTGCCTCAGCCTCCTCAGTAGCTGGGACTAAAGGCACATGCCACCACACCTGGCTAATTTATTGTATTTTTAATAGAGATGGGGTTTCACCATGTTGGCCAGGCTGGTCTCAAACTCTTTACCTCAAGTGATCCACCCGCCTTGGCCTCCCAAAGTGCTGGGATTACGGGCATGAGCCATCGCACCTGGCTGAAATTCTTCATTTTATTAAGTATGACAATGATACTACAATTAGGTAGGAAACCATTCTAATTCTAAGGAGATTCATGCTGAAGTATTTAGAGATGAACTATTGTGATGACTACAATTTATTTTCAAATAGTTAAGCAAAAAGAAGTGGATATATGTATATAAATAACATAGAACAAAGAGGGAGGGAGTGGCCGGGGGAGAGGAAGAGAAAGATAGAGAGAGAGACAGAGAGAGAGAGAGAGAGAGAGGTGCACCCAAGCGTGCACTGGAGAGAGAACAAGCAAATGGGGCAAAATTGGTGACTCTGGTCCAAAAGTGTAAAAATTTCACTTTATGATTTTTTCCATTTTTCTGCACGTTTGAATATTTTCAAAATGAGAAATTGGGAAGAAGGTACTGATGATAATACTTGGTGAAAATCAAGTGAGGTTGCTGCAGGAAACATAATGATGGACCCGTACTGTTTGATAAGAATAGTAACTTCCCCCACAGCTGGGGAGGAGCACAGCTGTCAGTCAAGGATCACCCTGTGAGGCTGAGTGTGCAGCATTACTGCAAAACAGCAAACCTAATCCACGTGCCCCAGGCCATTGCTACAAAAGCAATGGGCGCTCTTCCCGGGCAGCCCCATGTTCCAGGGAGCCAAAGCTTGCAGCGTGAGAGGGTCTCTTTTTGGAACAAAGGTCGGTGAGTGAAGTCAAGTCCAGGCTTGGTTTTGAGAGATCACATGTCAGTTGCACAAACAGGACGAGAAGGCAGCAGAGTGAGTGGCGGAAAGGAATGTGCGGCTGAAGGAGGAAACGTGGGCTCAGAGCTGGAAGCTTAATATAATTTTATACATAACAGCAATGTTTCCCAATTTCCGGGAGATATTTTGGCTATTGCTGTTAACAGAGGACTTTCTGTGACCTCTCAGTGTGTTTCAGTTCTTTCACCTGTCTCTACCCTCTCTGCCCCCCGCGTACTCAATGATTTCCAAGACCTCTGCTCCCTCTCCCTCCTCCACAACACTAAAAGAAAAACTGTGCAGCTATTTTCCCCAATGCCCGTTCAGGGCTTTCAGGCCCCGCCTTCCCTGAAGAGCCTCCTCTGTTACAGGGGTTTTGAAAGAACCACATGGAAACCTAGAGATTCCCAACGGGGCACAAATAATTATGGTTTCACTGTGTGAACGAGAATCATATATTTTTCAAGTTCCCTGTTGGATTGACTGTTTTTAATTTACTACAAGCAAAAACCTCATCAATGTTTAAAGGGTGTGATCAAAATACACACATAGGGTGGCATTCATTTTTTGGGTAGGTGTCTATTTGTATTCCTATGTGCCATGAGGGGTAGACTGAGATGAGCCGATGCCACCTGAGCAGTTCATCAGAGAGAAGAGACCAGACGCAGAGCGCCTCACAGAATGCCCCGCGGCTCCACTGCTTCCATGAAATCTGTTCAAAATATTGCTTGTGGCTTTCCACAAACTAATTGCCTTGAAAAATCAGATTATAAATGTTAGTGAGTTCAGGGATAACATTGCTGCTTTTGTTAATCCAACAAGTCCCTGTCTCCATAAAAGGTCCGTGTGCCCCATGAGTACTAAATATATGTAGACTTAATACCAGCTAAAACGATTTACGCTCCTTTTTGTACTGGGAACATGGTTTTGCCGGATGGTATCACAAGCTGGCTACATCTGCTTTCCTTTCCACCCCGGCTGCTAAGATGTTCAGAGCCAAATTTGAAAGCCACCTCTACCAATGCAGTCAAAGCCTTATGACCTACATTTGGGTTACTATTCTTATTTTTGCATCCTCGTGATTTCTTCTTTTTGTTTGTTTGTTTTAGACGGCATCTCGGTCTGTTGCTAGGCTGGAGTGCAGTGGCATGGTCTCGGCTCACTGCAACCTCCGCCTCCCGGGTTCGAGCGATTCTCCTGCCTCAGCTACTCGTGATTGCTTCTTACATTGGTTCTAGCTCTGTAAGTTGCTTGGAATCCTTCTTTGAATGAGGAGGTGTATAAGGGATGGGAAACACACTGGTTGAGCATGAAACAGGAGAGGTTGCTCAGGCTCCAGTTGCCCTCAGTTTGCATATTCATCAGGGGACCATGGGGTGCTCTTTGCCCTATTTAGGGACAATAGGATGCACACCAGCAAACCAGCAAGCCTGAGCCCAAATCTTATATAAGAGCAGCACATATATGGAGAGCAGCTCTCCATAAATGGAAAAATACTCGGCAGCAATTTTCCCCAATGCTGTTGGGGAAAGCCAATAAACAAAGCTGCCATTGTGACATTTTATGATGCACAGACTACATCAAGGAACGAGCTGGGGCCACAGGACATTCCCTGCCAAA
Source organism: Homo sapiens (assembly GCF_000001405.40). NCBI lineage: Eukaryota > Metazoa > Chordata > Mammalia > Primates > Hominidae > Homo > Homo sapiens. The sequence continues at coordinate 30,221,887 of NC_000010.11, forward strand.
GGTGTCAGACCTACAGACATTTCCATGATGCACAGGCTGCACCTGGAGACACCTGAGAGAAACAGGAACCGAGCTAGACACTTGATAGACATTTACTCTGTAATCTCCATGTGACAAATCTGTAATAGAACAATCTTATTCCATTTCACACACAAAGAACCTGAGGCTCACAGGAAATAAATTGTCCAAGGTCAAGTAACGGCAAGAAAATGGCAGAGCAATAGTTAAAATCAAGGTGTAGGCCAGGCATGGTAGCTCATGCCTGTAATGCCAGCACTTTGGAGGCTGAGGTGGAAGGCTAGGAGTTTGAGACCAGCCTGGGCAACATAGCAAGATCCCACCCCTACAAAAAATAAATAAATAAATAAATAAATAATTTTTTTAAAAAAGCTGGGTATGGTGGCATGCGTCTGTACTCCCTGAGACTCACTACTCAGGAGGCTGGTGCAGGAGGATCTCTTAAGCCCAGGAACTTGAAGCTGCAGTAAGCTATGATCACACCACTGTACTCCAGCCTGGGTGACAGAGTGAGACCCTATCTTTAAAAACAACAACATAAAACAAAACAGCTGCAATAGGATGGGCAGGGTGGCTCACGCCTGTAATCCCAACACTTTGGGAGGCCGAGACGGGTGGATCACCTGAGGTCGGGAGTTCAAGACCAGCCTGACCAACATGGAGAAACCCCATCTCTACTAAAAATACAAAATTAGCCGGGTGTGGTGGCACATGCCTGTAATGCCAGCTACTCGGGAGGCTGAGGCAGGAGAATCGCCTGAACCTGGGAGGCAGAAGTTGCAGTGAGCTGACTGGGCAACAAGAACAAAACTCTGTCTCAAAAACAAGCAAACAAACAAAAACAGCAGCAATAAAAGACATGGTGCATCTGATTTCAAAGTCCTAAGGTTCCGTTCAATACCTATCCTTGCCTGTTTCCCCCAAGTCACGGCATGAATGTCACTTCTCCTTTGAAACAGCCTCCTCCTGGCGAAGCTGCTACATAAAGTCTATAAAGCATTTTAATTATTTGGAGTAAGCGAACTTTAAAAACGTAAAGCCATATGGAATGAGGCCGCGGAACCACGGGACAGCTGCCCAGTTTGACTTTGGGTCCCTGTGAGAATTGGAAAGCAAATGTCAAAGAACAGATCTTGCCCTCTGGCACCCATGGATGTCACAAAAAATTCATGGAAACTCCTAGAGAAATTCCTCCACCTGTGTAAGACTTTTGTAACCCCAATATGTAAGTGCTAACCTGCGGCTGGCCACTGCGGTGGCCACACTGCTAATGCTGGTGCCCCACACTGTTCAGCCCCCCCATAAGGGACCCCTGAGGACCCTCACCTTCTGCCTCCCTCCTACCTGGGCAGCTGCTGTTCCCAGCTGGGGTTGCTGACACTTTGGGAACTGCACTGAACAGCAGATACAACACTCTGAGCTCCCCTGCAAACCCCTCGGTGAACCTGCTTCAGAGCTGGTGCCTGTCACATCTTACATCCCTCAGAGCCATCTCAGATGGCATGTCCTAAAATATCTATCTTCCCCTCCAAAAATAATTTTTGTGCTCCTCTTTTTCCAGTACATCTCCAATCCTTTTCCCCTTCTTGTGGCTCCTCCCGCTTCCATGCTGATATAACTAGCACTGGTCTAAGTTCCTCATCTGTGCCATGCTGTCTCCCACCACCAAGCCTTTGCGTGGGCTGTTCCCTCTGGCTGGGACACCGGAACACGTGCCTGTCAAATAATGTGGATGTTTGTCCCCTCCAAATCTCATGTTGAAATGTGACCTCCAGGCTGGGCGCAGTGGCTCACGCCTGTAATCCCAGCACTTTGGGAGGCTGAGGTGGGCAGACCACCTGAGGTCAGGAGTTCGAAGACCAGCCTGGCCAATGTGGTGAAACCCCATCTCTACTAAAAGTACAAAAATTAGCCGGGTGTGGTGGCACATGCCTGTGGTCCCAGCTACTCGGGAAGCTGAGGCAGGAGAATTGCTTGAACCTGGGAGGTGGAGATTGCAGTGAGCCGAGATCATGCCATTGCACTCCAGCCTGGGCAACACAGCGAGACTCCATCTAAAAAAAAAAAGAAAAAAAGAAAAGAAAAGAAATATGATCTCCAGTGTTGGAGGTGGGGCCTAGTGGGAGGTGTTCAGGTCATGGGGGCAGACCCCTCATGAATGTCTTGGTGCCCTCCCTGCGGTCCCCATGGTCATGAGTTCACATGAGATCTGGTTGTTAAAAAGAGCATGGCACCTCCCCCTCTCTCTTGCTTCCTCTCTCACTATGTGACATGACTGCTCCCCTTTCACCTTCCATCTTGAGTGGAAGCTTCCTGAGGCCCTCATCAGAAACAGATGCTGGTGCCATGCTTCCTGTACAGCCTGCAGAACCGTGAGCCAAATGAACCTCTTTTCTTTGTAAATTACCCAGCCTCAGGTATTCCTTTATAGCAACAAAAAACAGACAAACACACCTGCCTCAGGTCCCCTCCCTGGCTCTGACCTCCCGGGAGCTCTTCTAGGTTAGTTAAGTTATCTCCTCTGAGCAGGCCTTTTGACTTCTCCAGGCAGTTAGGCCACTGCTCTGAAGTCCTGTTACACCCTAGGGGTCTTTAACTTTCATCGCCCTGTCACTGTTATTGATTGTCTGTCTGTCCCGCTGAACTCCTGGCCCTCTGAGGGCAGGAGCCCCACCTGTGCGGGCTGCTCCTCCATATCTCAACAGTGCCTGGCACAGAGCAGATGCTCCATCAATGTCTGATGGGTGAGTGAGTGATCCTCTTAAAGAATGAAGATCTAATTCGGACTGATGCTGTCACAATGGTAATCATAAAATGTCCACAGATTTATGCAGTTCTTCACAGTTTAAAAAGTGCTTTCTCCCAGCACTTTGGGAGGCCGGGGCCAGTGGATTACCTGAGGCCAGGAGTTCAAGACCAGCTTGACCAACATGGTGAAACCCCATCTCTACTAAATACAAAAAATTAGCCAGGCATGGTGGTGCACTCCTGTAATCCCAGCTACTTGGGCGGCTGAGGCAGGAGACTCGCTTGAACCTGGGAGGTGGAGGTTGCAGTGAGCCAAGATTGTGCCGTTGCACTCCAGCCTGGGCAACAAGAGCCAAACTCCATCTCAAAAAAAAAAAAAAAAAAAAGTGCTTTCGCATATATTATTTTTATAACCCTTTAAAGTGTGTGTTTCTTATAGAAGCCTTGCCTTTTTCAAATCTTTTATTCTTCCTAGAATATTTTTGCTTTGGAATTGGTATCAAGTCCCCTCTCCCTATAATTTTTCATTTAAAAAACTGACATTCATCTAGCCACTTTACCTAAGATCTCTTATTTAAAATTCAGAGAAGGTCTTATGATCCCAAATTTACACCTAAGAAAACTAAGGTCCTGTGGCTAGTGAAATAGAGGCCCCCCTGAGCCTGGGCTGTCTGCTTCCACAGTCTTGGTCTCCACAGTGAGCTACACTCACCTGTAGTCACTGGACATCTCCTGATGCGTCCTTCCAAGTCCATGTTACCGTTGGTAACCAGCCCACAGTCTAATTCCACCCTAGTCCTACTCACGCACTCACATGACAGGAGCATGGTAAACCAGAGACTTTCTAGATTTTCACTCTGTGCATTTCATCACTGGGCAAAATACATGTCATTTTAAATGTCCGCATTTTCATCAGAACCAAAACTGACAAGAATGAATGGTTTGGTTGAAGTTGCTTTTGTCGAAGCATATGGAAATGATCAATTTCTTCCCCAAAGTGGAAACATAGTTTGAATACAGAAATATAATCCAGTTCATCCGAAGGGCAGCTTCCCAGGCCCCAAGTGGCCCTCAGACCACACCTTGACTGCTACTAGGTTAGTAATTTATTAATTATTATTATTATTATTTTGAGATGGAGTTTCACTCTGCCGCCTTGGCTGGAGTGCAGTGGCGCGATCTTGGCTCACTGCAACCTTTGCCTCCTAGGTTCAAGCAATTATCCTGCCTCAGCCTCCTCAGTAGCTGGGATTACAGGTGTGTGCCACCACTCCTGGCTAATTTTTTATATTTTTAGTAGAGACAGGGTTTCACCATGTTGGCCAGGCTGGTCTCGAACTCCTGACCTCAAGTGATCCACCTGCCTCAGCCTTGCAAAGTGCTGCAATTACAGGCGTGAGCCAACGTGCCCAGCCAGATTTAGTAATGTTTTAGATTGACAAGACATGGGCCAGAATTGAAGCCAAGTTCGGACAACCCAAGTGTGGATATCCCCCTTGGCTGTAATGCCAGTGGCTCTCACTGTGGGGAAGGGCATTTTTCCCTCCTGGGAGATACTGCAGGTGCTGCAGCACATTCGCCCCTTGACTGTGGGCTTGGCACAGGGAGAGGCTCTCCGGGGCTAACCCTGAAGCCATCCCATGCTTTCTCTTATTTAAATGAATAAACGTTGGGATGGGTGTAGTGCTCATACCTGTAATCTCAGCATTTTGGGAGGCTGAGGCGGGAGGGTGGCTTGTGGCCGGGAATTTGAGACCAACCCTGGCAGCATAGCAAGACCCTGTCTCTACAAAAAAATGTTTAAAAATTAGCTGGGTGTAGTGGTTCACACCTGTAGTCCCAGCTACTCGGAAGGCTGAGATGGGAAGATTGCTTCAGCCCAGGAGTTTGAGGCTGCAGTGAGTCATGATTGCACCACTGCACTGCAGCCTGGGCAATAGAGTAAGACTCTGTCTCAAATAAACAATAAATAAATAAAATAAATAAATAATACATGAAATTTAATGTAATCTGACAAACAACAGTGGACTGAAATACCATCTCCAGGTGCCTGTCATCCTCAGGGTGGGCTGGCAGGAAAGACTTTCATTATGGGCAGGGCGAGGTGACTTACGCCTGTAATCCCAGCACTTTGGGAGGCTGAGGCAGGCAGATCATTTGAGGTCAGGAGTGTGAGACCAGCTTGACCTACATAGTGAAACCCCATCTCTACTAAAATACAAAAATTAGCTGGGCATGGCGGCAGGCACCTGTAATCCTAGCTACTCAGGAGGCTGAGGCAGGAGAATCGCTTGAACTCTGGAGGCGGAGGTTGCAGTGAGCTGAGATTGTGCCACTGCACTCCAGCCTGGGTGACAGAGCGAGACTCCATCTCAAAAAAAAAAAAAAAAAAAAACATTAGTCATGGGGAAAATGGCACTGGTGTGACCTGAAGAGAGAAGAGCTTCGGCCAGTCTCCCAGAGCAGCAGTGAATGGGGTATTCCGCCTTCTCCACTGGGGAATTGCTCGAAAACAACAAGCAGAACAAGAAATAGAAACACGACTGGGAGTCAGCTGTCCCCTGAAGCACGGTAGTGAGGAAGGAAGGGCTGCCTAAAGAGAGACGAGAAGGTCCAAGGGGCCGGCCGTGAGGGCACAGCTGAGTCCTTCAGGCTGGGAGGCTCCCTCCCCGAGGAGCACACACATCCATCCCACGTCTGAGACAACGCCAACAGGTGTTGGGCCAGGGCTGGGCCCTTCGCTGAAATTTTGAGACCCAAAAAAGGCAGCACAGGACAGGGAAAGGTATGGACAAAGCCTGATTCCAGGACATGGTGGGGAAAAGTTTACAGGAGTTCATAGGCCCTGGTGAAAGGATTCCTGCTAGCCTGGAACATAACTCAAGTCCTCCTGGAAGTATTAATAGCTGGCTCAGGAAGACCTCTCCTCATCCGAAGATGAGAAATAACCGAGAAAGAACCTACTCAGCAATTTGACGCTGGAAAATCCAGCCCCAGCTCCTCTGATATTGGCCGTGACTCACTGTTTTGGCCACACGGTCCTCTGGTGGCCCGAGAAGAGGCCCTGCCCCAGCCTTGCTCTCAACCTCTCAGGAAGTGAAATGATGCAGGGAGGATTTTGCACTCCCAGAAGGCTGTGGCCTAGAGCCAAGGGAAGGAAATCCACCCCTGTAAGAGGATTCTAAGATGCAAGGTGTGTTTCAACCCAACCCTGGAACCACCCACCTCTCAACTTATTGTTACATCAAATAAAGGCTAAGTTATTTTAATAGCGATTTTCAGTTTCTTGCAGCCAAAAGCATAATAATGAAAAGTTGTACAGAATGTGCCATTTTTGAAATATAAACAGATAAACCAATAAATAATGCAAACACATATGCTTATACATGCATAAACTATAGAACAATAAATGAGAAGCTAGAAGAAGTGTGGCTTTGTGGGAAGAAAACTGAGTGTCATGGGGATAAGGTGAAAGTAGGCCCTTTTGTCCACTTTGGAGAATTTTTTTTTTTTTTGAGACAGGGTCTTGTGTTTCCCAGGCTGGAGTATAGTGGCATGATCATGGCTCACTGCAGCCTCTAACTCCTGGGCTTAAATGATCCTCCTACCTCAGCCTCCCAAGTAGCTGCGACTACAGGTGCACCACGATGCCTTGCTGATTTGTTTTAATTTTTGTAGAGATGGGGGTCTCACTATGTTCCCGAGGTTGGTCTTGAATTCCTGGGCTCAAGTGACCCTCCCACCTCAGCCTCCCAAAGTGCTGGGACTACAGGCGTGTGCCACAGTGCCAAGCACTGTTTTCCCTCTGGATATACTACCTAGTCAAAATAAGTATTTTTTTAAAAAAATCAGGAGATTCTCATTGCAAATATTGCTGCTTTGCTCTCAGAGCTCCAGGCTATAGACAGGCTGACCTACCCTGGGCAAGATCCCAGCATCTCCATTTGTCTCCAGTCCTTGTCTTTTCAGCCTCTCCCATTTGCCCTCCATTTCTGCACATGGTCCTGACCACCCCCTCCCCTGCCTTCTAGGTGGAGCACTCACCCCTGGGATCTGGCACAGAGACTCCGCCCCAGCTCCTCTGATATTGGCAGCAACTCCCAGTCCTCAGGGAGTGCAAGCCAAGGCGTTGCCTCCGGGACCTCTTGTTGGTGCTGGCCCATCTCCACCAGCTTTGCCCTAGACCTCTCCAGAAGCAAATCTGACCCTGGGTGTATTTTCCTCACTCAGAAGACTGTGGCCCCAAGTTGAGTAAGCACATGCCCAGTAATCCCAGAGGACGCCACAAAGCAGGACTGAGTGCAGTGAGGGGAGTGTGGACTGTGAATCTGAAATGAGCTGCTGATGGAAGGTTGACTCTCAGGAAATGAGAAGTTCTTTGCAAATCAGCTGGCAGCTCCTGAGGAGATTATTTTCTCCCTGAGTAGATGTTAGCTGAAGATACACTGACTACCAGGAGAAGATATGAACTTTTGGAGAAAAAAATCGTGCCCAGTACAGGCATTAAACACAAGACTGCTCAGAGCAGAAGTTGGCCATTCTGTCCAAGACGACCAGGTTGCTCATGATTCCAACACAGACTCAAGACTTGTCTAGGTTGAGGGTGAAGAAATCCAGTGGCCTGTGGGCCTGAAGGATTACTCCCATCTTCCTGAAATGTGGGGGCTTGGGGAGCTGGGAGTGCATTGTGGGGAGGGGAGGGGGCTTCTGAAGCCACAGACTAAAAGGGAGCCTGGTTCTTCCCCATGTGGGCTGGGAGACTCACATCTAAAATCTACTTCATAGTTTATATTCTAGGGTAGTAAATTTCTTTCTTCCCTTCTTTTTTTGGGGGGTGTGGTGATATGGGAAGAAAAAAGAAACCAATAACAAATGATCTGATGTTCTAATAATATTTAACAACACTTGAATTAGGTGTCTGCACTGTATTGAAAGAAAATATTTGGCTATTGGATTAAAACCTAAAAACCCTTAGAATAACAATAAATAAAGTGCAGTTCTGACAACCCAAAACACAGTGAACGAGTGCCCCAGGGGAGGTCCAAGGGCTCGATCCAGAACTGCAAATGCAAGCTTGAAATCTCTTTGAAGTCTTATGCTTGGTCTTTGAAATTCATCCAGTTTTGCCTTCTACCCATGAATGTTTATTTTAATATGAAAATCGTGTTTTTTCTCCTCTAAAAATCACTCAGTCAAACCCAGCGCTCTAGGAGGGTGTGGCAGGGGAACACATGGGCCAGTTTCAGATGCCCAGGGATTTGAATCATCAGGTGTCTAAAATCGCCAGTCACATTTAGACAAAGGCTGGTTGGCGACTGGGCTGCGGTAGATGGCAAGGACAGGGAGCACAGGTGCCAGGCTCTGGGTGATGGCCAGGGATGTGCTACAGCATCTTTCATCAAAGAACGAGGAAAAATAATTCTACTGGGAGTCACACACACAGGGGCTCACAGGACCTCTAATATCCTTGGCATCCTGGTTATACTATGCATTAGTTCAGGGAGGTTAGGCTGAGATAACAAAATAGGCCCAAATGTGCAGTAGCTCAACACCATAGAAATATAACAGCTCACAGAGGGTTGGGTGGGCAACTCTACCCCATGTAGTCATACGAGAACCAAGATTGCGGCTGATGGTAGTCCTCCTTAACATGTAGCTTTCCTGAGGGTTGCCACCTCAATCATCCAGAAGAGGAAACGAGCATGTCTGAGCATGCCTGCAAAGTTTGTTTTTTTTTTTTTTTGCTGCTTTTTTTTTTTTTTTTTTTTTTTTGAGATGGAGTCTCGCTTTTTCACCAGGCTGGAGTGCAGTGGCGCGATCTCGGCTCACTGCAACCTCCACCTTCTGGGTTCAAGCAATTCTCCTGCCTCAGCCTCCCCAGTAGCTGGGACTACAGGCACCTGCCATTATGCCAAGCTAATTTTTGTATTTTTAGTAGAGACGGGGCTTCACCATGTTGGCCAGGATGGTCTAGAGCTCTTGAGCTCGTGATCCACCTGCCTTGGCCTCCCAAAGCTCTGGGATTACAGGCATGATCCACCACGCCTGGCCTGCAAAGTTTTTGTAGGCCAGACCTGGAAATGACAGACACACACGGCTGCTCATAGTCCATTCATAAGCACTCAGTCATATGATCATACTGAACTCCAGGTATAAACACATACCCCTATTTCTTCAAGACAAAGAGAACAAAGTTATTTTGTTAATTACTTTTTTCTTCTTTTCTCTTTCCTCCTTGTTCCTTGTTCCCCACTTCTCACTTAGTTCTTTAGAAATGCAATGAAAACCCTCAGCTTCCCTTCACCAGATGCTCCCTACATGATACTCCCAGAGGCTCTAACTGCCTGCTTACTTAGAAGCTCCAGAGCCATGACTCTCTCTCACCAGGAGATCACCTCAAGAGACAACACTCAATCTGCAACCTAAAGCATGTCCACGATGGAACTCGCTCCCACCTGGAGAGTATCTCGAGACAATGGCCACCTTACAACCTAGCTCTGCCCAGGATGGCACCAGCTGGACCACTCAGTAGATAAGGCGACACAGTGAGTCATGTAGACCTTGCACCTGATCGCTCCCTCCCCTGTGTGCTGCTCATGCCAGGTTCCTGTTTAAAAGCCCTGCTTTCTGCACACAAAGGGAAGCAGTACCCTTAAAGGCAGGAGCCAGTACATCTTCCCCTAAGCTAAGCCTTAGAATAACGTCACTTTCTTTACACCAGACCTCACCCCTGTTCATTGGACTCTGCAAGCAGCAAGTGACTGAACCTGAATTTCAGTTACACAAGGAAGTCTGGGAAAGGAGGTCTAGCTGTTTATTCAGGAAGGGAAACTTAGATCTTAAAGAGTGGCACGTTTTTTTCACAGCACCTGAGGCCAGGAAATGACATGAAGTTGTGCACATTCATTTCGGGTAGATTAAATAATGAGATAGCTGCCACACTTGTCACCAGTACATTTCTGGGTAATCCTAGGCTCACCTACATACTTTAATTATATAAAAGAGCCTCTGCCCCCAGTCAATGAGCTATTGGAAAATGTACTGCATCAGTTATTTATTTCTGGGTATCACTTATTCCCAAAGCTTGATCTGATTCAGTTAATTCCAGGCTCTCTGTAATGAAATTAATAAAAATACTTGTCACTCTAAGGAACTGACTAGGTACATTGACTAAGAGGTCTGGAGACCTATATTTTTTTGCTTAAACTATCTCTTTATTCTTAAAACTGTCTTCCATTTCAACCTTTAAACTGCTTAATAAGCATTTCTCTACAGTTCAAGAAGTTTCCATGGCACTAATTCAAAATAGAATCTTGCTCTGTCGCCCGGGCTGGAGTGCAGTAGTGCAATCTCGGCTCACTGCAGCCTCTGCCTCCTGGGTTCAAGCGAATCTCCTGCCTCAAGCCTCCTGAGAATCTGGGACTACAGGCGTGTGCCACCAAGCCCAGATAAGTTTTGTATTTTTAGTAGAGATGGGATTTCACCATGTTGGCCAGGCTGGTCTGGAACTCCTGACCTCAAGTGATCCACTTGCCTTGGTCTCCCAAAGTGTTGGGATTACAGGCGTGAGCCATCACGCCCGGCTGGCATATGACCTTTTTCATAGTAAGTTTGCCCTGCTAACTTCATTGGTTGATCTAGGACAAGTGGGGTTTGTTGTTTTGCAAGCTCTAATGGTCATTATTTTCAATATACAAAACCAGCATAACATCTATGACAGATATTCCTATTAATTGAGACATTTTATACTCAAATTCAGAACCACTGTTTTTCTGGCTGCTTTTGACTAGAAGGTGAACATTCCAGATGTAGTGTTGATGTTTGTCCCCTCCAAATGTCACGTTGAAATGTGACCTCCAATGTTGGTGGTGGGGCTTAGTGGGGAGTGTTTGCATCATTAGGAAGGATCCCTCATGAATGGCTTAGTGTCCTCCTCATGGTAATGAGTGAGTTCTCACTCTGTTAATTCACATGCTGGTGCCATGCTTATATAGCCTGCAGAACCACGAGCCAAATAAACAGCTTTTCTGTATAAATTACTCAGCCTCTGGTGTTCCTTTATAACAAAGGAAAACAGAGTAACACAGTCCCCTGTGTTAGTCTGGTAACACCCTGGCTGCATCTTTCAGCCAGTATCCAACACAAGGCAGACTATATAAACTATTTAATAAAAACTCACCTTTCCAAGGCCAAGAGCCACCTTGAATCTGTACCATTTCCTCCAGGCCTTCTACTTCCAGAAGGTTGGGGCTCATTTCAAAACCCTGGGGCTCAGACAGGTCTGTCTGCCATTGCTTTATCTTGCCTCTTAGCAATTTGGTGGCACCACATCGAGTCTCTGTACAGTATGTCCTGAGCTGTGCCTTTGAACCTTTACCCAAGGCTACCACATTGCACAGCTCCAGCAAGAGCTGTGCTCTCTGTGCTACGTGAAGACCCTCCATTCATTATAAGAATCCAGGAAGACCACATCTAAATTTGGGCTTTCAAGTCTTTGGGGAGAAGGCATAGGTGGTTCTTGAAGCTCCAGTTCCATCCTACAGGAAACATTATGTCAGCTGCAATGGAACCAAAAGGGGGGAACTTCCATTTTTAATGAGATGGTTTGAAAACCAAACCATTACAAACATCCGGCAGTATGGAATAATGTAGGATAAACATTATTTTAAATGCAGCTTAAAGAGTGAGCTGAATACCAGAGCAGTGAGCGAGTGAGCTGATACTGTGACTGCCCAGAAATCATCAGCCTCAGTAACCTTGGGGCTTGGGTTTTAGTATTCCTGATAAGATAGAAGGCAGAGTTTTCATCTCATGCAAGTAAAGAAGACTCCCACAGCAAGTAGGAACACTTAAAGAACAACAATCTCAATAAAAGATTAGACTAGATAAATATCCATGTAATATCACAGTGGCATTATAAGAGAGCTTTTGTGTTACTTACTGCACTGGGAGTCAGAAAAAAAAGTCCTTCCTGGAAATTGATAACTGCACTTCATTCAAATTTGGGTTCAAATTCACACTATCAGCATGGTTCACGAAAAGCCAAGAAAATAATATGAAAATGGTTCCAGCCAATAAAAACCCCCAGGGCACTGAACTCAGGCTGCACGAGATTTTCACAGAGGATGAGCTCACAATCAAAACCTCTAAAATGCCTGAGGAAATAATCCACCATGATTAAGAACCAGCAGACATAACAAACAATAGTATTAGAACCCAAGGACTTCAGAAAATTGGATAATCTTATAAATTATAAACTAAGAGTATTTGACATGACTAATGTCAGAAAGAAAGGAAATCAAAGCATAAGAAAATAATGTAACATTATCAAAAATGAAATCAGGTAAAAATAAGAAATAAACAAAAATTTAAAAAATAAAAATAAAAATCCAGTCAGGCAGGGCAGTTCATGCCTGCAATCCCAGAACTTTAGGAAGTCAAAGTGGGAGAATTGCTTGAGGCCAGGAGTTCAAGACCAGCCTAAGCAACATAACAAGTCTCCATCTCTAAAATATTTTTTTAAATTAGCTAGCATAGTAGCATGCATCTGTAGTCACAGTTACTTGGGGATCTGAGGAAGAAGGACTGCTTAAGCTCAGGAGTTCAAGACTGCAGTGAGTGGCTGGGTGCAGTGGCTCATGCCTGTAATCCCAACATTTTGGGAGGCCAAGACCGATGGATCACTTGAGCTCACAAGTTTGAGACCAGCCTGGGCAATGTGGTGAAACCCCATCTCTACTAAAAATACAAAAAAATAGCCAGGCATGGTGATGCACGCCTGTAGTCCCAGCTACTTAGGAGGCTGAGGTGGGAGATTGGCTTGAGCCCAGGAGGTGGAGGTTGCAGTGAGCCAAGATAGCACCGCTGTACTCCCGCCTGGACACTAGAGCCAGACCTTGTATCAAAAAATGGTAATAATAATAGTAAAAGAAAGAAAAAAGAAAAAAAAAGAAAAATGAAAGACTGCAGTGAGCTATGATTGTGTCACTGCACTCCAGCCATGGTGACAAAGTAAGACTCTATCTCTAAAACAAAACAAAACAGAAACAAATTTAGTAATTGAAATGAAAAACTCAGCAGCTAGGTATCACCTGATTTAGACACAGCTGATTAGAGAATCAGTGAACTGGGAAGTAAATTTGAAGAAGTCATACAACATGTGGCACACAGATAAAAAAATGCAAAAACACTCAGAATATGTAAATCCATAGAGACATAAAGCAAATTGCTGGTTGTCAGGTTCTAGGGGGATGAGAGAATGGAGACCAATTGCTTAATGTGTATAAGGCTTTCTTTCAGAATGATGAAAATAGTTATTACTAGATAGAGGTGGTGGTTACATAACATTGTGATTGTACTAAATTTCACTGAATTTCACTTTTAAATGGTTAATTTTATGTGAATTTTTACATCAATAAAATATATTTTTAAGAAAGAGATATTCGGATAAAATGAAAATATCTAAATACATGTAATACAAGTTGCAGAAAGAGAATTAAGTGAATAAAGACAGCCAGTATTTTTAGAGAGATAAATTTTCTGGAATTTATCAAAGACATGAATCTGTGGATTCAGGAAGTACAACACCTTGTAAGAAAAATAAACAAGTTCACATCTGAATATATCAAGATACAAATGCAAAACACAAGACAAAGAGAAGATCTTAAAAGCCACCACCAGAGAGGGCATTCTTTAAGCTAATAGTAAATATATTCTAATAGCAGCAATAAAAACCAAAATGCAATGGGATAATATTTTTGGAGTGCTGAAAGAATACAGCTCTTAATCTAGATTTCTACCATCATTGTTCAAGTGTGAGGGAAACTTAAAAATATTTTCAGGCTGGGCATGGTGGCTCACGCCTGTAATCCCAGCACTCTGGGAGGCCAAGGTGGCAGATCTCCTAAGGTCAGGAGTTCAAGATCAGCCTGGCCAACATGGTGAAACCCCATCTCTACTAAAAATACAAAAATTAGCCAGGTGTGGTGGCACACACCTGTAATCCCAGCTACTCGGGAGGCTGAGGCAGAAGAATCACTTGAACCCAGGAGACAGAGGTTGCAATGAGCTGAGATCATACCACTGCACTCCAGCCTGGGTGACAGAGCAAAATTCCGTCTCAAAAAAAAAAAAAGAAAAAATATATATATTTTAAGACAAACCAAGACCGAGAGTATTTAGCCCATTAACTCTCACTGAATGAGCACTTAAAGGATTTCTTTAAATTCTTTTGATTTCTTTAAATGTCGGAAGAAACAAACCCAGAAGAAACAAACAAGATGTAAAAGCAATGGTAAGCAATGAAACTGGTAAGCATTCAGAAAAATCTAAATAAGGAACAGCTATACAAGAATGATAACAGTGTTTCGGAATGAGGTACAAAAGTGAAATAAAATACTAGATAACAATGACATGTTTGATCGAGGAGAGTTGGAGGGATAGGGAGTTAAACATTCCAAGAACTGTGTATTGTGCAAGAGAAAGGCAGAAAGAACAACTGAGTAAAGTCGGTGGCTCACAACTGTAATCCCAGCACTTTGGGAGGCTGAGGTGGTGGATCAACTGAGGTCAGGAGTTCGAGACCAGCCTAACCAACATGGCGAAACCCCATCTCTACTAAAAATACAAAAATTAGCCAGGTGTCATGGTACACACCTGTAATCCCCATTACTCAAGAGGCTGAGGCATGGGAATCGCTTCACCCCTGGGAGGTGGAGGTTGCAGTGAGCTGAGATTGTGCCACTGCACTCCAGCCTGGGCAACAGAGCGAGACTCTGTCTCAAAAAAAAAAAAAAAAAAAAAAAAAAACAAGTAAAGAATTTGTTAATTCAGGAACAAAGTTAAAAATTGAAAAGTAGCCACAGAGCCACAGAAGAATAGAAGTAGAATAACAGAATATATACCTTCCCAAGAAGCAGTCAAGTAAGTAAGAAAAGGAAGAAGAAAACATAATCATTCCAGTAGAAAGCAGAAAAGAACAAAATAAGAAAAAAAGAAAATGTATATATATAGTAAACAGAAAACACAAAATAATATGGTAGAAATAAAGTGTTTAAATTACAATAAATGTGGGTTATATAAAATATACACTGAATTATAACAATATATAAAATATAAATAGATTAAACTTATGTGTTCAATTTAATTCAATTCATGGAAAAGGAGGCAACCCACAAAAGATTTAATACAACTGATTATAAACATATGAAAATAATTCTCTTCTAATTAAAGAAAAAATGAATTCACATACAGATTTTTAAATAACAATCTTTAGTGCTGAAGGAAGTACATTGTCATCTTTTCAATGTTGACTGTAAAGTGAAATGGTGCAAATTTTCCAGAGCACAGTTTGCAAAATGGACCAAAACTTTTAAATATGCACTCCCAGCAATTATACTTGGAGGAAATACTGATATGTGTGCAGAAATTTGTCTACAAGGATGTTCTAATGAATTATTTATAGTATCAGAAACCTGAGACCTGAATATCCCACAATTAAGAGAGTTGTTAAATTACTCCTCATGCTATTGCTCATATTACTAATATTAGTGGTAAATGATAATATTTATTAAGAGTCCACTACGTGCCAGGCGATGTTCTAAACACTTTACCGATTAACATATTTTAATCTCCATTACAACAATGTGAGATAGATATTATCTTTCTCATTTTAGAGATAAGGAAACTCATTAAGTAAATAATGGGATTAACATTTTTAAATTAAAAAAGAGAAAGAAAAGAAAACTAAAAGTACACGGAAATTAGTAATTTGCCTGAAGTCACCTAACGATCAAATAGAAGAGCCAAGAGCCACCATTTGATCTGATGGAGTTAGTCTCCAGAACCACATGTCACATGCATTGGTTAGGTTATGGAGGCATAAAACACATGTTCTAAGAAACACTGTGTTTTAATAACACTAACCATGTGAAACAATACGTATCATACATCCTAATATTGTAAAAACACACATGTATGCTCGTATAAAAGTCATATTTATACACAGGCATATTTAGGCACAAGCACGAAAGCGTCATACACTAAAATATGCATGATCTCTGCCCTGGGTACCAGGATTATGGGTAACTTTCTCCTTTGTGCTTTAGTTTTTATTTTCACAAGGAACACACATTACTCCTGAGATTTGAAACAAATAACACACAATTTCAAAAGTAAAGAAATCGATGTAGCTGGATGGGGGTGGGTGGGGGTGGAAGTCAGGGTCAGAAGGAAGGAGATGGTCTTGGCTGGGAATGGGGAGAGGTTAGTCAAAGGGTACAAAATTTCAGTTAGACTGAATGAAAGAGTTCTGGAGATTTATTGTACAGCATGAAGACTACAGTTAATAACAATGTAGCTAATGTAGCCTATACTTGAAAATTACTGAGAGTAGATCTTTAATGTTCTCCTCACAAAAAAAAGTACCTTATTAAGGCCATGTGTGGTGGCTCATGCCTATAATCCCAGCACTTTGGGAGGCCAAGCAGGGAGGATCATTTGAGCCCAGGAGTTCAAGACCAGCCTGGGCAACATAGTGAAACACCATCTCTTCAAAAAGTAAAAAAATTAGCCTCGCATGCTGGTGCATACCTGTGGTCCCTGCTGCTCTGGAAGCTGAGGTGGGAAGATCACTTGAGCCCAGAAGGTCAAGGCTGCAGTGAGCCATGACCGTGCCACTGCACTCCAGCCTGAGTGACAGAGGGAGACCATGCCTCAAAAGTAAAAATAAAAAATAAATTATTTTTTAAAATGATAAATATGTTAGGGAATGGATATGTACATTAGCTGAATTTAGCCATTTTACAATGTATGTGTAGTTCAAAACATCATATTATGTACTGTAACATATACAATTTTTGTCAGTTATACCTTAATAAAGCTGGGAGAATTAATTAATTAATTTTATTTATTTATTTATTTTTGAGACAGTGTCTCTCTCCCATCACCCAGGATGGAGTGCAGTGGCACAATCATGGCTCACTGCAGCCTCCACTTCTGTAGCTCAGGTGGTCCTCTTCCCTTGGCCTCCTGAGTAGCTGGGACTATAGGTGTAGGCCACCGTGCCTGGCTAATTTTTTGTATTTTTAGTAAGTAGAAATGGGGTTTCTCCATGTTGCCCAGGCTGGTCTCAAACTCCTGGGCTCAAGCGATCCTCCCACCTCAGCCTCCCAAAGTGCTGGGATTACAGACATGAGCCACCGCATCTGGCCTAATTAATGTATTATTTTTTTAAAAAGAAGAAGAAAGAAGATGATCGTCCCCTGGCCCGGCAGGAAGCTTCTTTGTTTCTGGGGCTTCCTGGTCTAACGCTACATTTCCCCAGCACCCAAGCCAGCCAGGTTTTTTCCCGCAAGCCCCACGTCTCCAGCTGTGTCTCTTGGCAGCTATCTGAGCCGCCCTGGGTCAGCTGCTTACCCTTTGTTTTCTGAGTCCAGCCCAAGAAGACACTCAATAACCTGTAGAGACGCATAGGTGTTTCCTTTATGTCATCTCAGGAAATGGGCCCAGGTGTACAGTTCATAGTGGGAGACAAAAGTAATTCATTTAATTCATTCAACATATGTTTACTGAGCACCTAGACATGTGACAAATGCCATGCTTTTAGGTCATGCAACCTTGAATTCAAGGACATTAACTTAAAAATTTAATCAGCCTCTTCCACCATACTGTTCTGGTGCTTTTTGTTGTGGTGGAGGTTGTTAAACAAAGATCACAACAATAACGTTGCCTTTGACATAGATATAAACCATAAACGCCTCCTCTGGCAAGATTACAAAAATTCTACCTCCGAGAATAAGGCTTCCCTGGTTCATAAATAAGTTCATGCATGCTAACAAAGGCCCCAGGAATTATTCTACTGCAACTAATTTAGATCCTTCATTGAGTTCCTCAGTGTTTAATCAAGGCTGTGCCGCATCCGTACCCATTACCGAAATAAAATAAAGTCTGTACCACATAGGAAATGTGCACCTACAATATTACTTTTCTAGTCTCACGTTTTAATTGGAAAATTGGTAGTCCCATTTGAATGAAATCATCCTGCATAACAGATTCAGAAAATGATTCCTGCTGAAAGAACATTTTTCATCTCACTTTGCCTAAGTCTGAACCACAGTCTGACTAGGATGATAGCCCTTTTAGGTTTGACTTCACCCTCAGGAAATACCTTCAGCTTTTTGGGAGGGAAACCTGGGGGATTTTTTTCAGTGAGATCACTGTTTTAAAAAATATCTTCCTCACTTCTGTAGAACCTTGGCTTCTCAGCACCTCTTACAAAAGCACTACGTAGATCAACAGATCAGAACGCTTTGCAATTGTAGTGCCCCTTGATTTAAAATGCTGCTCTTGGGCCAGGCGCAGTGGCTCACACCTGTAACTCAGGAGGCTGAGTGTGGAGGATCGCTTGAGGCCAGAAGTTGGAGCTCAGCCTGGGCAACATAGTGAGACCCCGTCTCTAAACAGTAAAAAATAAAATGCTGCTCTTTAAATTGATGTTAGCTTTTTATCTGTTACGACTTCTGTTACTTTTCATTGTTGAGATGCTAAGGGGACCTCACTCAGTGGGAAAACATTTTACCAAGAAAAAAATCAGTCTAAGGAAATGCAAATGAAATTATTTATTTGTTTTCGAGACAGGGCCTTGTTCTGTCACCCAGGGTAGAATACAGTGGCACGATCTCAGCTTACTGCAACCTCTGCCTCCTGGGCTCAAGTGATCCTCCCACCTCAGCCTCCCAAAGTGCTGAGATTACAGATGTGAGCCATCACCCTCAGCCTAATTTATTATTTTTTAAAAAAAGAAAAAGACTGGGCGTGGTGTTTCACGCCTATAATCCCAGCACTTTGGGAAGCCAAGGCAGGTGGATTGCCTGAGGTCAGGAGTTCGGGACCAGCCTGTCTAACATGGTGAAACCTCATCTCTACTAAAAGTACAGAAATTAACCCAGTGTGGTGGTGGGCACCTGTAGTCCCAGCTACTTGGGAGGCTGAGATAGGAGAATCACTTGAATCTGGGAGGCAGAGGTTGCAGTGAGCCAAGATCATGCCACTGCACTCCAGCCTGGGTGACAGAGCAAGACTCCATCTCAAAAAAAAAAAAAAAAGAAAAGAAGAAAGAAGGAAGAAGGAGAGGGAGAAGAAGAAGGAAGAGGAGGAGGAAAGGAAGAAAGAAAGAAAGAAAGAAAGAAAGAAAGAAAGAAAGAAAGAAAGAAGAAAAAGAAAGGAAGGAAAGGAAGGAAGGAAGGAAAGGAAGAAAGGAAGGAAAAGAACGAAAGAAAGAAAGAAAGAAGGAAAAGATGATCATCCCCAGGCCCAGTAGGAAGCTTCTTTGTTTCTGGGGCTTCCTGGTCTAATACCACATTTCCCCAGCACCCAAGCCAGAAGATGTATTGTGGTCCATCCCTAGAAGGGAGATTTTCCAGAGGTTTTCAGAAGCACTGCAGAGTACATTTGACTAAAACTACCTATGCACTGAACCCGGTCCCAGAGTGGTAATCCATTATATAGTGAAGCTGTAGGGAAAGGAACAATTACCTTGACTCCTCAAAAATACATAGTTGATAAGCAGCAAGCTGATGATGACATAGTTCTAAGCTCTCCCACATTAACCAATGGACCCACAGGCATTGGAGAAAAAAATAAACAAACAAACCACTGAGCTCCCTCTGCAGGTCCCTGAGAGTAATAACTGGCCACCTTTCCATTCTTGGGTTCCTTGAAAAAATAGAAGATGGTAGTCAGCAGAAACTACAATTACTTTAAAATAAAATGAAATGTGCTGAAACCAAAAAAGAAGAAAAAAGCCAACAACTTTCTGTTGTGCATTTTATAGTAGCAGAGCAAAATGCAGTATTTTAAACAAGTATGTAAAATAGAAACCGTCCTGGTAATTTCAGTTTCATGAAAAAATTCAGCAGCATGAATAAAATAGCATTACCAATTAAAGTGTAAATCCAGGCTGCAAGTTATGATTTCCAGCTCCAATGTAGAGAAGCCTCCCTCACATTTTGAAGCTGCTCTCATGAAAAAGGAATTGGTCAAAGATGACAGGAGCACATAGAAATCTATTTTCCCCCTTGCACCTGTGAATTTCAGTCTGCTCTTTGATAATACTGCGCCATTCTCCTCATGACTAAAACGAGAATGGGCTAGATCATTTTTGAGGTTCCTTTAAGCTCTAAGAAGGAACAAACATGTGAGAGCCATCATAGGTATCTGTCACCAAAGTGTATGTTAAAGAGAGGACGGTTTCTATCTCCAAGTTGGTGTAGAGGGTATAATCAGAAGACCTAGGGTCAAGTTCCATCTCTGCCATAACTCTTGGTGAGATTTTGAGTGAGTCACCTCTCTCAGTGTCAGTCTACTCATCTGTAAAAATAAGAACACTGGGGCCAGGCACGGTGGCTCATGCCTGTAATCTCAGCACTTTGGGAGGCCAAGGTAGGCGGATCACCTGAGGTCAGGAGCTCGAGACCAGCCTGGCCAACATGGTGAAACCCCGTCTCTACTAAAATACAAAAATTAGCCAGACATGATGGCAGGTGCCTGTCGTCCCAGCTACTCAGGAGGCTGAGGCAGGAGGATCCCTTGAATCCGGGAGGTGGAGGTTGCAGTGAGCCGAGACCGCGCCACTGCACTCCAGCCTGGGTGACAGAGCAAGACCCTGTCTGAAAAAGAAAAAGAATACTGAAAACAGTCACTCAGCATTTTGGGAAGCCCAGGTGGGAGGATGAGCTCAGCCTGGGCAACATAGTAAGACCCCCATTTCTTACCAAAAAAAAAAAAGTAGATGAGTAAACATAATGGAAAAAAAAACTCTATAGTAGCAATAAAAAAAGATAAACAATCTAAGAACAAACCTAACAGGAAATGGGCATGATTTATATGAAGAAAACTTTAAACACACTACTGAGAGAAACAAAAAAATGTAAACAAATGGGAGGGTACATCACGTTTGCAGGAAGACAAAACATCACGTAGATGTTAATTCTTTCTAAATTCATCTATTAATTTAATACAATCCCAATAAAAATACCAACCAGGTTTTGTTGGAAATTGGCAGATTCTAAAGTTCATATTAAAAACTAAACAGACAGCAACCAGCCTGGCCAACATGGTGAAACTCCGTTTCTACTAAAAACTTAAAAATTAGCCAGGCATGGTGGCGTGCACCTGTAGTCCCAGCTACTCAGGAGGCTAAGGCAGGAGAATTGGTTGAGTCCATAAAGCAAAGGTTGCAGTGAGCCACTGCACTCCAGCCTGGGTGACAGAGCAAAAACTCCATTTCAAAAAAACAACAACAACAAAAAACAAATAACAACAACAAAAAAGCAAGGGAGTTTCTGAAAATAAGAGTGATAAGCCATTTCAGATATTAAAACATAAAGTTGTAAAGTTAAAACAGTATGATATATTGGCACATGAATAGACAAATCAATACAAAAAAACAGACCCCAATACAAATTGACATTTACTATATATTAAAGGTAGGATTTAAATTCCTGAGAAAAAGATGGATTATTTAATAAATGGTGGTAGGACAAATGGGTAGCCACCTAGAAAAAAATAAATTAGATACTATTCATATATTATACTAGGATAAATTCCAGATACATTTTTGCTAGTTTGGTTTTGGAGACAGAGTCTTCCTCTCTCACCCAGGCTGGAAGCCATCTTGGCTTACTGCAACATCCGCCTCCTGGGTTCAAGTAATTCTCCTGCCTCAGCTTCCTGAGTAGCTGGGATTACAGGTGCGCAATACCACGCCCAGCTAATTTTTGTATTTTTAGTAGAGACAGGTTTTCATCATGTTGGCCAGGCTGCTCTTGAACTCCTGGCCTCAAGTGATGTGCCTGCCTCGGCTTCTCAAAGTGCTGGGATTATGGGTGTGACCCACCAGTGCCTGGCCCAAATTCTGGATACTGTAAAGTCTTAAATGCAAGCAATAAAATCACAAAGAATTAGAAGAAAAAATGAGATAATTTTAAAATAATCCTGAAATGGGGAAGCCTTTCTTAGCTCTAAGCAAAGAAAAAAAAATTAATATATTTTATCATATAAAATTAAAAATATTTACATAGCAAAAGCTACAATACCAAAGTCAAAGGACAAATGGCAAATGAGGGGGCTCATTGTAGTCAAGGAACTAATCTCCCTAATTTAGAAATAATTATCATAAAACAATAGAAAAGATAATTAAAAGTTTTACAAAAGCTATAGTTAACAGAATAGAAAATTCAAATGAGCCTAAAACTCTAAAAGATACTCAACCTAACTTATGAGAAAATAAATGCAAAGTAAAACAATGACACCAGTTTTTACTTATATTAGAAAAAAATTGATGCTACTCTCTTGGTGAGGGTTTAAAGTAATAGGCACCCTCGGCCAGGCACAGTGGCTCATGCCTGCAATCTCAGCATTTTGGGAGGCCGAGGCAGGAGGAACACTTGAGGTCAGGAGTTCGAGACCAGCCTGGCCAACATGGTGAAACCCCGTCTCTACTAAAAATAATAATAATTTAAAAAATAGCCAGTGTGTAGTGACGCACGCCTGTAATCCCAGCTACCTGGGAAGCTGAGCGGGGAGAATCACTTGAACCTGGGAGGCGGAGGTTGCAGTGAGCCAAAATTTTGCCACTGCACTCTGGCTTGGGTGACAGAGTGACTCAGTCTCAAAAAAATAATAAAATAAAATAAAAATTAAAAATAAAGTAATAGGCACTCTCACACATTGCTGAGAAGGCAGATTGGAAGTACTCTCAAAATTACAAATGCACAAACCCTTTGGCCCAGGAAGTCTATTTCTAGGAATTTATCCCACACATACATTAATACATAATACATTAATACATAAAACAAGTAACAATGATGCAATATATTATTTGCAGCATTGTTTACAATTGCAAAAAAAAAAAAAACACTAGAAACAAATTTCTGACAGTAGGAGGCTGGTTAAATAAATGATAATTTATCCATTCAAAGGAAATGTTTGCAGCTCTAAAAATGGATGAGGAAACACTTAATATCTGATCTAGAATAATTACCATGATACAATGACAAATGGAGGAGAGAGACAAAACAATGGGGAAAAATGTGTCTTTGCAGAAGCATGAAAGATGTCTAGGAAGATACACAAGAAGCTTATAAAAATGGGTGCCAGTGTCAAGAACACCTGGGTGGCATGAGACAGGATGAGAGAAAGACTTTTTGCTGTGTTTTCACTGTATATCCTTTAGTAAATTTTGAATTTTGAACTAAGTGAAAGTTTTACCTCCAAAGAATAAAATTATAGGCTGGGCACCGTGGCTCACACCTGTAATCCCAGTTACTCAGGAGGTTGAGGCAGGAGAATTGCTTGAACCCGGGAGATGGAGGTTGCAGTAAGCCAAGATGATGCCATTTCATTCCAGCCTGGGTAACAGAGCGAGACTCTGTCTCAAAATAAATAAGTAAATAAATAAAGAATTAAATTATATTTAGCCCTGCTCCCTGATTTCAGGGGAAGTGCTAAAGGTCATAATCTATATAAAGTACATGGTCTATGCACAGGAGGTGCTGGACAAATGGTTATTAAGCCATGAGTAAGCATCGTCCTGTGGAGCGAGGGCTCTGTCTCTTGTCGCAGCAGTGTCAATGCTCCTGGTCCACTCTCTCCCAGGAAGAGACCCCTCAGGCACTCAGTGAGACCACTGGCTGACTTTCCTTTTCATTCTTTTGATCTGTTTGAATCCTATATGAAACTCATTTTAGGCTCAAATCTAACTCCCTGTTATAATTGTATTAAAAAGATGGAAAATTGGCGAGGCTCGGTGGCTCATTCCTATAATCCCAGCACTTTGGGAGGCCAAGGGAGTAGGGTCACTTGAGTTCAGGAGTTCAAGACCAGCCTGGGCAACATAGGGAGAGCTCAACTCTAAAAAAATTTAAAAAATCAGCCAGGCGTGGTGGCAAGAGCCTGTGGTCCCAGATACTTAGGAGGCTGAGGTGGGGGGTCACTTGGGCCCGGGACGGCTGCAGTGAGCCGTAATTGGGCCACCGCACCACTGCACTCCAGTCTGGGGGACAGAGCAAGATCCTGTCTCTAAAGAAAAGAGATGGAAAACTGAAACTCTCATGAAGTTTGTGCTAAAAAGACTGAAGAGGGAAGTTGCCTTTGAGAGACTTTCTGTAAGGCCTGGAAAACAAAAACAAACAAACAAAAATAGATTAACCCAGACTCTGAGAGACTGGAGAAAGTGCAAACAGAATTCGTGCTGCGTGTGCATAGACTTGTTTACTGGACAAATGAGGGCAGCACTGTTTCCCTAGCTGGGGCCTCTGAGAATCAAATCACCAGAGGCATGCCATCTTTTTAGTCAACTATAAGTGAGGCAGGAATTAACAAGATTGATTAGAGGACAAGTGAGCCCCACCACATTCTAGACCAGGATCCCTGCAGACTGTCTGGGCTCTGTGAAGTCTGTATTATTGGCCTGTGACAAGAAAAATGCAGAAATTCAAAGTAAGAGTATAGGATATAATGTCTATTGAATCTGACATTTAAAAATCAAGCTTGCATTTTACATTTCCTTTTTATTTATTTATTTATTTATTTTGAGACGGAGTCTAGCTCTGTCACCCGGGCTGGAGTGTGGTGGTGCAATCTTGGCTCACTGCAACCTCCACCTCCCAGGTTCAAGTGGTTCTCCTGCCTCAGCCTCCCTAGTAGCTGGGATTACAGGTGTCCACCACCACGCTTGGCCAATTTTTTTGTATTTTTAGTAAAGATGGGGTTTCATCATGTTGGCCAGGCTCGTCTCAAACTCCTGAGCTCAAGTGATCCGCCCACCTTGGCCTCCCAAAGTGCTGGGATTACAGGTGTGAGCCACCATGCCCGGCCCTTGATTTTATTTTTTTCCAGTAATTCTTTTTTATTTCCACTTTACAAAAGTATCAGTCCAAAACAAACTTGAAGTTTCCTTTAAAAAGCAACAGAAACACCAATTCTTCACTAGAGATAGTTTGAGATGCACTGTTCTAAACCATATTTTCATCTATGCAGAATGTGAAGTTCCACTAGATCTGCGGTGTTCAATGTGGTAGCCAGTAACCACATATGGCTATTAACAGTTGAAATGTGTCTTGTCTAAATTGGTATGTGATATAAGGCAAAATATGCACCAGATTTCAAAGACTTAGTGAAAAAAATGTCTAATATCTCAAACTTGTATAATGATTATATGTTGAAATGATAATATGTTGGACATATTGGGTTAAATAAAATATACGATGAACCTTCAGTTTCACAAGATGAAAAGAGCTCTGGAGATGGATAGTGGTGATGGTTGGCCACCATTATGAATATATTTAATACCACTGAGCTGAACACTTCAAAATGGTTAAGATGGTACATTTTATGTTATGTGTATTTTCCTGCCATAAAAATTAATTTAAAAATTAATTTCATACATTTCTTTTTACTTTTTAATGTGGGTACTAAAAAATTCAAATAGCATATGTGACCTGTATTTGTGGCCCACATCATATTTCTATTGGATAGTGCCAAGAGTAGCTCTAGATTTTTCTCTTGCTACCTTTGAAGCAGTTTTCTAGTGCCCAATCTCACCACTACCTATGCAGTTCAAACATCACCTCTTCAGTAAAGTCTTTGATGAACCATGAAGGAACTCCCAACTTCCCCTCCTCCTTCAACTGCTCCTATAGTACCTGGTACAAAACTTCATTTATATCTGTGTGTGGTATGTGTGTGTGTGTATGTGTGTGTATGCATACTATGTACTATCTATTATATCAGAAAGTAAGCTCTTCGGGGGTATATTCAGTGTCCCTATATCCCCAACACTCAGCATTGTACATATGTGCTCAGCTTAGCCTTATCATACGCACTCAATAGATGTTGTTGACTACATAGATGAGGAAGTAATCCTAGCTTTCGATATCCAGCCAAAGAGCTCCTTGCTCCTCTTTACTTTGGACTTGGAGACCTGAGAGTTAAATGTTAATTTCAATTTCTAGGTAAGAGAGAGGGATTTGAATATCTGCCAGCTGATGGCATTATTTAATAGTGATATAGTTTGGCTCTGCGTCCCCACCCAAATCTCAAGTGGAATTGTAATCTTCAGTGTTGGAGGAGGGGCCTGGTGGGAGGTGATTGAATCATGGGGGCGGACTTCCCCATTGCTGTTCTTGTGATAAGAGTTCTCACTAGATCTGGTTGTTTGAAAGTGTGTTGCACTTCCTCTTTCACTTTCTCCTTCTTGCTGGCCATGGTAAGCCGCCCTTGCTTCCCCTTCACCTTCCACCATGATTGCAAGTTGCCTGAGGCCCCCCCAGAGGCAGAAGCCTGTACAGCCTGCAGAACTGTAAGCCGACTAAACCTCTTTTTTAAATTAATTACCCAGTCTCAGGTATGCCTTTACAGCATTGTTGAGAATGGACTAATACAAACAGGTAGCTTAACATTTTTTATTACTGAACAAATATCTAGAGTACTATCATAGCCATTGGAAAAAGCCATTGGAAAATGAATGGTAAATAAATCAGGAAAAGTCCTGGCATCTAAGTCACACACATCCCATAGGAGGGTGGGGAGATGGAAAATCAAACAAATAATGATTAAAAAAGAAATTACGAAGTAATGGACAGAGAATGAAAATAAGATGGAGATGGGCGTGATGTCTCACGCTGTAATCCCAACACTTTGGGAGGCTGAGGCAGGAGGATCTCTTGAGTCCAGGAGTTTGAGATGAGCCTGGGCAACCTGGTGAGAAGAGAGAGAGAGAGAGAGAGAGGAAGAAGAAGAAGAGAAGGGAAGGGACGGGAAGGGAAGGGAAAGGAAGGGAAGAAGGAAGGAAAGAAAGAAGGAAGGAAGGGAAACAAAGGAGGGAGGGGGGAGGGAGGGAGGGAGGAAGGAAGGAAGGAAGGAAGGAAGGAAAAGAAAAGAAGATGATGGTGATACAAGGAAAACACTGACTACCTGAGATTCAAGTCAGGAAGGGCCTAAGGAGGTAATATTTAAACTGAAAAGTGACAATAGGAGGTAGGTCGACAAAAATGGAGATAAATATATTAGGCAGAGGGAACAGTTAGTGCAAGTTTCTTCAAGTACTAGCAAAATGGTAAACTTAGAAAGCTTGAAAGCCCCTCCCAACTGAAACAACAAAAATCTTGGTAAAATACATTAAGAATGCTTTTAAATGAATTGCTGACTGGCATGAGCGAAAATACTCATCAGAAGTCGAAACTAGAATGAAACAGGCTTTTTTACCCTAAAGGTTTCTGCTGAGCCTTAGAGACCTTAACTTCTGCTTCAAGGACCACATGGGTTTGGGGACAGGAGGTGTGACAGTTGCTTTTTTTTTTTTTTTTTGAGATCTCAATTTGTTGCCCAGGCTGGAGTGCATTGGCGTGATATTGGTCCACTACAACCTCTGCCTCCCAGGTTCAATTGATTCTCCTGCCTCAGCCTCCCGAGAAGCTGGGATTACAGAAGCATGCCACCACACCTGGCTAATTTTTGTATTTTTAGTAGCGACGGGGTTTCATGATTTTGGCCCAGCTGGTCTCAAACTCCCGACCTCAAGTGATCCGCCCACCTCAGCCTCCCATCGTGCTGGGATTACAGGCATGAGCCACTGCGTGACGGTTGCTTTTATGTGTTGACATGGATGAGCCACGTTGCCCAGATAGTTGGCCAAACATTATTCTGGATGTTTCTTTGGGAGTGTCTTTGGATGATATTTATATTTAAATCAGTATACTTTGAGAAAAGCAGATGACCCTCCATGATGTGGGTGGGCCTCATTCAATCAGTGGAAGGCCTGACTAGACAAAAGGATGACCTCCTCTGAGCAAGACAGAGTTCTGCCAGACTGCCTTCGGACTTCTTTGATAACACTGGCTTTTCTGGTTCACCAGCGCTTTGTCTTTGGACTTGAACTGCAACCCTTTCCTGGGTCTCCAGTTTGCCAGTCTCACCCATCAGATTTTGGAATCACCAAGCCTCCGCAATTGCGTGAGCCAATTTCTTAAATAAATTCTTTTACATACACACACACACACACACACACACACACACACACACACACACACCAGAGAGACTCTCTCTCTCTCTCTCTCCCCACCGTTGGTTCTATTTCTCTGGAGAACCCTGACTAATATAGGAGGTAAAGCCTAAATGAGGCATCTAGTAGGAAACCCATTATATAAATCTGAGATCCCAGAAGGTATACCCTCAACATATGGGTGAATGAGAAGTTAAACCTGCCACATGAAAGCAAATAACAAGAAAATGTAACTCAACTTTAACACTAGATGGTAGGGGGTGGTGTGGGCGGTGGGGGGGAATAACCTGAAAATTCATAATCTTAAGTCACTGCTTATATGGGTTTGTAGTCCAAATTCACATTACCTGTAGGATCCAACCTTAAGGGCAGATTTTAAAAATAAATAGTTTTTTAAAATTTTGATACATTTAAATACAATAAAATTCACTTTTGTGAAATAAAGTTCTATTTGTTAACACACATAGTGCCATTTATCCACTATTACAGTCATGATACCAAAGTTTATCATCCCCCAAAATGTGTTACCCATTTGTAGTAAAATTCTTTTTTTTTTTTTTTTAAGACATGGTTTCACTCTGTTGCCCAGGCTGGAATACAGTAGCACGATTATGGCTCACTGCAGCCTCAACCTCCCAGATTCAAGTGATCTTCCCACTTCAGCCTCCCAAGTAGCTGGGCTACAGGAACACACCGACATGGTCTGCAAATTTTCATATTTTTTTTTATAGAAACAAGTTTTACCATGTTGCCCAGGCTGGTCTCAAACTCCTGGGCTCAAGCAATCCTCCTGCCTCAGCCTCCTAAAGTGCTGAGATTATAGGCGAGGGCCACTGTGCCCCGCCTGAAACTTTCTTCACCACCAAATCTTGGCAACTTGGTGGAGAACTGATCAGTTCTCTCATTGCTGTAGCTCTGCCTTTTCCAAAATATCATACAAATGGAATAATAATAGAATACATAATCTTTTGGGTCTGATTTCTTTCACTGAGCAACATGTATTTGAGATCATACACATTGTTACATGTATCAATAATTCATTCCTTTTTATTGTGGGATAGTTTCCCGTGGGATGAATACACCACAGTTTTGTTTATCTCTTTATCAGCTGAGGGACAATTGGGTAGTTTCTGAGTTTTGGTGATTATAAATAACGCACCTCTATGAGTTATATGATTTGCAAATATTTTCTCCCAGTCTATGGCTTGTCTTTTCATCCTTAATCCTTTTAACAGTGTCTTTTGCAGGTCAAATGTTTTCTATTTTGATAAAATCTGATTTATTTTTTCTTTTATGAATCATGTTTTTGGTATTGTATCTAGGAATTCTGTGCCTAACTTAAGGTCAGATTTTCTTATATATTTTTTTCGAGAAGTTTTCTACTTTTATGTCTTACATTTAGGTTGATGATCCATTCTAATTTTTTATAAGGTGTGAATTATGGGTTGAGACTCTTTTTTTGTATATGAACATCCAATTTTTCAAGCACTATTTGTTGAAAAGACTATGCTTTTTGTCTTTAATTGTCTACATCTGTTTCAGAGATAAGAGTTACTTCTGAGCTTTCTATTCTGTTTCATTGATTTCTTTGCTATCCTCTTACAGGTATAACACTGTCTTAATCATAGCTTAAGTACTGAAATAAAATAGTGTGAGTCCTCTACCTTCTAATTCAAAAGGTTTGACTATTCCACTTCCTTTACCTCTCCATACAATTAAGTATTAGCTTGTCAATATCTGCAAACACCTGAATATTTACAAAACCTCAATATCTACAAAAACCTAAATGCTCTGTTGGGATTTTAACTGAAGTTTTAATAGATTAACTTGGGGAGAACTGACATTTTAACAATATTGAGACTTCCAATCCATAAATCAGGTATATCTTTCGATTTATTTATATTTTTTCCTTGGCTTCTTTATCAGTGTTTTGTAGTTTGTACCATAAAGACCCCACATATATCTTTGCTGAACTTCAACCTAAATATTTCTTATGTCCGTGTGTTCTTTTTTAAATTTTAAATTCTAATAGCTAGGGTAGAGAAAATAGAATTTATTTTTGTATATTAATCATGCATCCTGTATCCTTGGTAAACTCACTTATTAGTTTTAGGATATTTTTTAATAGATTCTTTGGAATTTTCTATATAGAGAGTTGTTTTCTGTGAATAGAGAGTTCTATTACTTCTTTTTTAATCTTTTCAGATAATCCTTTTTTTATTTCTTTGCCTCATCGTACCATTTAGAACTTCCAGTTAAAGGTGAGTAAAGAAATGTCCTTGCCTCATTCCAGGTCTTAGGGAGAAAGCATTCATTCTATCACCATCAAGCATGGAATTAGCTATAGGACTTTGTAGGTGCCCTTTATCAGTTTAAGGAAGTTCCATGCCACTGCTAGTTTGCTGGGAATTTTTAACAGAAATAAAGGTTGAATTTTGGCAAAAGATTTTTCTGCATCTATTGAGATGATCATATGTTTTTCTTCTTTAGTTTGTTAATACAATGAATTATACTGATTGCCTGTTTAGGGTTGAACCAACCTTGTGTTCCTAGGTAAAACTTCACTTGGTCATGCTATGTTCTTTTTGTTGAGTGGTTTTATATCTATGTTCATGATGAACATTGCTCTGTAGTTTTCTTTACTTGTAATGACTTTGATTTTAGTATCAGGATAATTTTGGCCTTATAAAATGAATATTCTATTTTCTGGAATAGAATATATAAAAATAATATTATTTCTGAAATGTTTGAAAGAATTCACCAGTGAAACCATTTGGATCTGAAGTTTTCTTTGTTGGAAGATTTTTAACTATGATTTCAAAATCTTCGATACAGGCTATGCAGGTTATCTATTTCTTCTTTAGTAAGTGTTGGTAGATTATGTCTTTCAAGGAATTGGCCCATTTCATTTAACTTATCAAAAGTAAGATTTCCTTAAGATTCTAATGTCTGAATCTGCCAGTTCCTTGATCCTGGATTTTTCAGCCTCCAGAACCATGAGAAATAAATTTATTTTGTTTTAAACAAATAAACAAAAATTCAAATGTTTTCTCTTTCATTCCTTTTTTTTTTTTTTTTTTTTTTTTCAGATGGCATCTCATTCTATCACCCAGGCTGGAATGCAATGGCATGATCTCGGCTCACTGCAACCTCTGCCTCCTGGGTTCAAGTGATCCTCCTGCCTCAGCCTCCCGAGTAGCTGGGACTACAGGCATGCACCACCATGCCTGGCTAATTTTTGTATTTTTAGTAGAAATGGGGTTTCACCATGTTGGCCAGGCTGGTCTTGAACTCCTGACCTCAACTGATCCCCCTGCCTTAGCCTCCCAAGGTGCTGGGATTACAGGTGTGAGCTATGACACCCGGCCCCTCTTTCATTCTTGAGGTTGGTGATTTGTGTCTTCTGTGTTTTTTTCATGGTTTGAGGGTTTATCACTTTTAGTGATCTTTTTAAGAAACCACATTTTTAGAAGACATACCAGGAGCTATATTGTTTTGTGTTAACTTTTTTTTTAGCACTTTACCTTCATTGGCTTCTAGCTTGGATGGTTTTGCATGAGAAGTACTGAGAGTCATTGCATTGGTTCCTTATACTAATGAGTACAAGTGAGTACTAATGAATTTTTCTCTAGCTCCCTTTAAGATTTTATCTTTGTACTTGGTTTTCAGCAGTTTGAATATTAAATGCTTTGGGCTGTGTGTGTATTTGTTTTGGTATTTATCTTGTTTGATATTCTCTGAGGTTCTTGACCTGATATTTGTGTCTAACATTAATTTTGTAAATTCTCAACCAAATATTTCTTCTACTTATATTATCTATCTTCCCTGTTTTGGGTTCCAATCCCACATATATTAGATTTTTTGCTATTGTCCCATAGCTCTTGAATGTTTGTTTTGTTTTATTTTTCCACTCTTTTCTCTATTTTTGTTTTAGTTTGGACAATTTCTATGGCCATATCTTCAAATTCACTAATTCTTTCCTTAGCTGCATCAAGTCTGTTGATGAGTCAATTGAATGTATTCTTTTTTTTTTTTTACTTTTTTGGAGGCAGAGGCTCACTCTGTCATTCAGGCTGGAGTACAGTGGTGCACTCTTTGCTCACTGCATCCTCTGCCTCCCAGGTTCAAGTGATCCTCCTGCCTCAGTCTCCCGAGTAGCTGGGACTACAGGCATCTACCACCAGGCCCGACTAATTTTTGTATTTTTAGTGGACATGGGGTTTCACCATGTTGGCCAGGCTGGTCTCAAACTCCTGGCCTCATGTGATCCTCCGCCTCAGCCTCCCAAAGTGCTGGGATTATAAGCATGAGCCACTGCACCTGGCCTCTGAATGCATTCTTCATCTCTGTTATGTGGTTTTCACTTTTAGCACTTCTACTTGATTCGTTTTTATTTTGTCCATCTCTCTGCTGAAATTGTCCATATGATTTGTATGTTGTTCACCCTTTTCTTAGTGCTTTTAACATATTAATCATAATTATTTTAAATTCCCTGCATGATAGTTCCCACATCTGTGTCATATCTGAATCTGGTCCATTGATCACTTTGTCTATTGGCATGTGCTGCTTTCATTTGCCTTGTAATTTTTTCTTGTGTTAGTCAGTAGTGACTGAAGGCAAATTGTTTTTATGCCAATAAATGGACATGCATTTCCTTGTTCTAGTCCTTTAGAATGGGCTTTGAGTCAATTTAATCAGGAGTTAAGTTGGGTTTAGTGTCTGTTGTGCACCAGTCTCCAAAATCTTCTCTTAAGGCGAGGTGCAGTGGCTCGTGCCTGTAATCCCAGCACTTTGGGAGGCCAAGGTGGGCAGATCACTTGAGGCCAGAAGTTTGAGACCAGCCTGGTCAACATGATGAAGCCCCGTCTCTACTAAAAATACAAAAATTAGCTGGATGTGGTGACATGCATCTGTAGTACTAGCTACTCAGGAGGCTGAGGCACAAGAATCGCTTGAACCCGGGAAGCGGAGGTTGCAGTGAGCCGAGATCACTCACTGCACTCCAGCCAGGGCGACAGAGAGTGATTCTGTCTTTAAAAAAAAATCTTCTATCAATATCTTGTCTTGTGTTTATGGGAGGCTCATTTGCCAGTTTTTCTCAGTGTCTGTTCCTCCTTCAACTTTAGGCCATCCCTTTGGGCTGCACTTCAGGGAAGGTTTTGAAGCAACTCTCCCAACAATATTTTACTGTCACTTGTTACTTACACTTTTTAGTTATGTGGCAGAGGTGTAAGGGGAATCATCCTGTGTTGTTCTGATTAAGCTTCAGTCTTAGGCAGCCACTATGCCCCTGGGTCTGGGGTGGGCAGAAAGAGGTGATTCCCAAAGCTCCTTCTACTCCTGTAGTTATAGTTCTGGGCCCAGCATGTATTCCTGCCTTTCCCCACCCCTCAAGCTCGGGGGAGGAATTACTTTTCTTTTCCCTTTCTTCAGTTGCAATGGTATTTCATCAGTGCTCTGAAAGGACTTGTCTCCTTTTCCTTACAGTTTAAGAGTTCCATTTAAGGGAAGAAAGATGTGCAGGGCTTCATAACTTTCCCACAGTGGCTGCTGTTCTCCTCCAGGCTGGCACCATGAGGGGCACATTCTCAGGCCTCTCCTGTATCATTTCTGTGAACGCCTGGTGAGGTTTGTGAGAAAAAAAAAAAAAAAAAAAGGCCTACAAGTGGATGCAATTTCCCTTTATATCTCATAGGCTCCACATTTTCTCACCAGCCCACACTTGGCCTTTACCAATTCTTTTAACAATTTCAACTAATTCTTATTTTTTAATTTTTTTTTGTAAAGATAGGGTCTTGCTTTGTTAGCCAGGCTGGAATGCAGTGGTGTGATCTTAGCTCACTGCAGCCTTGAACTCCTAGGTTTGAACAATCCTCCTGCCCCAGCCTCCCAAGTAGCTGGGCCTACAGTGTTGTGCCACCATGCACAGCTAATTTTTTGACATTTTGTAAAGACAGGGTCTTGCTATGTTACCCACACTGGTCTTGGACTCCTGGCTTCAAACCATCCTCCTGCCTTGGCCTCCCAAAGTGCTAGAACTACAGGTCTGTGCCACCACACCTGGCTAGTTAAAAATTATGTGTGTGTATATATATATATATATATATATATATATATATATATATATATATATATTTATTTATTTATTTTTATTTTATTTTTTTTTTGGCAGAGACAGGGTCTTGCTATGTTGCTCAGGTTGGTCATTAGCTAATTCTTCTCACTGATACCTGGCTGCATCTGCCCCACATAAGCAAGTGCTCACATCTTGTCTCTCCCTGCGAGTACCTGATTCTCCGTAGATTTGGAGCTAGTTAGTTGCCTTTCATTCTCAGCACTCTAATGAGTCCTACAAAGTGGTAGGCAAGTTTTTTTCATGTTTCTTCTTGTTGTTGTAATGGTGGGAACAATGCTCTTTCCAGCTGTCTACACCCTAAGTGGAAGCTGGGTTTTAGAGTAAGTGTAAGTTTAGCTTTAGTAAATACTGCCAAGTAGATGTCCAAGGTGACTACATCATATCATTGTACACTCCCACCAACAATGTATGAAAATTTTAGTTGTTCCACATCCTTGACAACACTTGGGAATGTCAACCTTTAATTTTAGCCAGCCCCTGTTTACCTCGATTCTGCTTTCTGTCTCTATGAATTTGCTTATTCTACATACCTCATGTAGGTGGAATCATATATTTGACCTTTTGAGCCTGGCTTATGTCACTTAGCATAATGTTTTCAAGGTTCATCCATGTTATAGCATGAATTTGAATTTTCTTTGTTTTCAAGGTTGAATAATATTCTGTTGTATGTATAAACACATTTGGTTTATCTATTCACCTGTTTACAGACACTTAGGTTGTTTCCATCTTTTGCCTATTGTAAATATGGTGCTGTGAACATTGGTGTACAAATATTTGTTTGAGTCTCTACTTTCAGTTTTTTGGATATATACCTAAGAATAGTATTTTTGAATATATGGTAATTCTGTGTTTAACTATTTGAGGATCCACCATAGTGTCTTCCATAGTATTGCACCATTTTACCTTCCCACCAGCAATGTACCACGGTTCCGATTTCTCCACTTCCTTACCAATACTTTTTATTTTCCTTTTTTTTTTTAAATAATTGTCATCCTAATGGGTTTAGAGTGGTATCTCATTGTGGTTTTGATTTTGCATTTCCCTAATGACTAGTGAT
Source organism: Homo sapiens (assembly GCF_000001405.40). Lineage (NCBI taxonomy): Eukaryota > Metazoa > Chordata > Mammalia > Primates > Hominidae > Homo > Homo sapiens. Next base: position 30,256,906 of record NC_000010.11, read on the forward strand.
GTTGAGCAGCTTTTCATGGCTTTCTGAGACAGTTGTATATCTTCTTTGAAGAAATGTCCATTCAAATCCCTTGTCCATTTTTTAATAGGGTTGTTTTGTTGTTGAATTTTAGGGTTTCTCTATATATTCTTGATATTACTCCCTTACCAGATACATGGTTTGCAAATATTTCCCCCATTCTGGGGGTTGCCTTTTTAAATCTGTTGATAGCATCCTATTATGCCAAAAGTGATAATTCAGTATATTTTTCTTTTCTCTTGTTGCCTGTGCTTCTAATGTCATGTCTAAGAAATCATTGACAAATCCAGTGTCATGAAGCTTATCCCCCTTGTTTTTTCCTAAGCATTTTATAATTTTAGCTCCCACAATTAGAACTTGGATCCATTTTGAGTTAATTTTTGTTTATGGGGTAAGGGTTTAACTTCATTCTTTTACATATAGATATCCAGTTTTCCCAGCACCATTCATTGAAAAGACTGTTCTTTTACCCGTGTAATGGTCTTGGCACCCATGTCAAAAATAAATTGACCATATATGTAAGAGTTTATTTTTGGCACCTCTATTCTATTACATTGGTCTATCATGTTTATCATTATGCCAGTACAGCATTGACTATTATAGGTTTGTAGTGAATTTTAAAATCAGGAAGTGTGAGTCCTTCCATTTGTCTTTCTTTTTCAAAGTTGTGTTCACTCTTCAGGGTCCTTTGAGATTCCATATAAATTTTAGAATGAATTTGTCTATTTCCACAAAAGAATGTCATTTTGGATTTTGATATGAATTGCATTGACTCTGAAGATTGCATTGGGTAGTATTGACAGCATAATAAATTAAGCCTTTCAATCTATGAACACAGGATTTTTCCACTTTTTTTTGTCTTTCATTTCTTTCAGCAATGATTTGTAGTTTTCAGTATACAAGTCTTTAACCACTTTGACTAGGTTTATCCTAAGTGTTTTATTCTTTTTGATAAAATTGTAAATGAACATATTTTCTTAACTTCTTTTTCAGAATTGTTAGGTTGTGATTTTCAGAATTCCTATGTCAATTTCTTAACAATAAAATTATTAAGCATATAGAAATGCAACGGATGATTGTGACTTCCAACTGTAACGTCCTTACTTCTGTGTGCCTTCACTGATGGAGCTGTACGCCTAGCCAAGTCAGGGCATTCTTGAGTAAAATTCTCAAATTTGGGCAGCTCATTAAGATTCTACTTTCTAAAATTAGTTTCTCCCCAGGTTTTCCAAGCTTTTTTGTTCTTGCCTAATTACACTGGATAGGATCTCTGGGTAATGTTTTCTGGAAGTGTTAATATAATACATCTTTGTCTTATTTCAGACTTTGTCTTATTTCATACTGAAATACTTTCTTATTTCAGGGGAAAACACTCAATATTTCTCCATTTAGTATGATGTTAGTTATAGGAAGTTGATTATGTATAGCATTTTTTAGATTATGAGATTCTCCTTCTATTCAGAGTTTGTTGAGGGGTTCCATAATGAATAGGTGGTTGGTTTATTTCATCTCATTTTTCAGTAGCAACTGAGATGATCATTCATTTTTTTCTCCTTGACTTTGATTTTAAAGTGTAAAACTGACCTTATGTTTCTAATATAAAAATCACTTAGCCCTGATGGATTATCCTTTTAATTTTTACTGAATTTCATTAGCCAATATTTGTTTAGGCTTTTATATGGGAAATTTGTATGCACACGGGTGGCTTACATTATGTTTACCAGAATTCAGAATTAGCTTCAGCAGAGGCTGGGAAATGTAAACAAATAGTTATTTCTGCCAAAGAAATTAAAAATATGGAGGACAGAAATGAAAAGGTTCACTGTATATGTAATCAGTCTTATGAAAGGAAATAAAAAACCAAGGATATCAAAACAGCAGTATTTGGCTAGTAATAGTTGATAATTTTCCAGAATTGATAAAAAGAATCCACAGATTCAAGAAGCACAATATAGTCTAAAGAGAATAATTAAAACAAACAAACAAAAAAGGCATGCATAGGCTGGGCGCAGCGGCTCACGCCTGTAATCCCAACACTTTGGGAGGCCGAGGCAGCAGATAATCTCAGATCAGGAGTTCGAGATCAGCCTGGCCAACATGATGAAACCCTGTCTCTACTAAAAATACAAAAATTAGCCGGGCATAGTGGCGTCTGCCTGTATTCCCAGCTACTCAGGAGTCTGAAGCAGGAGAATCGATTAAATCCAGGAGGCAGAGGTTGCAGTGAGCTAAGATTGCTCCACTGCATTCTAGCCTGGGTGACAGAGTGAGACTCCATCTCAAAAAAAAAAAAAAAAAAAAAAGGCATGCATAAATCTGTTATAATGAAACTCCAGAACTTCTAAGACAAACAGAAAGAGTGGGGAGCTAGAGGAGAAGCAGAGCTCTTGGAAAGAACTGGCAATATAACTAACCACGATCTTTTCAATGGCAACGCCAGACATTAGACTACCATGAGATAACCTCAAAATGTTAAGAGAATATAACCATAACCTTCCAGAATCAAGCAATATGATATTTCCAGAACTAAGGTTAAATAGAGTTACTTTCAGATGGCCAAAACCAGACAGAATCCTGCCAGGGGACCTGCATTATGAAAGATGAAAAGTTATATATATATATATATATATATATATATATATATATATATATATATATATTTTTTTTTTTTTTTTTTTTTTGAGAAAGGATCTTGCTCTGTCACCCAGGCTGGAGTGCAGTGGCATGATCTCGGCTCACTGCAACCTCCATCTCCCAGGTTCAAGAGATTCTCCTGCCTCAGCCTCCTGCATAGGTGGGATTATAGGCATACGCCATCACGCCCGGCTAATTTTTGTATTTTTAGTAGAGATGGGCTTTTGCCATGTTGGCCAGGCTGGTCTTGAACTCTTAAACTCAGGTTATCTGTCTGCCTCAGCCTCCCAAAGAGCTGGGATTACAGGCGTGAGCCATCATGCCCAGCACGTAACATTTCTGAAATGAACGCAGCAATGTAGACCAAGTAAAATAGTAAACATGTTTGTAAATATGAATACTATCTGTGATAACTAAGATTCCATTTGTAGAATTAAGCAATGAACAGAACTAAAATAGTGGATAACAAGAATTCATAAGTTGAAGAACAGTAAACAAAGTTCAAATGTTTTGTGTGATTCAGGAGAGTTTAGACTTCGTTAAATTAAATATGTGTGTTAAAATTGCAAGGATAACCACTGAAAGAACAGAAATAGTGTAGAAATGCCAGTATAAACTTTAATAATTGAATTAAAAATAAACAACAAATACTCAATTTAAAAAGGAAAATATAGAAAGAGCAGAACAAACGCAAAAACAAAATGATAGAAACAAGTTTAAACATATCAATAATCACAAGAAATGTCTATGAACCAAACTCATTGGTTAACGAACAGAGATAAGATTGTGAAAAATACAGCAATATGCTGTCTGCAGGTGACATACTTAAAACACAGGGACACAGAGTATCGAAAATGAAAGAATGGAGAATGATATGCCAGTAAAACCACTCAAAAGAAACCTAAATTTGATATAAAAACAGCCGACAAAATACACTAGAATGGAAAGCATTATTAGAGATGATAGAGAGTGCTACATAAAGATAAATTGTGTATATAATTATTCTAAAGTTTAAGCAATCTTAAAAATAGCATCAAAATTACACAAAAATTGCTAAACTCTCAGAAGATACTAACAAATCTATCATCACTGTGAGAGATTCAACACACCTCTTTCAGTGAAAAGTTAAGGAGATAAAAAATAATTAGGGGCCAGGCGCAGTGGCTCATGTCTGTAACCCCAGCATTTTGGGAAGACAAGGCAGGCAGATCACTGGAGGCCAGGAGTTTGAGACCAGCCTGGCCCACATGGTGAAACCCTGACTCTACTAAAAATACAAAAATTAACCAAACATGGTTGCGAGCACCTGTAGTCGCAGCTACTCGGGAGACTGAGGCAGGAAAATCGCTTGAACCCGGGAGGTGGATGTTGCAGTGAGCCAAGGTTGTACCGCTGCACTCCAGCCTGGGCTACAGAGTGAGACTCCATCTCCAAAAATAATAATAATAATAATAATAATAATAATAATAATAATTAGGAAACAATATTTTGATTGGCACAAAAATTAGCTACTATAACTTATTGAACAAATGTAGAACTCTGAAAATGCATTTTTCTCAAGCATACATAGAACATTTACAAAAAAACCAATCAAGTGTTAAGCGCAAAGAAAGTCTCAACTCCTTGCTCAACTTGGTAACTCCATGCTCGGAAAATCTCAACTGCATGGGCAACTTGGTAACGCCATGCTCTTTACCACAAGGAAATTAAAATCAATAACATAAGTATAAACAAAATGTCCCCTACTTTTGGAAATTAGAGAAACAAACATTTCTAAATAACTCAGAGATCAAAAAAGCAACGAAATGCAAATTTTCAAAATAACAATAATTAAAATGCATTAAAATAATGAAGTGAAAATAGTAAAATTATCAAACTTGTAGGATACATTGAAAGTAGCGTATACAAGAAAATTCTAAATGTTTTTTAGAAGACAGCAAAGGGTGAAAATTAATGAGCTACGAATGAAGCTTGAGAAATTGAAACAAATCACAATCCAAATAAAGTAGAAAGATGGATATTCTAAAGAACAAAAACTATGAAATGGAAAACAAAGCCAAAAGTTTGTCTTTGGAAAAAAGAAAAAAAAAGCTAGACCCATGGCTGGCAAGATTGATTAAAAGAGAGACGACACAAATTATTAATATTAGAAATAACAAAGGGTATTAATAATCCAGATATAGTAGAAATGATAAAGATCATGAAAAATATTGTGAATATTTTTATGTCAATACATTTGAAACTGTAGATGAAATAGAAAAATATGGCTTATTAAAACTGACTCAGTTGGGCAAGGTGGCTCACACCTGTAAGCCCAGCACTTCGGAGGCTGAGGTGGGCAGATTGCTTGAGACCAGGAGTTCTAGACTAGTCTGGGCAACATAGTGAAGCTTTGTCTCTGTTTAAACAAACAAACAAACAAACAAACAAACAAACAGAAACACTGACTCAAGAAGAAATAAAATATAGATAGTCTTATAATCAATTTTAAAATTAAATCAATAATTTAAAATCTTCCCACAAAGAAATCATCAGGCTCCGTTGAGTTCTATCAGACTTCTAAGGACTCTATTATTTCACCTTCACACAAATTTTTAGGGTATAAGGAGGTTACAGGTGACAGAATATCCTCTTGATATTTCAATCAGAAATAGGATTTAAGATAAGAAATTATGTGCTTCCACAATTATTGGAAGGGCTAGGGAATGCAAACTGGGGGTGGGGGTGGGGTAATGGCAAAAACTAACCCACTCCTGCCAATAACAGCATTAATCCATTCATGAGGGTGAAGCCTTCATGACTCACCATTTAAAGTTCCCACACTCTCAATACTGATGCATTGGGGATTAAGTTTCCAACACATGGACTTCGGGGGACAAATTCAAACCCGTAGCAGACTGGTATCCTTATGACAAGAGGAAGAGACACTGGATCTAGATCTCTCTCTGTCTCTCCTTCTGTCTCTCTGTGTGTGTGTGTGTGTGTGTGTGTGTGTGTGTGTGTGTATCTTTCTCTCTGTCTCTGTGCCAGCATAGAGGAAAGGCCAAGAGACCTCAGAGTGAGAAGATGGCCATCTATAAGCCAAGAAGAGAGATCTCACAGGAAACCAACCCTGATGGAACATTGCTTGATCTTGGACTTCTAGCCTCTAGAATTACGAGAAAATAATTTCAGACTTGCATGGGGCCTTTAGCCCCTTCATTTTGGCCAATTTCTCCCATTCGGAATGGCTGTATTTACCCAATGCCTGTACCTCCATTGTATCTAGGAAGTAACTAACTTGCTTTTGGTTTTACATGCTCATAGGTGGAAGGGATTTCCCTTGTCTGAGATGAGACTGTGGACTGTGGTTTTTCAAGTTAATACTGAAATAAGTTAAGACTTTGGGGGACTGTTGGGAAGGCATGATTGGTTTTGATACATGAGGACATGATTTGGGAGTGGCTGGGGTGGAATGATATGGTTTGGCTGTGTCCCCACCCAAATCTCATCTGAAATTGCAGCTCCCATAATTCCCTTGTATTATGGGAGATAGTGGGAGATAATTGAATTGTGGGGGCAGTTTCCCCCATACTGTTCTTGTGGTAGTGAATAAATCTCATGAGATCTGATGCTTTTATAAGGGGAAACCTCTTTCACTTGGCTCTCACTCTTCTCTTGTCTGCTGCCATGTGAGATGTGCCTTTCACCTTCTCCATGATTATGAGGCCACCCCAGCCACATGGAACTGTGAGTTCATTAAACCTCTTTCTTTTGTAAATTTCCCAGTCTCGGGTATGTCTTTATCAGCAGCATAGAAATGAACCTACATCAATAAAAGGAAAAGCTTCAAGTAAACAACCTAATAATGCATCTTAAAGAACTAGAAAAGCAAGAGCAAATCAAATTCGAAGTTAGTAGAAGAAAAGAAATAATAAAGATCACAGCAGAGATAAATGAAATTGAAACAAAGAAAAAATATAAAAGATAAATAAAACAAACAATTGGCTTTTTGAAAAGATAAACAAAATTGGCAAACCTTTAGCCAGACTAAGAAAAAAGAGAGAAGACTCAAATAAATAAAATCAGAAATAAAAAAGGAGAATTACAATCAACAGTGCAGAAATTCAAAGGATCATTAGCAGCTACTATGAGTAATTATAGGCCAATAAATAAGAAAACCTAGAAGAAATGAACAAATTCCTAGACACATACAACCTATCAAGATTGAACCATGAAGAAATCCAAAACCTGAACAGACCAATAACAAGTAACAAGACAAAAGCTGTAATAAAAAGTCTCCCAGCAAAGAAAAACTTGGGAGTCAATGCCTTCACTGCTGAATTTTACCAAACATTTAAAGAAGAACTAATACCAATTCTACTCAAACTATTCCAAAAAATAGAGGAGGAAGGAACACTTCCAAACTCATTCTATGAGGCCAGTATTACCCTGATACCAAAACCAGATGAAGATGCATCAATAAAGGAAGGATAAAGGTCAAAATCCCTGGTGAACATGTGAAAGTCTTCAAGAAAATACAAACAAACTGAATTCAACAACTCATTAAGACCATTTATCATGACCAAGTGGGATTTATCCCAGGGAAATAAGAATTGTTCAACATATGCAAATCAATCAATGTGATACATCATATCAAAAGAAAGGACATAAGCCACATGATCATTTCAATTGATGTTGAAAAAGCATTTGATAAAATTTAACATCCCTTCATAAAAAAACTCTCAAAAAGCTGGCTATAGAAGGAACATACCTCAACATAATAAAAGCCATATACTACAGATCCACAGCTAGTATCATACTGACTGTGGAATAACTGAAAGCCTTTCCTCTAAAATCTGCAACATGACAAGGATGCCCACTATCATCACTGCTATTCAACATAGTACTGGAAATCCTAGTTAAAGCAATCAGACAAGAGAAAGTAATGAAGGACATCCAAATCGGAAAGGAAGAAGTCAAATTTTCTTTGTTTGCAGATAATATGACCTTATATTTGGAAAAACCTAATGATGCCACCAAAAAACTATTAGAACTGATAAAAAAAATTCAGCAAAGTTACAGAATACAAAATTAATTAACAAAAATCAGTAGTATTTCCATATTCTAATAGCAAATAATCTGAAAAAGAAATCAAAAAAGTAATCCCATTTATATTAGATACAAATAAAATAAATACATATTAATTAACCAAAGAAGTGAAAGATCTCTACAATAAAAACTATAAAATATTGGCGAATGAAATTGAAGAGGACACACAAAAATGGAAGGATATTTCATGTTCATGGGTTGGAAGAATCACTACTGTTAAAATGTTCATCCTACCCAAAATAATTGGCAGATTCAATGCAATGTCTGTCAAAATACCAAGGATACGCTTCACAGAAATAGAAAAAACAATCCTAAAATTTATATGAAACCACAAAAGACCAGGAACAGCCAAGCTCAAGGATAGCTTTTTGCTCAAGCTCTCCTGAGCAAAAAGAACAAAACTGGATAAATCACATTACCTGACTTCAAATTATACGACAGGGCTATAATAACCAAAACAGCATGGTACTAGCATTAAAATAAGCACATAGACCAATGAAACAAATCCACTGAGAACTGAGAAACAAATCCATGTATCTACAGTAAACTCAATTTTGACAAAGGAGCCAAGAACATAAATGGGGAAAGGACAGTCTCTTCAATAAATGGTGCTGGAAAAACTGGATATCTATATGCAAAATAATGAAACTATACTCCTATCTCTCACCATATACAAAAATCAAATCAAAATGGATTAAAGGCTTAAATCTAAGACCTCAAGCTATGAAATTACTAAAAGAAAACTTTGGGCAAAGATCTTGAGTAATACTCCACAACCACAGGCAGCCAAAGCAAAAATGGACAAATGGGATCACATCAAGTTAAAAACTTTCTGCACAGCAAAGAAAACAATCAACAAAGTGAAGAGACAACCCACAGAATGGGAGAAAATATTTGCAAACTATCCAGCTGACAAGGGATTAATAACCAAAATATATAAGGAGCTCAAACAACTTTATAGAAAAAAACTAATAATCCAATTAAAAATGGGCAAAATATCTCAATAGATGTTTTTTCAAAAGAATACATACAAATGGCAAACAGGTATATGAAAAGATGCTCAACATCACGGTCATCAGAGAAATGCAAAACTACAGTGAGATATTATTTCACCCCAATTAAAATGGCTTTTATCCCAAAAACAGGAAATAACAAATGCTGGTGAGGATATGGAAAAAAGGGGGCCCTCATAAACTGGATGTAAATTAGTGCAATCACTATGGAGAATAATTTTGAGGTTCCTCAAAAAAACTAAAAACAAAGTTACTATATGATCCAGCAATCCCAACACTAGGTATACACCCAAAGGAAAGGAAGGTACTATATTGAGGAGTTATCTCCACTGCCATGTTTACTGCAGCATTATTCACAACAGTGAAGGTGTGGAAGCAATCCAAGTGTCCATCAGCACATAAATAGACTAAGAAAATACATATACACAGTGGAGTACTATTCAGCCATAAAAAAGAATGACATTCTGTCATTTGCAATAACATGGAGACAACTGGAGGTAATTATGTTAAGTGAAATAAGCCAGGCACAGAAAGACAAACTTTGCATGTTCTCAGTTATTTGTGGGAGCCAAAAATTAAAACAATTGAACTCATGGAATTAGAGAGTAGGTTGATGGTTACCAGAGGCTGAGAAGGGTAGTGAGTTATGGGGGGTGGCAAAGTGGGAACGGTTAATGGGTACAAAAAATTGCTATATAAGAAAGAATGAATAAGATCTAGTATTTGATAGCACAATAGGGTGACTATAGTCAATAATAATTTAATTGTACATTTTAAAATAACTAAAAGAGTATAACTGGATTGTTTATAACACAAAGGATAAATGCTTGAAGTCATGGATACCTCATTTACCCTGGTGTGATTATTACACATTATATGCCTGTACTAAAATATCCCATATAGCCCATAAATATATACACCTACAATGTAACCACAAAAATTAAAAATTAAAAAAATATGGCCGGGCGCAGTGCCTGTAATCCCAGCACTTTGGAAGCCGCGGCGGGCGGATCATGAGGTCAGGAGATGGAGACCATCCTGGTTAACACGGTGAAACCCTGCCTCTACTAAAAATACAAAAAATTAGCCGGGCGTGGTGGCGGGTGCCCCGTAACCCCAGCTACTCGGGAGGCTGAGGCAGCAGAATAGCTTGAACCCAGGAGGCGGAGGTTGCAGTGAGCCGAGATGGTGCCACTGCACTCCAGCCTCGGCGACAGAGCGAGATTCCGTCGGAAAAAAAAAAAAAAAATCTCAAGACAAATAAAATTGGAAACATCACAAACCAAAACTTACGGGATGTAGCAAAAGCAGTTCTTAGAGAAAAGGTTCTAACAATAAATGCCTATATCAAAAAGGAAGCTCTCAAATAAACAACTTAACGTTATGCCTCAAGAAAATAGAAAAAGAACAACACACTAGACTCAAAGTTAGCAGAAGAAAAATTATTAAAGATTAGAGCAGAAAAAAATGAAATAGACATGAGAAAAGCAATACAAAAGACTAACAAAACTAAGAGTTTTTGTTTTTAGAAAGAATAAATAAAAACAACAAATCTTTAGCTAGACTCTTTAAGAAAAAAAGGGCAGACTCAGATAAGTAAAATCAGAAATAAAAGAGGAGACATTATGACATTACAACTGACACCATATTTCAAAGGATCATAAGAGACTATTGTGAACTAGTATATGCCAAAAAATTGGATCACCTAGAAGAAATGAATACATTGCTAAACACACGCAACCTTTTAAAGCTGAATCAGGGAGAAATAGGAAGTCTGAACAGACCAATTATGAGTAAGGAAATTTAGTCATAAAAAACTTCCAATCAAAGAAAAGCTCAGGACCGGATGGCATCATGGCTGAATTCCACCAAACATATAAAGAAGAACTAATACCAGTGCCTCTCAAACTCTTCCAAAAAAAAAAAAAAAATGAAGATGAGGGAATACATCCAAGCTCTTTTTACAAGGCCAGCATTACCGTGATACCAAAACCAGACAAGAAAATTAAAAGAAAAGAAAATTACAGACCAATATGCTTAATGAACTTAGATGCAAAAATCCTCAAGAAAATACTAGCGCACTGAATTCAACAACAAATTAAAACTATCATTCACCACCTATCAAATAGGATTTATCCTTGAATGCAAGGATGCCTTAACACATGCAAATCAATAAATACATTGCATTAACATAATGAAGCACAAAAACCAAATAATTATCTCATTAGATGCAGGAAAACCATTGACAAAATTTAACTTCCTTTCATGATAAAAACTCTCACCAAATTAGGTATAGAAAGAATGTACCTCAACACAATAAGTGCCATATATGAGAAGCCTATCGCTAACATTATACTCAAAATCGAATGCCTTTCCCCTAAGATCTGGAACAAGACCAGGATGCCCACTCTTGTCACTTCTATTCAAAATAGTACTGGAAGTCATTGCCAGAGCAATTAGGCAAGAGAACGAATTAAAAGGCATCCAAATAGTACAGGAAGAAATGAAATTGTCACTGTTTGGTGATGACATAATCTTATTCTATAGAATTTCCTGCAGACTTCAGCAAAATTGTTAGAACTAATAAATGAATACAGTACATTTGTAGAATACAAAATCAACACACAATAATCAATAGCATTTCTATACACTAGGAAAAGTCTATCCAAAAAAAGAAGACAGCAATCTCATTTACAACAGCTACCAAAAAAATATATACTTAGGAATAAATTTAACCAAGGAGGTGAAAGATCTATATGCTGAAATATAAGACCTGATGAAATAAACTGAAAAAAACAAAAATAAATGAAAAGATATCTCATGTTCATATATTGAAAACACTAACATTATTAAAATGTCCTTACTACCCACAATTATCTACAGGTTCAATGCAATTTCCATCAATATTCCAATATCATTTTTCATAGAAATAGAAAAAAAATCCTAAAATTCATATGGAACCACACACACATACACACAAAAATTCCAAATAGCTAGGGAAATCATGAACAAAAAGAACAAAGCTGGAAGAATCATACTACCTTATTTAAAACTATACTACAAAGCTATAGTAATTCCAAAACAAAGGAGAAAAAAAGAAGGAAATTTTGTCATGTGTGACAACATGGATGAATTGGAGATTATGCTAAGTGAAATAAGTCAAGTACAGAAAGACAAATACCATGTGTTTTTACATATATATGGGAATCCAAAACAACTCAAGTGGTGATTCTCACACAGGTTTGACTTTCTAATCACTATGATCCATCCCTTAAATTTGTTCATGCTTTTTGATCTAGTAATTCCGTTACTAGAAATCTATCCTAATTAGAGATGCACATGAAGGTTTACATAGAAGAATAGTCAATGCTGTATATATAGAAGAATTAGAAGCAATCTATAGTTTCAATGTGAGGAGGGGACTAGTTAATTTGTAATCCATCCACAGATTAGAATACTAATAGATTATAAATATAAAACTCTTATTTATATGTTACATATAATTTATATTATATGTATTATGATATTATATTACATATGTATTCCACTTATATGTAATGTATATGTTATATATAAATATAGATCTCTATATGTTACATATTATATATTATATCATATATAGTATATACATATTATATCTACATATATTATATGTAACATATGTAAACATGTATAAACAACATAAAACATTAGATGTAACATATATAAACATATGTTATATATAACACATATACATATTATACGAATAGAGATCTCTATTTATATATATTACATATGTGTATATTTTAGAGAAAGGGCCTACTGTGCAGCGCAGCACTGGAGTGCAGTGGCTATTTATGGGCATCCTCATAGTCACTGCAGCCTTGAACTCCTGAGCTCAAGTGATCCTCCTGCCTTAGCCTCCCTAGTAGCTGGGACTGCAGGTGCACGCCACCATACCCAGCTAGTGTATTACATTTATTAAGTGATTAACATTAGCCATTCACAGTTCTAAGCATTTCATGTATCTTGACTCAGTTAACCCCCACAAAACCCTAGGATACAGGTATTAATGTGATATTCTATCTAGTGGAAGACATCATCATTATTTTATCCATCATAGAAAAATGCTGCCAAGTAATCTAAGTCACAATGGTACTTTTTAATGCTGACAGTGAGGCATGCTCTGATGTCAGGTATATTAAAATGTAGGGAAAAAAGTTAGTCTTAGAATTGATAAAATAAGCTATTATCATCCATTATTCTATGGCTGAGGAAATTGAGGCATGCAAAGATTAACTTGCCTAGGGTCAAAAAAGCTGTAAATAGAGGTAGAATATATACATATAATCCATAAAGACAGAGAAGCATTTGTTGGCTGGGTGCGGTGGCTCCCGCCTGTGATCCCAACACTTTGGAAGGTTGAGGCAGGAGGATTGCTTGAACCCAGGAGTTCGAGACCACCCTGGGTAACATAGTGAAACCCTGTCTCTATAAAAATAAAAAATATACATATAAAAGAGAAAAAAAATTTTAAAATTCAATTTAAAAAATTAGTTGGACATGGTGGCATGTGCCTGTAATCCTAGCTACTCAGGAGGCTGCAGAAGGAGGATTGTTTGAGCCCAAGAGTTCAAGGCTACAGTGAGCTATGATCACACCACAGCACTTCAGCCTGGGCAACAGGGTGAGACACTGTCTCTAAAAAAGGAAAAATAGAATTAAATGAAATGAAATTAAAAATATTACATGCCTACTGATCAAAATATATCTTGTAATTTATCAAAGAACCAACAGAGGGCATAAAATCTTTTAACAGTATCAACTTAAAACTGTCTCTAAAACGGAATGTATATCCTGAGCTTAAACAGAATAGAAGAAACGGCAACTTAGGAAGTCACGGTGATGAAGTGTTTTATATATTAAAATGAAGCTAAATTAAGCTAAAAATAAATATCAAAAGGCACAAGGCATCTGATATAAAGAAACACTCCAAGAGTATAAGAATCTGAAGAGAGCATGTTAAAACAAATTATTAAAAACCTGTCCTAACAAGACAAAGAAAACAACATGATAACAAAGATAAATGACACTTTGTCCTATTTTATATACTATAAAGAAAATATAATAGTGATAGAAAGTACAGTACATATCTTTATTTTCATATTAGAATTTGGCAAGAAATCACGAAAACTTTACTCCATGGGTTACTTGAGTGAAATCCACAAGTACTTAGGATTGGCTTGGTGGTGAACACTCGAGTTTAATTCAAACTGCTCTACCCTTGATTTTCTGAATCCATTTACAGTAATGATTATTTATCTAACAGATAACATACTGAAATCAAACTCATGCGATGAGAAGTTAAGAAAGAAACTCCTAAATTAAGAAATGTTCCTTGGGAGGCCAAGGTGGGCAGATCACGAGGTGAGGAGTTCGAGACCAGCCTCACCAGCATGGTCTCTACTAAAAATAGAAAAATTAGCTGGGCATAGTGGCATGCGCCTTTAATCTCAGCTATTCAGGGGGCTGAGGTAGGAGAATCACTTGACCCTGGTAGGTGGATGTTGCAGTGAGCCGAGATCGCACCACTGCGCTCTAGCCTGGGTGACAGAGCGATAATCCGTCCAAAAAAAAAAAAAAAGGAAAGAGATTTTCCCGATTGTGAACCCAGGAAAAATAATCAGCACAAAAGAACTTATTCCCACCCCACTTTTTAAAGCAAACAAATCACTAGAATATTACAATGCACATAGGCTAAACAAAAGCCTCGTTCAGACCACTTTCTGACTTAAGATGACATTTGTTTAGTACACAAAGTTGACTCTTTCTGGAGGCAATCCAGAGGTCAGTTCAAGTTGTTATTTTATTTTCTAAGTATACTTAGATGACTTATTCTATAAATTGGCATCTTTCACACTATCGGGCTACATAAGTAAAAACAATGAAATACATTTCTTCTCAGAGGAGATTAGATGTGTTAACATTTTATTCGGTTGGTGCAAAAGTAATTGTGGTTTTTAATTACAGTTTTCATAACACAATGCCCTAACCCTTTGTGTAAGAACACCAAATTATCAATAGGTATAATGTAAGAGAAAGGATTTCCTACTTTTCGATCCAAGTGTTCAAATTTTTTAAAAATTATTATTCAAGCACGTTTAAAAGAGTCCAGGAGATCCGGCAAGATGGTCGAATAGGAACAGCTCCGGTCTGCAGTTCCCAGTGAGACCAACGCAGAAGGCGGGTGATTCCTGCATTTCCAACTGACATACCCTCTTTATCTCATTGGAACTGATTAGGCAATGGGTGCAGCCCATGGAGGGTGAGCCGAAGCAGGGTGGGGCTTCGCCTCACCCTAGAAGTGCAAGGAGCCGGGGGCCTCCCTTTTCCAGCCAAGAGAAGCCGTGAAGGACCAGCCCAGATACTAAGCGTTTCCCACAGCTTTTGCAGCCCACAGACCAGGAGATCCCCTCGCATGCCTACACCACCAGAGCCCTGGATTTCAAACACAAAACTGGGCAGCCATCTGGGCAGACACCAAGCTAGCTGCAGGAGGTTGTTTCCCTCCCCCCACCACCCCACCCCAGTGGCGCCTGGAACTGCCACCGAGAAAGAACCATTCACTCCCCTGGAAAAGGTGCTGAAGCCAGGGAGCCAAGTGGTCTTGCTCAGTGGGTTGCACTCCCACGGAGCCCAGCAAGCTAAGAACCACTGACTTGAAATTCTTGCTGCCAGCCCAGCAGTCTGAAGTCAACCTAGGACGATCGAGCTTGGTGCAGGGAGGGGCGTCGGCCATTAATAAGGCTTGAGTAGGCAGTTTCCCCCTCACAGTGCTAAGGAGACCAGGAAGTTCAGAGTGGGCAGAACTCAACACAGTGCGGCAAAGCGAGACTGCCTCTCTAGATTCCTCCTCTCTGGACAGGGCATCTCTGAAAGAAAAGCAGCAGCCTCAGTCAGGGGCTTATAGATAAAACACCCATCTCCCTGGGACAGAGCACCTGGGGGAAGGGGAGGCTGTAGGCGCAGCTTCAGCAGACTTAAACATTCCTGCCTGCCCACTCTGAAGAGAGCAGTGGATCCGGAAAATGAGGGTTCTACCAGCACGAGTGCTCCAGCTCTGCCTCCTCAAGTGGGTCCCTGACCCCCATGCCTCCTGATTGGGAGAGACCTCCCAACTGGGGTTGACAGACACCTCATACAGGAGAGCTCTGGCTGACATCAGGCCAGTGCCGCCTGGGATGAAGCTTCCAGAGGAAGGAGCAGCCAGCAATTTTTGCTGTTCTGCAGCCTCTGCTGGTGATACTCAGGCAAATAGGGTCTGGAGTGGACCTCCAGCAAACTGCAGCAGACCTGCAGAAGAGAGGCTGGACTGTCAG
Source organism: Homo sapiens (assembly GCF_000001405.40). Lineage (NCBI taxonomy): Eukaryota > Metazoa > Chordata > Mammalia > Primates > Hominidae > Homo > Homo sapiens. The sequence goes on from NC_000010.11 coordinate 30,273,020, forward strand.
AAGAAAAACTAACAAACAGAAAGCAGTAACATCAACATCAACAATAACAAGCAAAAAAAAAAAAAAAAAAAACCCACACAGAAATCCCATCCAAAGCTCATTAGCCTCAAAGATCAAAAGTAGATAAATCCACAAAGATGAGGAGAAACCAGTGCAAAAATGCTGAAAATTCTGAAAACCAGAATGCCTCTTCTCCTCCAAATGATCACAACTCCTCTCCAGCAAGGGCAGAGAATGAGTTTGATGAATTGACAGAAGCAGGCTTCAGAAGGTGGATAATAACAAACTCCTCTGAGCTAAAGGGGCATGTTCTAGCCCAATGCAAGGAAGCTAAGAACCTTGACAAAAGGTTACAGGAACTGTTAACTAGAATAAACAGTTTAGAGAAGAGCATAAATGACCTGATGGAGCTGGAAAACACAGCAGAAGAACTTCATGAAGCATACACAAATATCAATAGCTGAATCAATCAAGGAAAAGAAAGGATATCAGAGATTGAAGATCAACTTACTGAAATAAGGTGTGAAGACAAGATTAGAGAAAAAAGAATGAAAAGGAATGAACAAAGTCTCCAAGAAATATGGGGCTATGTGAGAAGACCAAACCTATGATTGATTGGGGTCCCTGAAAGTGACAAGGAGAATGGAACCAAGTAGGAAAACACACTTCAGGATAGTATCCATGAAAACTTCCCCAATCTAGCAAGACAGGCCAACATTCAAATTCAGAAAATACAGAGAACACCACTAAGATATTCCTTGAGAAGAGCAACCCCAAGACACACAATCATCAGATTCTCCAAAGTTGAAACGAAGAAAAAAACGTTAAGGGCAGCCAGAGAGAAAAGTCAGGTTACATAGAAAGGGAAGCCCATCAGACTAACAGCAGATCTCACTGCAGAAGCCCTACAAGCCAGAAGAGAGTGGGGGCCAATATTCAACATTCTTAAAGAAAAGAATGTTCAGCCTAGAATTTTATATCCAGCCAAACTAAGTTCAAAGTGAAGGAGAAATAAAATCCTTTACAGACAAACAAATGTTGAGAGATTTTGTCACTGCCAGGCCTGCCTTACAAGAGCTCCTGAAGGAAGCACTAAATATAGAAAGGAAAAACCAGTACCAGCCACTGCAAAGACACACCAAAATATAAAGACCAACAACACTATGAAGAAACTGCATCAACTAATGTGCAAAATAACCAGCTAGCATCATGATGACAGGATCAAATTCACACATAACAATATTAACCTTAAATGTAAATAGGCTAAATGCCCCAATTAAAAGACACAGACTGGCAAATTGGATAAAGAGTCAAGACCCATTGGTGTGCTGTATTCAGGAGAACCATCTCACGTGCAAATACACACATAGGCTCAAAATAAAGGGATGGAGGAGTATTTACCAAGCAAATGGAAAGCAAAAAAAAAAAAAAAAAAAAAAAATCAGGGGTTGCAGTCCTAGTCTCTGATAAAACAGACAACTCTGATCTTTAAACCAACAGAGATCAAAAAAGACAGAGAAGGGCACTACATAATGGTAAGGGATCAATGCAACAAGAAGAGCTAACTATCTTAAATATATATGCACCCAAAACAGGAGCACCCAGATTCATAAAGCAAGTCCTTAGAGACCTACAAAGAGACTTAGACTCCCACACAATAATAGTGGGAGACTTTAACAGCCCACAGACAATATTAGACAGATCAACGAGACAGAAAATTAACAAGCATATTCAGGACTTGAACTCAGCTCTGGACCAAGCAGACCTAATAGATAACTACATAACTCTCCACTCCAAATCCACAGAATACACATTCTTCTCAGCACCACATAGCATTTGCTCTAAAATCAACCAATAATTGGATGTAAAACACTCCTCAGCAAATGCAAAAGAACAGAAATCATAACAAACAGCCTCTCAGACCACAGTGCAATCAAATTAGAACTCAGGATTAAGAAACTCATTCAAAGCTGCACAACTACATTGAAACTGAACAACCTGCTCCTGAATGATGACTGGGTAAATAATAAAATTAAGGCAGAAATAATGAAGTTATTTGAAACCAATGAGAACAAAGACACAACGTACCAGAATCTCTGGGGCACAGCTAAAGCAGTGTTTAGAGGGAAGTTTGTAGCACTAAATGCCCACATCAGAAAGCAAGAAAGATGAAAATCAACATTCTAACATCACAATTAAAAGAACTAAAGAAGCAAGAGAAAACAAATTCAAAAGCTAGCAGAAGACAAGAAATAACTAAGATCAGACCAGAACTCAAGGAGATAGAGAGACGAAAAAACCTTCAAAAAATCAATGAATCCAGGAACTGCTTTTTTGAAAAGATTAACAGAATAGATAGATCACTAGCCAGACTAACAAAGAAGAAAAGAGAGAAGAATCAAACAGATACAATAAAAAATGATAAAAGGGATATCACCACTGATCCTACAGAAACACAAACTGCCATCAGAGAATACTATAAACACCTCTATGCAAATACACTAGAAAATCTAGAAGAAATGGAAAATTCCTGGACACATACACCCTCCCAAGACTAAGCCAGGAAGAAGTTAAATATCTGAATAGACCAATAACAAGTTCTGAAATTGAGGCAGTAATTAATAGCCTACCAACCAAAAAGAGCCCAGGACCAGACAGATTCATAGCCGAATTCTACCAGAGGTACAAAAAGGAGCTGATACCATTTCTTCTGAAACTATTCCAAACAATAGAAAAAGAGGGACTTCTCCCTAACTCAATTTATGCGGCCAGCGTCATCCTGATACCAAAGCCTGTCAGAGACACAACAAAAAAAGAAAATTTCAGGCCAATATCTCTGATAAACATCGATGTGAAAATCCTCAATAAAATACTGGCAAACTAAATCCAGCAGCACAACAAAAAGCTTATCCACCACAATCAAGTTGGCTTCATCCCTGGGATACAAGGCTGGTTCAACATACACAAATCAATAAACATAATTCATCACATAAAAAGAACCAATGACAAAAACCACATAATCATCTCAACAGATGCAGAAAAGGCCTTCAATAAAATTCAACACTGCTTCATGCTAAAAACTTTCAATAAACTAGATGTTGATGGAACATATCTCAAAATAATAAGAGCTATTTATGACAAAGCCATAGCCAGTATCATACTGAATGGGCAAAAGCTGGAAGCATTCCCTTTGAAAACTGGCACAAGATGAGGGTACCCTCTCTCACCACTCCTATTCAATTAGTATTGGAAGTTCTGGCGAGAGGAATCAGGCAAGAGAAAGAAATAAAGGGTATTCAAATAGGAAGAGAGGAAGTCAAATTGTCTCTGTTTGCAGATGACATGATTCTGTATTTAGAAAACCCCATCATCTCAGCCCAAAAGCTCCTCAAGCTGATAAACAACTTCAGCAAAGTCTCAGGTTACAAAATCAATGTGCAAAAATCACAATCATTTCTATACACCAATAATAGACAAGCAGAGAGTCAAATCATGAGTGAACTCCCATTCACAATTGTTACAAAGAAAATAAAATACCTAGGAATACAACTTACAAGGGACATGAAGGACCTCTTCAAGGAGAACTACAAACCACTGCTCAAGGAAATGAGAGGAAAAAATGGAAAAAAAAATCCATGTTCATGGATAGGAAGAATCAATATCATGAAAATGGCCATACCGCCCAATGTAATTTATAGATTCAATGCTATTCCAAGCTACCATTGACTTTCTTCACAGAATTGGAAAAAAACTACTTTAAATTTCATATGGAACCACAAAAGAGCCCATATAGCCAAGACAATACTAAGTAAAAAGAAAAAAGCTGGAGGCATCATGCTACCTGACTTCAAACTATACTGCAAGGCTACAGTAACCAAAACAGCATGGTACTGGTACCAAAACAGATATATAGACCAATGGAACAGAGCAGAGGCCTCAGAAATAACACTACACATCTACAACCATCTGATTTTTGACAAATCTGACAAAAACAAGCAATGGGGAAAGGATTCTCTATTTAATAAATGGTGCTGGGAAAACTGGCTAGCCATATGCAGAAAACAGAAACTGGAACCCTTGCTTACATCTCATACAAAAATTAACTCAAGATGGATTAAAGACTTAAACGTAAAACCTAAAACCACAAAAACCTTAGAAGAATACCTAGGGAATACCATTCAGGACATAGGCATGGGCAAAGACTTTGTGACTAAAACACCAAAAACAATTGCAACAAAAGCCAGAATTGACAAATGGGATCTAATTAAACTAAAGAGCTTCTGTTCAGCAAAAGAAACTATCATCAGAGTGAAAAGGCAACCTACAGAATGGGAGAAAATTTTTGCAATCTACCCATCTGACAAAGGGATAATATCCAGAATCTACATGGAACTTAAACAAATTGGCAAGAAAAAAACAAACAACCCCATCAAAAAGTAGGTGAAGGATATGAACAGATACCTCTCAAAAGAAGACGTCTATGCTGCCAACCAACATGATAAAAAGCTCACCATCACTGGTCATTAGAGAAATGCAAATCAAAACCACAATCAGATACCATCTCATGCCAATTAGAATGCTGATCATTAAAAAGTCTGGAAACAACAGATGCTGGCAAGGATGTGAAGAAATAAGAAGGATTTCACTTCTGGTGGGAGTGTAAATTAGTTCAACCATTGTGAAAGACAGTGTGGCAATTCCTCAAGGATCTAGAACCAGAAATACCATTTGACCCAGCAATCCCGTTACTGGGTATATACCTAAAGGATTATAAATAATTCTACTATAAAGACACATGCACGTGTATGTTTATTGCAGCACTATTTACAATAGCAAAGACTTGGAACCAACCCAAATGCCCATCAATGATAGACTGGATAAATAAAATGTGGCACATATACAACATGGAATACTATGCAGCCATAATAAAGAATGAGTTCATTTCCTTTGCATGGGCATGGATGAAGCTGGAAACCATCATCCTCAGCAAACTAACACAGGAACAGAAAACCAAACACCACACGTTCCCACTCATAAGCAGGAGTTGAACAATGAGAACATATGGACACAGAGAGGGGAACATCACACACTGGGGACTGTCGGTGGGTAGGGAGAAAGGGGAGGGACAGCATTAGGACAAACACCTAATGCATATGGGGCTTACAACCTAGATGACAGATTGATAGGTGCAGCAAACCACCATGGCACATGTTTACATTTAAATTTCATATGGAACCAACAACAGCCCATATAGCCAAGACAATCCTAAGTATATAACAAACCTGCACATTCAGCACATGTATCCCAGAACTTAAAGTAAAATTTAAAAAATAATAATAAATAAATACAACAAATATGATAACAGCCCTTTCCCAAAACAAACCCCCTTCTTGCCTGAGGACTAGACTGCCTTCATAGGAATAACAAATTACCCACAAGATTGGAAATTATGGTTTAGGAGTCATGCAGCTGGAGGCTACAAGATTCTGATCATCCCTAAACTGTTCCTTAGATCAACGCTTGCGATATTTTTGCAGACCCTGCACTTGTTGGAGCAGCTGGCATCATCCAGAGTGATAAACTGGCTCATCTGATCTTGTGGCCCCCACTCAGGAACTGATTCAGTGCAAGAGGACAGCTTCAATTCCCGATGATTTCATCTCCAACCCAACCAATCAGCACTCTGGACTCACTGGCCTTCCCCTATCCACCAAATTATCCTTAAGAACTCTGATCCTCAAATACTTGGAGAGACTGATTTGTGTAATACTAAAACTTTGGTCTGCCGCACAGCCAGCACTGCATGGATTACTCTTTCTCTATTGCAATTGCTGATATGGTTTGGCTGTGCCCCACCCAAGTCTCATCTTGAATTGTAGCTTCCATAATTCCCACGTGTTGAGGGAGGGGCCTGGTGAAAGATAATTGAATCATGGGAGTGGCTCCCCCCATACTGTTCTTCGGGTAGTGACTAAGTCCGACAAGATCTGATGGTTTTATAAAGGGTCTCTCCTCGGCCGGGCGCAGTGGCTCACGCCTGTAATCCCAGCACTTTGGGAGGCCGAGGCGGGCGGATCACGAGGTCAGGACCTCGAGACCATCCTGGTTAACAGGGTGAAACCCCATCTCTACTAAAAATACAAAAAATGAGCCGGGCGTGTTGGCGGGCGCCTGTAGTCCCAGCTACTTGGGAGGCTGAGGTAGGAGAATGGCATGAACCCGGGAGGCGGAGCTTGCAGTGAGCCGAGATCACCACTGCACTCCAGCCTGGGCAACAGAGAGACTCCATCTCAAAAATAAATAAATAAATAAATAAATAAATAAATAAATAAATAAATAAATAAATAAAAATAAAGTGTCTCCTCTTGCTTGGCTCTCATTCTACCTTGGCTGCCACCATGTAAGAGGTACCTTTTGCCTTCCACCATGATTGTGACGCCTCCCCAGCCACCTGGAACTGGGAGTCCATTAAACCTCTTTTTCTGTATAAATTACCCATTCTCAAGTATGTCTTTATCAGCAGCATGAAAACGGACTAATACAGTAAATTGGTGCTGATAGAGTGGGGCACTGCTGTAAAGACACCCAAAAATATGGAAGCGACTTTGGAACTGGGTAACAGGCAGAGGTTGGAACAGTTCAGAGGCCTCAGAAGAAGACAGGAAAATGTGGGAAAGTTTGAAACTTCCTAGAGACTTGTTGAATGGCTTTGACCAAAATGCTGATAATGATATAGACAATGAAATCCAGGCTGAGGTGGTCCCAGATAAAGATGAAGAATTTGTTAGGAAATGGAGTAAAACTGACTCTTGCTATGTTTTAGCAAAGAGACTGGCGGCATTTTGCCCCTGCCCTAGAGGTCTGTAAAACTTTGAACTTGAGGGAGATGATTGAGGGTATCTGGTGGAAGAAATTTCTAAGCAGCAAAGCATTCAAGAGGTGGCTTGGGTGCTGTTAAAAGCATTCAGTCTAAGTTTGTGAATTACCATTGACATTTTTAACATCAGAGCTAAATATTGTCATTTTAGAGATAGTAGGGAGCTAGGCAGTTATCTGGTCTACCTCCTTTATTTTTACATAAAACTGAGGAGGCTGCAGAAAAGAGTTTAAATGGTGTATTCCTGGTGATTGAGATTTATTATTCCTCCTTTACTTCTCTACTTGTTCCCCCTCTTTATTTTTAGCAAAGAAAGTTCTGCAACACTGCTGGCTTACGTTTGTCTATTTTTATGCCATGGCTAATAGAGTATGCTTCTTGGTTTGCTAAATGTATTTTCTTTTGGTTATTCAGTAGAAATTACTTGTCCTGAGTCTGTAATCTGCTGATGGAAAAATACCCCAAACTCTGTAAAATATTTTAAAGAGGTTTATTCTAAGCCAGTATGAGTGACCATGGCCCAGGGAACAGTCTTGAGAGCTTTTGAGAAAGAGTACCCCAGGCAGTTGGGTTACAGTTTGGTTTTATACTTTTTTTTTTTTTTTTTTTTTTTGAGAGAGAGTCTCACACTGCCACTCAGGCTGGAGTGCAATGGTGTGATCTCAGCTCAACCTCCACCTCCGAGATTCAAGCAATTTTCCAGCCTCAGCCTCCCAAGTAGCTGAGATTACAGGTGTGCACCACCACACCTGGCTAATTTTTGTATTTTTAGTAGAGATACGGTTTCATCATGTTGGCCAGGCTGGTCCCGAACTCCAGACCTCAAGTGATCCCCCCGCCTCAGCCTCCCAAAGTGCTGGATTACAGGTGTGAGCCACCGTGCCCAGCCTGGTTTTATACATTTTAGTGAGATGGGACTTGCAGGTAAAATACTAAACTAATAATGGAAGGTCTACATTTGTTCGGCCTAAAGAGGTAGAATATCTTGAAGGGGGCAGTGAGATGGGGATGGGGGTTACAGGTCATAGGTGGATTCAAAGACTTTTTTAATTGGTAATTGGTTGAAAGAGTTAAGCTTTGTCTAAAGACTTGAAGTCAGTAGAAAAAAATGCTTAAGATAAGGGGGCTTATGGAGACCAAAGTTCTTGTTATGTGGATGAAGTTTCATAGGTAGCAGCCTTCAGAGAGAATAGATAGTAAATGTCTCTTTTCCAGTCTTAAAAGATTTCAGACTCTTAGTTAATCTCTCCTAGATCCAGGAAAGGCCTGGAAAAGGAAGGTGTGGCTGCATTATCTCCATTAATGGAGATTCTCTACAAATGCAAATTCCCCCCATAAAAGATGGCTTGGCAGGACAATTTCAAAATATGTCAAATAAATATATTTTGGGGTAAAATATTTTGATTTCTCTCCAGGTCTGCTATCTGTTATGCAATGCTATACCAGAGTCAGGTTGGAATTTGTTATCTTATTGCCACAAAGAGTCTGTTTTTTTCAGTCTTATGGTCTGTATTTTAATGTTAGTGCTGGTCAGTTGTGCCTAAACTCCAAAAGGGAGGGAATATAATGAGGTATGTCCAACCTCCCTTCCTGTCATGGCTGGGAATTCAGTTTTTCAGATTTTTCTGGGGTCCTCTTGGCCAAGAAGGGATCTATTTAGTCGGCTGGGGGGCTTAGAAATTTATTTTTGGTTTACAAACATATTAAAGTGGCCATCAGAGAAATTGTCGGTATCCTGATAGCTGTTTTCTTATAATGTTTACAGTATCACTTGGTGGTTAATTTACTTAAAGTAATTAGAACTCTCTCAGGTAAAAGTGAAAGAAATTTTTTTTTTTAATAAAAACACTTTAAAAAGGAATTGATTAGGCCGGGCACAGTGGCTCACACCTGTAATCTCAGCACTTTAGGAGGCCGAGGCGGGTGCATCACAAGGTCAAGAGATGGAAACCATCCTGGCCAAAATGGTGAAACCCTGTGTCTACTAAAAATACAAAAATTAGCTGGGCGTGGTGGCGCACACCTGTAGTCGCAACTACTTGGAAGGCTGAGGCAGGAGAATCACTTGAACCTGGGAGGTGGAGGTTGCAGTGAGCCGAGATTGCACCACTGCACTCCAGCCTGGGCAACAGAGCCAGACTCCATCTCAAAAAAAAAAAAAAAAGTAATTGATTAAATATATACTGTGGACTTTTACAAAACAGCTTAGCTTCTGGGAGGTCTGGGGTATAGCTGGGCCTTGGGAACACCTGGAACCAAGCTTTGAGTGCCCTCAAGAGTCTCATGGTTTATCCATTTTTCTGCCTGCCCTGGCTTCCTTCTCTTTGAAATCAGAGGAATTTTTCTCCAAAAGTCTGCTAGTAGACCTGAGTTTGAATTATAAGAGTTTCCTGATTCCAGTTCTAAAATTCTAGGAAAAGGACACTGATTGACTTAGCATGGGCCATGTGCCTGCTTATAGACCAATTAAGTAATACGAGGAAATGAATATGACAGTAACAATATCTTGGCTCCGGTGACCACCCTTGGTGGTCAGTCAGTTGTATCCAGGAAGTGGAGTCATAGCAGCTTCCATCATAACCATGTGTGAAATTGGCCAAGTTACTTCATTTTTCTGTGCCTTTCTCCTTTACTTCATCTGTAAAATGAGATTAAATTGTTCCCCTCTCATAGAGTTATTTGAGGATTTTATGAGAAAATGCAACATTCTTTGTATAGTGGAAAACTGGAAACAATATGATATAAACATTCATTACTGTATTAGGCTGTTTGTGCATTGCTATAAAGAAATACTTAACCTGACCAACATGGCAAAACCCCATCTCTACTAAAAATACAAAAATTAGCCGGGCGTGGTAGTGCACATCTGTAATCCCAGCTACTCAGCAGGCTGAGGTGGGAGAAATCACTTGAACCCAGGAGGTGGAGGCTGCAGTGAGCTGAGATCGCGCCACTGCACTCCAGCCTGAGCAATAGACCAAGACCCTGTCTCAAAAAAAAAAAAAAAAAAGAAAGAAAGAAAAGGAAAAAAGAAAAGAAAAGAAAAAGAAAAAAAAGAGAAATACCTGACACTGGATAATTTATCAAGAAAAGAGGTTTAATTAGCTCATGGTTCTGCAGGCTGTACAGGAAGCATAACACAGGCATGTGCTTCTGGGAAGGCCTCAGGAAGCTTACAATCATGGTAGAAAGTGAAGGGGGAGCAGGTATCTCACATGGTGGGAACAGGAGAGAGAGCGAGAGAGTGAGAGTGAGGTGCCATGCTTTTAAACAGCCAGATCTTGCAAGAAGTCACTCACTATTGCAAGGACAGCACCAAGAGGATGGTGGGATGACGCTAAGTCATTTATGAGAAAGCCACCCCTATGATCCAATCATCTCCCACCAGGCCCCAAATCCAATACTGGGGATTACAATTCAACATGAGATTTGGGCGGAGACACACATCCAAACCATAACAATCACCAAGGGACAAGTTAAAGAAGTTTGTGGGCTCAAGCAGTTGACTTCTATGCAGCCATTAAAATATATGTCCCCAACAGAAGGCAGGCTTCCACGTATAACACATGTGACCATTTTCCCCAGGCCCTCTAGTTTGCAAAGGTGAGGGCAGAGCTCAACCTGTAGTGTAGAGCCTGAGACAGAGGGACCATGCTCCCTGTGTCCTAATGGGAAAGGGCTCTTCTTGAGTAGAAAGGTGATTACCAAGTTTTGCTTTCTCCTATAGATGAAACATGAGCAAAAACAGGGAAATGGAGACCTGGAAAAGAGAGGGCACAGAAACGGCCAGGTGGGTACACCTGTGATGCTGGTGGTGGGATTCGTTGGTGAACTACAGCCTGTAGGCCAAATCCAGCCCACTACCTGATTTTGCATGGCCCAGGAGTGAAGGATGGTTTGTTTGTTTTTTTGTTTGTTTGTTTTACATTAAAATGATTGAGAAATAAATTTTTTAAAAGAATATTTCATGACTTGTGAATAGTATATAAAATTCACATGTCATAAATAAAGCTTTATTGGAACATGCCAGACCCATGCACTTACATATTGTCTAGGGCTTCTTTCCCCCATGTAAAGTTGAGTAGTTTTACAGAGATCATATGGGTTCCAAAGCCTAAAATATTTACTATGTGACCCTTTACTGAAAAAGTTTGCTGACCCCTGCCTTGTAGTATGACACATGGATTTTTGGAAGAGTAAAACAAATTTAACATTTGCTGAGCACTCCTTCTTACCCAGCATGGCTATAGACTCTTCTCATGTATTTAATATAATTTTGTGAACAACCCTATAAGGCAGGTACTATTATTATCTTCATTTCACACATAAGAAAGTTAAGACACCTCGGTAATTTTCTCAAAGTCAGGTCATTAGTGAGTAGAAAAACTGGGATACGAACCCAGGCTGTCCAATTCCAGAGCAATAATCTAGTTAGATTTTCTGGCTTGTTATGGGATGGAATTCCTGCTAGCTGTCCCTCAAAAATGTCAGTATCGCTATGCAAACCATCATTTACTTGATTAGTCTTGCTGTGGAGAAAGGGATTGGGCTGTGCCTACACTTGGGGCACAACGGGAGAGGACACAACAGGAGGGGACAGTAGCCTTGAGAAGTGGCACCAGTTCACTCCTGGGCTTTACATTTGATGGCGTCATAGAATGGAGGAAATCATTGTGTGTGTGTGTGTGTGTGTGTGTGTGTGTGTGTGTGTGTGTGTGTGTGGTGTATACATAGCAAATGTCTCGAAGGTCCCATCCCAAACTGCATATAGCATTTGCCCTTCAGGAGTGAAATGGATAATGTAAAATTGGGAGCTGTCTACATTTTAATCCTACGTTGTTTGAAATTTTAAGTGAGGTTGTAGTCTTTGTATTGCTATTTTCAGAAACTCATATAAACATGGTGAAAAGAACTCTCTGGCCTGATTTTCCCTTTTGTGAGGTAAATTGACTTAACTCTTCTTTAAGTTTCCTAGGTTTTGAGAAGAGATAGATTATTTAATAATCTATTTCCCCAGGATGGCACCTAGAGGAAAAGATTATCCAGCCACCAAGAAATGCCCAGCTCCTCTATTTATGATGAACCTGACTTAATCAGGAGTAGAAGGCACATTTCTTCTTTTCAGAGTTACACAAGGGCCCTGGGTTTCCTGTTGACATGAAGATATTCACACCCTTCAGAGGATGGAACCCTTCACAAACAGCTTATCATCTGTTCCACTTTCTGCTCTTAGAGATGAAATAGGAAGTTTCTTCTTTGTTCAAAGATTAAGGAAACCACTGTTTCCCTGTTGAGATGGGGAAAGACGTACCATCCTGGGATCTTCATGTCTCAGAAGGATTATATACATTTTCCCTTGTCTTCCCTGCAAAGGAATGAGAGAAAGAACAGTCCCAGGGTTTGGCCACTGAAGGCTGGAAAGGGATGGCAGGGCCCTCCCACACTTAGTCATTACTCATGCATGAGGGCAGCTCCCAGCCCTCAGCTCTGGAGGGGTGGTGAGGGCTGGTTTTCCTGGGCTCTGCTAGGTATCTGCTTGGTATCTTGGGGAACTATCTCAAATTGAGTGAAAGAGCAGTGAGTGTTGCTTCCATTTTCGGTACACCACTGAAAATGAAGTACTTGTACAAGCTGGACATTTGAGTTTCACTTCTCTTGTAATGTTGAATACAGACTCCTAATTTAAAGACATGTATCTAAGGGACAAATAATTGCACTGATCCAAGAAGGGCTGGGCTCCTGGCTAAACTCTATCCTGAAGCCTGGAACCTTGGCCCTAAGTGAAAACAGCCAACCCCATTTTTCCACCCAAATGATTTCCTTTTTGGCCCACCCCGCCCCCTATCCTGTGCCCACAAAAAACCAGACTTCAGCTGGTAGAGGGAAAAAAAACACACACATACAAAAGCTGCTGACTGTCGGGGATACAAGCAGCTGAGTGGTGAGCAGAGAAGCAGCAACTGCGTACTGTAGAATATGGATAAACGCAGCTAACTTCAGACGGTGCGGCTTCAGAGGGGAGCCTGGCTGGAGACAGGCTGGGCTTCAGGGAAAGATCACCTTCTTCCCACTCGATCCCCTTTCCAGCTCCCCTTCCACCGAGAGCCACTTGCACTGCTCAATAGTCTTCTGCACCAATCATCTTTCAAACAGTTCATGTGACCTGATTCTCCCAGAATATTGAACAACAACTCGGGTGTCAAAAAGAGCAGGTGCAGAAGGCTGTCACCCTAACCTTTTACTGAGCTGTTAACACTTAGCCATCCACAGACTGCAGGCTGCAGGCTGAGTGAAATGAGTCACTCCAGTTCCACGAAGGGGGTCAAAGTCAAGGAAAAATCTCATCTTAACACAACCCATAATGTAATAGTGTGCAATATCTTTTCTAGTAATCACAGTTTTTGTAAAAAATCAGTATAAAGCTGTCAAGTTTTCTTTCTTAGAAAAGATCTGTTATATTTTTCTGAAATCATCTTCTTTATCTTTTGCAGGGAGGAATGTCCTTCCTTTTATGAAATTAAATAAGAGCCCCTATAATTTGCAAGAAACTGTTCTAAGTCCTAAGGAATTGGCAGCGAACAAAATGCAGCAAGTCTCTAAACTTGTAGAGCAAATTTTTTTCCAGAATAAAATGTAGCTTTATTATGACATAGGAAAGACTGCAAACCATTAGGGGAGGACGAGGAGTCAAATTGATGCAGGATTATTTTCTTGACTGTTTCGTGGGACTCGTGACAGGGGTGCCCTGTTTACTCAGCCCACCCCGCTTAACCCCTTGTAGGAGGGAGCACACAAGCAAATGAATGGAGGAACCGGCTGGCTGCTCCATTCCTTCAGGTCTGCCATGCTCCACCCCTCACAGGAGGGAGCATGTAGGCAAGTGAGTGCAGGAACCAGCTGGCTGCTTTGGTGCCAGCAGGAGCAAACTCCAGGCAGGCCCCGCAGCAGTGTCTAGGTGGGGGTGCCTGTGACCCCAGAGCCCCAGAGGGCGTGTTACAATGCTCTCTTAGCTCCACTGTCCACAGACAGCAGTGTGTTATCAGCTCAGTGGGCCCTTTGCCTCATCGTATGGGGCAGCTGCCCTCTGCCAGTGAGGGAAAGGGACCAGTGTTGACAGCCTTTTTGGGTATCAGCCCTTGGTGCATACTGAATCCTTGTTTGGTGCCCAAGAAGAATGAGGTCACATGAACGAATTGAAGGATGGTGGATGAGGATAATTTTATTGATCAATGAAAGCAGATCTCAGCCGAAAGGGGAGCTGGAAAGGAGATGGGAAGGGCAGGTTGCTCTCCCTTGAAAGCCTCTGTTTGACATCCAGCTGCTGTCTCTGAAGTCAAGGTGCCTCTTCCCAGTGTCCAGCTGCTTCTCCTCTCTACAGGCTGAGCCTGGGGTCTTTGTAGGCACAGGATGAGGGGTAGGGCAGGCCATAGATTGCTTTGGAAAAGGCAACATCTGATTGGCAAAAAGACGTTATTCAGAAAGAACCAATCAGGAGACAGTGGGCACACAGGGATAGAAGTTCTCACTTTGGGTGGCAGGTTTCAGGATTTCCAGAAGGTGGGGTTTTGCCACAGATCCACCCCTGTCTGCAGAGAATTTCTCTGCCTCTTGCCTCTATCCAGATAGCTCCTTAAAATGAGAGGTAAAAGGAAGACATAAACACCTTGGTAATGAAGCCTCCAACCACAGCACAATCATTGGATGTTTTTTCTCACAATTTTTTGTTTTCAAAGCTATAGTAAATGAAACAGCTACTTGAATTATCAAAAGAATAGCAGTTTTACACAATGAGAAGCATACATGCCAAGCAAAAATATAGTAGCACTTGGGCATAGAGTCCAGGGACCCTTCGTGCACCTGATAGGGAAGCCCAGGGCCTCGGTAGGTGTTGTGGGGGTGCTGGAAGGAGGCCAATCATGCTCCCAGCATATGGCTCAGCTCAAAGCACAACAGCAAATTCTAGAAAACAAATAAATATATAACACCATGCCAACAGTAATTGGCACTATTAGCACCAATTAATAATATTAGCACTATTTTAATAAGTGCTATGAAGAGACATGAAATAGAACCAGGAGCTCAAGCAGTGGGACTCAACCTGGGCCCAACGCTGTAAACACCCAAGAGCTTTAAAACATATTGTTGCCTTGGTTCTACTTGGAGAGTTCTATTCCAATTGGTCTGGAGTTTAGCTTGGGAATCTGAATTTTAAGCACTTTGGGTGGGTCTAATGTACTGATGAGCAGTGACTACCAATAAGGGCACACTGGCACTTGAGGCTTTCACTCACATTTCATTGGCCAAAGCAAGTCATATTCCTGACCTGCACTCCAGGCAAGAGGGCAGTGCCATTCCAGGTGTGCCCTGGAGAAAGGGAATGTGCGTGAAGCCCCTTAATGGTGGCCACAAGCTCCTCCTCCCTTGCTTGAGTCCAAGTGAAGAACTGTTTTTCTATTAAATCCAATTCTATGACTTTCCCTAACATTCACACACAAAGTAATGCAATACAGACCCACATACCAGCAGATCGCTACTAGCTGAGTGTGTGACCAGTTTGAGTATCTGGATGGGCCAGATGTTCACAGTGGCCACACTTAGCCACAAAACACAACAGCCTTCAATGTCCCAGCCCTTGGCCTAACCATCATTGCTCTCCAAGCATGTGGAGGCTTCAGCTTTCTCACTTCCGGAGCCGAGGTGACACTGTTATGCACTGGCTAGTTTAGCTTTTTTGGGTGCAACATCTGGAGCAAATGTGTAACTTGATGTTGGTCACTTTTACACAAAAATAAATAGTCTGTATCCGACAGACCCAGTGAAAGGTGCTGTTTGTTTAGACAGTGGATTTGTTGTGCATTTCATTTAGCTAATGAATCTTGGAACTCTCAACATAAACAATCAGGAAACTTAAACCCTTAAGGAGCCTAAGAGATAGGAATGTTTTCTTCAGTGTGAATCATGAGCTAATTATTGTTCCTAAAACTGTAAACCAAATTAATTATGCCTACCTAGTAGCTAGAGAACATGAAGGATCCAGCACCTGCCTTGTGTTCAAATATGGACTATTTAGAGACAAGAGGTGTGTTCGATTTTTCTGCTTGCTAGAACATACTCTCTTTCAAGTTTCTTCAAGTAGCAGGGGTCCCTTGTAAAGATGTACATGAGTTAAAAAAGAAACAGGGATCTCATGAGAACCTAAGAACAGAAGCCAATGGACACTCAGCTTACATATAATTACATATATAATTAATATTCTCAGTGACATAAGAGGAATCTTTGCATCCATGACACAGGAACAGAGTCATTTAAAAAAGGATCAATCAGACATTCAGAAATAGAAAAAGAGCTTTTGGAAATCTAAAATATGATTGCAGAAACACAACAATGACAAACTCAATAGAACAAATAAAAGTAAAATTTGGGCCGGGCATGATGGCTCACGCGTATAATCCCAGAACTTTGGGATACTGAGGCGGGAGGATCATCTGAGGTCAGGAGTTCAAGACCAGCCTGGCCAACATGGTGAAACCCCGTCTCTACCAAAATATAAAAAATTAGCCAGACATGGTGGGGTGCTTGTAATCTCAGTTACTTGGGAGGCTGAGGCTGGAGAATCACTTGAACACAGGAGGCGGAGGTTGCAGTGGGCTGAGATCGCACCATTGCACTCCAGTCTGGGTGACAAGCAAAACTATGTCTTAAAAAAAAAAAAAAAAAAAAAAGTTAAATTTGAGGAAATCTCCCAGAGAGTAGTCAAAACCACAAAAAGATGAAAAATAGAATAGCAAAGATAACAAAATTTGAGGACCAGTCCAGGTGGTCCAATGCTGATATTTAATAGGAGTTCCAGAAATATATTAGAAAAAAATGAGGCAAGAAAATCATCAATGAAATGAGTCAAGAAAATTCTCAGGACTGAAGGACCTGAGATTGAGAGAGCCCACAGAGAATCACACCAAAGCCCATCATGTGAAATTTCAAGTCCTGAGAGGCATGAGATGATCCTACAAGTTTCCAGAGAGTAAAACACAGGGCATGCATAGAATTAATATTCATGGCTTTAGACTTCTTGAGACACCAGAGCAAGAATATATCTTAAAGGAAAATGATGTCTGACCTATTATTCTATATGCAGCAAAACTATTAATTAAATATGAGGGTAAAATAAACACATTTTAACATATGCAAGCCCTCAAAACATGTATCTCCCAAATATCCTTTCTCAGAAAGCTACTAGAGGAAGCACTCCACAAAAATAAGAGTAAACCAAGAAAGAAGAGGCATGGGAACATGGGAAATCCCACAAACAGAGAGACAAAGAGCATCCCTGGGATGACAAAGGGAGGTCTCAAAATGACCAGACAGAGGGAACATAGTCCAGACAGAAGCACCGTCATCCACGGATGTCCTGGGAGGTCATGAGCAAGATCCACACTGCCATTTTTTAAAACCAAAGGTCACATGTCCAATGGAGCTCATTGACTATCTTGTCTATGTACTGAGAAGGTTTCTTTTTTCTCCTCTATGACCTACTACTTGGATCAGCTGAGAATCCTCATTTCACCCCCAGAGAAATGTTCTTCTTTGACCTACTCTTGGGAGCTGGAGGCAGATTATGGTAAGTTTGGACCCAGGAAGATCTGGGTAGCCTACTTGCCTGACCACATCACTGCTGAATCCAGACCCTGCTCCACAAATGGATGCCTCAGTGATGTGCTCCCATGTTTCCAGGTTTCAACAACAGCCTTGCCCCTGACCTTTTCAGAAGGGATGCTCTTACACATCCAGGGAATCTAAACCCAGAGATTCAGTTGAACTTATCCCAGGAACCTACCGGCAATTAACTCATTTTATTGCAGTTAAGTTTGTATTTGCTATTCAGTCAAAACTGAGCAATGTATCCTTTGAGGATACAAACAAGTTGGAAATCTATAAAGAAAGGCAAAGGAATTACTAACACAAAGGTTTGGAGAGGAATTTCCTTGGGGTGGAGGCTCGGGGCTGTCATAGAGAAGACGATCAAAGGGCGCTTCTAAGCTACTGACATGATTCTTCTGAGCCTGAGATAAGTGTATGCGGGAATTAATTTTATTCTTCTTCTGCTCTTACATAAACATTTTCTATTCTATTATGCATGATACATTTCACAAAACAAAATTATTCTTTTAATTTAAAAAACAGTCATGGCCAGGCACGGTGGCTGACGCCGTAATCCCAAGATTTTGGGAGGCCGAGGCAGGTGGATCACTTGAGGTCAGGAGTTCAAGACAAGCCTGACCAACATGATGAAACCCCGTCTCTACTAAAAATACAAAATTAGCCAGGCATGGTGGCAGATGCCTGTAAGCCCAGCTTAGGCTGAGGCAGGAGAATTGCTTAAACCCAGAAGGCAGAGGTTGCAGTGACTCTAGATCACACCATTGCACTCCAGTCCGGACAACAAGAGCAAAACTCCATCTCAAAATAAATAAATAAATTTTAAAAAATATAAAAGAATCAAGTAGCAGTTAGTGTTTTAAAAAAACAAAGACTGAGGAAGCTCTGTGTACTGATGTGGAATGATCTCCAAGATATTTTTTCAGATGAGACAAAAGGGATGTCGATGAGACAATGATTGAGAAGTCAAAAAACAAAAAAGCACACACACACACATGCATGTGCATGTACACACACACTTGCTGGTGTCCACATAAAAATACCCATGTAAGATTCCTTTAGGAACTTCTACTCTAAACTGTAAATGGGCTGCCTGGAGATCAGGGTCATAGAATGCTCACGTTCTATTTTTTTTTTTTTTTTTTTTTTTTTGAGATGGAATCTTGCTCTGTCACTCAGGCTGGAGTGTAGTGGTGCAGTCTCAGCTCACTGCAACCTCTGCCTCCCAGCTTTAAGCGATTCTCCTGCCTCAACCTCCCGAGTGGCTGGGATTACAGGTGTGCACCACCATGCCCAGCTGATTTTTGTATTTTTAGTAGTGAGGGGGTTTCATGATGTTGGCCAGGCTGGTCTTGAACTCTTAACCTCATGTGATCCACCCACCTCGGCCTCCCAAAGTGCTGGGATTACAGGCATGAGCCACTGCGCCTGGCCTACATTCCATTTTTTTATAGTTTTGAATTTTGCAGCACTTGAAAGTTTTACCCAGTCAAAAAAAACACTTTTTTTTTTTAAATAAAAGAAAGAAGACTGACAGGACCAAAGCAAATGTTATAAAGGATGCAGAATCATATCCTGCTAATAGGAGAGCAAATTGGTAAACCTCCTTGGAAAGCAATTTGGAAATATCTCATCAAGTTGAACCAGCAACTACACTCCTAGGTACATGCTCTAGGAAAACGTCTTTCATATGTGCATCAGGAAACATCTACAGGAACGTTCCAACCAGGCTTGCACATGATAACTAAAAAGGAAGAAAGAAAAAAGAGCAGCAATATAAAAGGTCCCAAAGAAGAGATTGTATTTAAAGAAATTCTATTATTTCCTTGGTCTGTGTGTCTGCTTTTACTGCAATACCATGCTACTTTGATTACTATAGCTTTGTAGTAGATTTTGAAATCAGATAGTGGGATGTTTTGCTTTGGCTATTCAGATTCTTTTGTGTTTGCATAAAAATTTTAGAATTGTTTTATAGTTCTGTGAAAAAGATTATTGAAATTTTGATAGAGATTGCATTGAATCTCTAAATCATTTTGAGTAATATGGACATCTTAACAATGATCATTCTTTTAATCCATGAACACAGGGTATCTTTTCATTTATTTGTACTTTAAATTTCTTTAATCAGTGTCTTATAGTTTGTAGTGTACAGATCTTTCACCTCCTTAATCAGATGTATTCCTATTTTATTGTTTTTGATGCTGTTGTAAATGGGATTGTTTTCTTAGTTTCTTTTTTGGATAGTTCCTTGTTAGTGTATAAAAACACAACTGGACAGGGGGAGGTGGCTCACGCCTATAATCCCAGCACTTTGGGAGACCAAGGTGGACGGATCACCTGAAGTCAGGAGTTCAAGACCTGCCTGACCAACATGGTGAAACCCCGTCTCTACTAAAAATACAAAAATTAGCCGGGTGTCATGGTGGCACAAGCCAGTAATCCCAGCTACTTGGGAGGCTGAGGCAGGAGAATCACTTGAACCTGGGAGGCGGAGGTTGCAGTGAGCCAAGATCACACCACTGCACTCCAGCCTGGGTGACAGTGAGACTCCGTCTCAAAAAAGTAAATACATAAATAAATAAATAAATAAATAAATATAAAAGAAAAACACAACTGATTTTTGTATATTGATTTTGCATCCTGCAACTTTACTGAAGTTGATCGTTCTAACAGGTTTTTTGGTGGTGTGTGCTGGGTTTTATATATTTCAGATCATGGCATTTCATCTGCAAACAAATAAT
This sequence comes from Homo sapiens, assembly GCF_000001405.40. Lineage (NCBI taxonomy): Eukaryota > Metazoa > Chordata > Mammalia > Primates > Hominidae > Homo > Homo sapiens. The sequence goes on from NC_000010.11 coordinate 30,293,294, forward strand.
TTAATTTCTTTCTTTCCAATTTGGGTGTCTTTTATTTTTCCCTCTTGCTTAATTATTCTGGCTAAGATTTCAAGTACTATGTTGAGTAGAAAGCATGAGAGTGGGTACCTTTGTCTTGTTCATAATATTAGTAGAAAAACTTCCACCTTTTCACCCTTGTGAATGATTTTAGCTGTGGGCTTGTCATATGGCCTTTATTATGCTGGGGTGCATTCCTTCTATATACAATTTGGTGAGAAGTTTTTTTATTTTATTTTATTTTATTTTTTCTTTTTAGCAGGAGTCTCACTCTGTCCTCCAGGCTGGAGTGCAGTGGTGTAATCTCAGCTCACTGCAACTTCAGCCTCCCAGGTTCAAGCAATTCTCCTGCCTCAGCCTCCCGAATAGCCGGGATTAGAGGTGGGCGCCGCCATGCCCAGCTAATTTTTGGCTTTTTTAGTAGAGACAGGGTTTCATCATGTTGGCCAGGCTGGTCTTAAACTCCTGACCTCAAGTGATCCACCGCCTCGGCCTCCCAAAGTTCTGGGATTACAGGCATGAGCCACCGCGCCTGGCCATGTGAGAGTTTTTATCCTGAAAGGAAGTTAAATTTTGTCAAATGCTTTTTCTGCATCTATTGAGATTATTAAGGCCAACTAAATATGGCCTGAGAAAGACTGCGTAGTTCTATATTTGAGTCCTTGTAGATGAACTGTAACCTAATTTAATAGGTAGACAACATTGAAAACGTAAATTAGGAGTATGCACCTGTAACAATAGCTAAGTATTGGCATTGTACTTCAACGCTCATACACTGCCAAGTGTTCAAACTGTGTTCAAATAAGGCAAACGCCAACCTGTAAGCAATCCAGCTGTTTCTGTACCTTGCTTCCAATTTTTGTACGTCAGTTTACGTTTTTGTCTATAAATTTGTTCCGACCGCAAGGCACCCCTGGAGTCTCTCTGAATCTGCTGTGATTCTGGGGGCTGCCCAACTCGCGAATCATTCATTGCTCAATTAAACTCCTTTAAATGTAATTCAGCTGAAGTTTTTCCTTTAACAAGATGATCATATAACTTTACCCTTCAGTCTGTTAATGTGGTGCATCACATTTATTAATTTATTTGAAGCATCCTTGTATCCCAGGGATAAATCCCACTGGATTATGGTGGATGACCCTTTAAATGTGCTGTTGAATTTGGTCTGCTAGTATTTCAATGGGAATTTTTGCATCTGTATTCATTAGAGATATTGGCCTTTGATTTTCTTTTTTTGTAATGTCTTTGTCTGGCTTTGGTATCAGGGTAATGCTGGCCTCATAAAATTAGTTGGGAAGCATTCTCTGCTCTTCAATTTTTTGTTAGTGTTTAAGAAGGATTGGCATTAATTCTCCTTTAAAAGAGTGATGCAATTCACTAATGAGGTCATCTGGTCCTGGGTGTTTCTTTGTTGGGAGGTTTTTGATTACTGATTTAATCTCCTTATTTGTTATTGGTCTGTTAAGATTTTCTATTTCTTCATAATTTAGTCTTGCTAGTTTGTACGTATGTTTCTAGGAATTTGTTCATTTCTTCTAGGTTATCCAATTTGTTGGCATATAATTATTTATACTAGTCTATTATCCTTTGTATTTTCTGTGACATCTGTTGTAAGCTCTCCTCTTTCACGCTAATTTTACTTGTTTGAGTCTATAATTACCATTTCCCTGAGTCTGGTAAGACAGAACAAACACATGTTATATGAAGCAGATGGATTGCTTCCAGATAGACAGCAAGGGACCAATCAAAAAGGCCTAGAATCCCTTGTGAGCCAGTCCCCCAACATTCATGAAAGCTGCATAGGATGGGATGGATAATAGCTGGACTGCATGGTCCTCATTTGCACCACAGCTGAGGGACCCTGAAAGGCAGCCCACCTCAGGTTATATATCTCAAGGACCACATGACATCCTGGGCAAAGCTTTGAAGGACATCCTGATTCCAGGGGAGGGAGGAAAAAAGTCCAGGCTGTCTCAGGTACTTTCTCCCTAACTTACAAGGTTACATTCCCTAGGAAGGACAGGACTACGGTGCAGATTGTTTCAGGCAATTTCTTCCTGCCTCAGGGTAATGCATTCCTACCACATTCTATAGTTATTCTTGAGAACTGCAAGTGAGACAGGGAAAAAACTAGGTGGTCCAAGACCACTCTGAAGAGGCCACTGTCCTGCAAAGTCCTCTCTTTTTCTTAGTCTAACTAAAAGTTTGCCAACCTTATTTCTATTTTCGAAAGACAACTCTTAGTTTCACTGATCTTTCCAATTGTTTTCCTCATCTCGGTTTCTTTGATTTCTGCTCGGATTGTTGTTTCTTTGCTTCTGTTGACTTTGGGCTTAGTTTGTTCCTTTTCTCTTAGGTGTAAAGTTAGGCTGCTTTGTGAGAGCCCCCTTTTTTTTTCTTTTTTTGGAGATGGAGTCTCTCTCTGTCGTCCTGGCTGGAGTGCAGTGGTGCAATTTCTACTCACTGCAACCTCAGCCTCCTGGGCTCAAGTGATTCTCCTGCCTCAGCCTCCTGAGTAGCTGGGATTACAGGCGCGCACCACCACGCTCAGCTAATTTTTGTATTCCAGGTTGGTCTCGAACTCCTGACCTAAGTGATCCGCCCGCCTCGGCCTCCCAAAGTGCTGGGATTACAGGAGTGCGTCACTGCACCCAGCCTCTTTTTTCTTAATGTAGGCATTTATAGCTATGGACTTTCCTCTTAGAACTGCTTTTGCTGTATCCCATAAGAACTTCATTCCATACTCCTTATCAAATATAAAAATCAACTTCAGATGAACTATAGACCTAAATGTAAAATGTAAAACCATACAACATCTAGAAGAAAATAAATGAGAAAATCTGCTGCCTTGAGTTAAGCAAAGATCCCAAAATCATGACTTAGAAAAGAAAAAGATTATAAACTGGACTTCATCGCAATTAATAACTTCTGCTCTTCAAAAAACACTGACAACAGACTTCAAAGATAAGCTACAAACTGGGAGAAAATACCTGCAAATTATCTATCTGATATAGGACTTGTATTCAGAACATATGAATAATACTCAAAACTCAATAAGAACTCATTTTTTTATTTCAATAGTTTTGGGGGTACAGGTGGGTTTTGGTTACATGGATAAGTTCTTCAGTGGTGATTACTGAGATTTTAGCACACCTGTCACCTGAGCAGTACCAATATGTAGTCTTTTATCTTTCACTCCCCCCAACCTTCTCCCTACCAAGTCCCCAAAGTCCAGTGTGTATCATTCTATGGCTTTGTGTTCTCATAGCATAGCTCCCACTTATAAGTGAGAACATATGATATTTGGTTTTCCATTCCTGAGTTACTTCACTTAGACTAATGGCCTGCAGGTCCATTCAAGTTGCTGCAAAAGACATTATTTCATTACTTTTATGGCTGAGTAGTATTCCATGGTATGTATATATATACCACATTTTCTTTATCCATTTATTGGTTGATGGGCACTTAGATTGGTTCCACATCTTTGCAATTGCGAGTTGTGCTGCTGTAAACATGCATGTGTATGTGTCTTTTTCATATAATGACTTCTTTTCATTGGGTAGACACCCAGTAGTGGGATTGCTGGATCAAATGGCGGTTCCATTTTTAGTTCTTTAAGGAACCTCCATACTGTTTTCCATAGCGGTTGTACTAATTTACATTCCCACCAGCAGTGTAAAAGTGTTCCCTTTTCACCACATCCATACCAACATCAACTGTTTTTTGACTTTTTAATTATGGCCATTCCTGCAGGAGTAAGGTGGTATCTCAGTATGGTTTTCACTTGCATTTCCCTAATAATTAGTGATGTTGGGTGTTTTTTCATATGCTTGTTGGCCATTTGTACACCTTCTTTTGAGAATTTTCTATTCATGTCCTCTTGCCTCTTTTTGATAGGATTATTTGTTTTTCCTTGCTGATTTGTTTTAGCTCCTTGTAGATTCTGGATACTAGTCTTTTGTTGGGTGAATAGTTTGTGAATATTTTCTCCCACTCTGTGGCTTGTCTGCTGATTATTTCTTTTGCTGTGCAGAAGATTTTTAATTTAATTAAGTCCCATTTATTTATTTTTATTTTTGTTGCATTTGCTTTTGGGGTTTTAGTCATGAGTTTTTTGCATAAGCCGATGTCCAGAGAAGTTTTTCCAATGTTATCTTCTAGAATGTTTATGGTTTCAGGTCTTAGATTTAAGTCTTTGATCTATCTTGAGTTGGTTTTTGTATAAGGTGAGAGATGGAGATCCAGTTTCATTCTCCTACATGTGGCTCACCTGTTTTCCCAGCACCATTTATTAAATAGGGTCCCCTAGGTTTTTGTATGCTTTGTCGAAGATCAGTTTGCTGTATGCATTTGGGTTTATTTCTGAGTTCTCTATTCTGTTCCCTTGGTCTATGTGGCTATTTTTATACCAGTAGTACCGTGCCATTTTGGTAAATATAGCCTTGTAATATAATTTGAAGTCAGGTAATGTGATGCCTCCAGATATGTTTTTTGCTTAGCATTGCTTTGGCTATGTAGGCTCTTTTTTGGTTCCATATGAATTTCAGCGGTTTTTTTTTTCTAGTTTTGTGAAGAATGATGATGATATTTTGATGGGAATTGCATTGAATCTGTAGATTGCTTTGGGCGGCACGGTCATTTTCACAGTATTGATTCTTCCCATCCATGAGCATGGAATGTGTTTCCGTTTGTGAAATCTATGATTTCTTTTAGCAGTGTTTTGCAGTTTTCCTTGTAGAGATCTTTCACCTCCTTGGTTAAGTGTATTCCTAAGTATTTTATTTTATTTTATTTTATTTTTTTATATTTTTTTCAGCTGCTGTAAAGGAGATTGAATTCTTGATTTGATCCTCAACTTGACTGGTGGTGTAAAGCAATCCTACTAATTTTGAATCCTGAGACCGAATTCATTTATCAGATCTAGGAGCTTTGGATGAGTCTTTAGTGTTTTCTAGGTATGCAATCATATCATCGGCAAACAGTGACAGTTTGATTTCCTGTTTTCTAATTTCGATGGCTTTTATTTCTTTCTCTTGTCTGATTGCTCTGGCTAGGACTTCCAGTACTATGTTGAATAGAACAGAATAGAAGTGGTGAAAATGGGCATCCTTGTCTTTTTCCAGTTCTCAGAGGGAATGCTTTCAACTTTTCCCCATTTCGTATGTTGGCTGTGGGTTTGTCATATATGGCTTTTATTACTTTGAGAACTCATTTTTTAATGCAAAAGATTTGACCAAACACCTCAATAAAAAAGATGTAAATATGGCCAGTAAGCACGTGAAAAGATGGTAAACATCATTAGCTACCAGGGAAATGCAGATTAACACCAAAATCAGACCCCATTACATGCTCATTTGTAATAAAGTATCTGACTCCAATTTTGATTTTGGTAGCTAATAGCTTTGACGCTCACCTCTCCTTCTCCTGCCAAACAACTGGGAAAGCTGATAAGAAAACTGGTGTTCCCTTCTTTAATGCCAGTGGGAAGTTTAAACCACACAACCCTGACCTATGTTTAAGAATCTTCACTTCTTCACCCGCCTCTTAATCACCATTGAATCCCCAAGCCAGTCTCCTTCCCTTGCTCTCTCAAGCCATTTTCTTTGTTGTTGTTGTTTTTGAGATGGGGTCTCACTCTGTCACCCAAGCTGGAGTCCAGTGGCACAATAGCAGCTCACTGCAGTCTCGACCTCCCTGGCTCAAGTGATCCTCCTGCCTCAGCCTCCTGAGTAGCTGGGACCACAGGCACATGCCACCATGCCTGGCTAATTTTTTAAAATTATTATTTGTAGGCCAGGTGCAGAGGCTCACGCCTGTAATCCCAACACTTTGGGAGGCTGAGGCAGGAGGACCGTTTCAGCTCAGGAGTTTAAAACCAGCCTGGGCAATATAGCAAAACCCCATCTCTATTAAAATTCAGAAAAATTAGCCAGGCATGGTGGTGTGTGCCTGTAGTCCCAGCTACTTAGGGGTACTTGGGGGGCTGAGGCAGAAGGATTGCTTGAGCCAAGGAATTCGAGGCTGCAGAAAGCCCTGATCATGCCACTGCACTCCAGCCTGGGCGACAGAGCAAGACCCTGTCTCAAAAAAATAAATAAATAAATAATTTTTTGTGGAGACAGGGTCTCACTCTGTTGCCAAAGGTGGTCTTGAACTCCTGGGCCCAAGTAATCTGCTTGCCTTGGCCTCCCAAAGTGCTTGGATTACAGGCCTGAGCCATTGCACCCGGCCTCTCAAGACTTTTTTTTTCTTTTTTTTAAAATATGGAATGCTTCACGAATTTGCCTGTCATCTTGTGCAGGTCTATACTAATCTTCTCTCTATCACTCCAATTTTAGTACATGTGCTGCTGAAGCGAGCACTCAAACCATTTTCAAACCAGCTGGGAAGCCTTCCCTGATCTTCTCAGAGACTCATTACGTAACAAGTCCTGTCACATCTTTTGGGGTGTGTATGTGTGTGTGCGTGGCATTATCAATATTGGGAATCTGAACCAAATTCTGGGTGAAGGTCCATCCTTCTTATAAAGAGTGACTATAACATCATTAAATGGCTAAAATTTAAAAGCCTGATGATATTAAATGTTGGTGAAGGTGAGGAGGAAGTAGAACTATTAATATATATATCATGAGAAAGTGAAATTTAAACCCACTTTGGAGAACAATTTGACAACTTTTTGAAAAGCCAAATATATATATACTATGTGATGCATTACTTCCACTCCTAGGCATTTGCCCAAGAAAAAGGAAGCATATGTTCATATAAAGACTTGTATATGATCGGTCACAGCAGCTTTACTTATAACAGCCCCTAAACTGGAAACAACCCAAATGATTAATAAAATGGAACACTATTTGGCAATAAAAGATTGAACTATGCCATTATTGTGCCACTGCACTCCAGCCTAAGCAACAAAGCGAGACCCTGTCTCAAAAAAAAAAAAAAATTGAACAATCAATATATGCAAAAACATGGATGAAACTCAAGCAGATTAAAAGAAGTCAGATAGAATACATACTGTATCTTCCCCTTATAATATTTTTTAGAATATACAAATATCTATGGTTATAGAAAGCAGTTAAGTGCTTGCCTAGGGCCTGGGTTGGGAATGGAGCAGAGGCAGAAAGGAAGAAGAGGGAGGGATACAAAGATGCATCACGAAAACTTTGGAGGTGACAAACATATTTAGTATCTTGATTTTGGTGATTGGTGTATATGTCAGAACTTATGTAATTGTATATTTTAGATATGCACGGTTTCTGATATGCCAATTACACTCAATTTGAAAAAAGGCAATAATTTCATGGCGAGTTGTTGTTGATAGAAAAGAGCTTCATCCATGGTATCCATGGGGATTGTAAAAATAAATCAATAAGAAAAAAAAAAGAAAAGAGCTTCAAGGACTGTTCCTTGGGCATTTCAGAGATCTCCTATCATATGATATTACCTTCAATTTCCTCCTTTTTTTTTCTGAATTCCATCTTCCTCTTTCTTGATTTGCTCTTTCATTTTGATGGAAGACACCCCTCAGTGAAATAGTAAGGGTACTTCTGTAAAAATATTTTTTCCAGCATCAATTTATGACAGTTTGGCTAGGTATAGAATTCCAGGTTAGAATTCTTTCTCCACCAGAACTCTGAAGGCATTGACCATTATCTTGCTACTCCATGATGATGTTAAAAAGATCAAACCTATTTTGATTCCTGATATATTCCTTTTCATACGCCCTTTGGTTCCTTTGTACATAATCTTTCCTTCTCTCCCCATCCCCCATCTCCCTGGAGACCTATAGAATCTTCTAATTGCACCCATCAAAGTTCATGGTAATGTGCTTTAGTGTGAGTTTATTTTTACACATTGTGCTGGTTACTCAGTGAATGCTGTCAACTTGACAGTGCGTATCTTTCAATTCTGGCAAATTTTTTTGTTGATGATTTTCTCTATTATTCAGATTTTGGACCTACTGCTTTGCTCCTTTAATTTGCTTACTTTTTCTTCTTGTTTTCTCTCTCCTACTATCTTTCTTTAATCTTTTTTGGGGGGAAATTTCCTTAACTTTATCCATCAGCCTTTATATTGTGTTTTAAAATTGCATTATTATATTTCATTTTTCAAGAATGTTTTGTTCTGAGTGTTTACTATGTATATGTATGATTCTGTTCTTTAATGAATGCATACATTCACTTGTTTCTCCAAGTATATTCTCCCTCCAAGTACAGGAAAAGTTTTTATCTTTGAGAGGCTCTTGTTCCTGTAGAGTTTCTGTCCTTCGAGTTACTTTGTTTTGGTTTCTTCCATGTTAAGAGGCTCTTCTGATATTGAGTGCATAATTTCTTTACTGCTGCACAAATTCTCAGACTTGGTGGCTTAAAATACCACAAATTCATTATCTTACAGTTCTGGAGGCCAGAAATCCTAAAATCAGGGTGTTGGAAGAGCTGTATTCCTATGGAAGCTCTAGAGAATGTTTCTCTGATGTGCTCATAATCATGCTTTTTTAAAAGTCTGTTTTGGAGCATCAGTGATGGTTACATAATACTTGCTGGTCTCCAGTTTCCACAGGAGTTAGCAATGGTGAAACCATGCTTACATTCAGCTTTCAGTTTTTACAAGACTCAGACATACTTGAAGGAGGCCTTTTCCATCTTGGCAGCCTCCCCCTCAAATTTTTTGATGGTTCTTTTGTCAATCAGATGGTGGGCTTGCCTGAATCTACATGTCCAATGACGGCAATGTTGATATGATTCTTTGTTTTTCCCATTTTGGCCTTAACCCATTTATGCCAAAGGTTGCAAATTTTGGGTGGTGGGGGGGGTGGAATCAGACCTTGGCAATGACCTTGAGCAGGATATAAATGACTCCCACAAGCTTAGCGTTCCAATAATGGAACATTAGGCATAAATGGGTTAATTTAGTGGTGGTTTTCACAATACATATATTTTGGTGGCAAACTTGTTATGAATAAAGCTCTCACAGTCTCCTTTTGGCTGGGACTGATACCCTTGACTTCTTGTTGGCTGTCAGCAGAAATTGCTCTCAACTTTTAGAAGCCACCCTCAGGTCCTAGCCATATGGCCCTCTTAAACATGGCAGTTTACTTCTTCAAAGCCAGCAGGAATTTCTCTCTCCAGCCTACTAAGAAGGAGTCATATTATATAACATAATCACAGGAATAATTATACCATCACCTTTGCAATCTAATGCAACCCAATCAAGGCAATGACTATTCCATCAAATTCAGATTGCAATCACACTCATGGGGAGGAGATTTTCCAGGGTGTGTGCTCCAGAGGACAGAAGTCTCGGAGGTCAGTACAGAATTATGCCTAAAACATCATGCATTAGTTTGAATCTTTCTTTTAGAAAAAGTAGTTTAAAGATTTAGAATGGAAGTTGAGTTCCTAAATTTTTCTTGCTACCATTTCTCAATACCTTTAGAAATCAGTAGCTAAGAACATGATAAGGGAAAGAAAGTAATGTGTATTGATTACCAAATATATACCAGGCACTGTGCTAGGTCCTTGACATTACAGTTTATTCAATATCAGAAAAGAATTACATTTGAACCAAGGAGGTACTATAAGAAACATGTAACCAAATCAGAGTGTTCTGAATACTGGTAAGTGCAGGTAAGAAAATTAGACAATAACAATCGTCATTAAGTTGAAAGGCTATATCTAGTATTTTGAAAATTTCCTAAAAGTATGATTGGGTATGATTTTGATCGTCTTGGAAAACAAATACTCTACATTTCCCAGTGAAATTTGAACATTTTTTCTTTTTAAAGCAAAACAGATTTTAGTTGCACAGAATTTAAAAGACTGTAGCTTATGTAACTAAATTTAATGTCCTAAAATATTTTCTCCTAAATCATGCTGCACATATTTTATTAATCTATGAATAAAATCTATTCCAGGATGGCACTGCACATATTTAATCATAGTCAAATCTTTCTTCATCTAGAAGATCCAATATAGCTAATATTGCTTAGAAAATAGGAACTACAGAGAGCTTTAGAATTAAGAAATATTTTAAACCACATTTAAATTCAAGTATTGTTTAACGCAATTTTTATCCTGAAGCATCAAGATGGAAATACTGTCTTTGTCCAGAGCAATCAAAATTAAAACATCAAATAATTTCAATTTTTCACATAATTTTATTAAATATTTAAAGACTTGAATTAAGGTCTCTGACAATATAATAGTGCTAGAATGTATTTAGCAAATTAAAAATACGAGTTGAAAATTAACTCAAAATAATAACAGCAATTTTTGTTAATTCTGTTACTAAACAAATGTGGGCTACTGAATGTAACTGAAAAACTACAAATATAAACTAGTCATATATTATAGAAATAACTGACTCATAATATACAAACACCTAAATTATTTCACCTATGTAAAAAATTTGTTTTATTCATGAATAAGATATCCTAAAAATAACATATGCTTAAAGTCCAAAAGAGATTTTTTCTAAACTCATAAATCATAAAATTTTAAAAAAGCATTTTGGCCTAAAATGCTCCATTCTTGGTCTCAACCCAGATAAGTATTTCGGAAAACTGGAAGAAAAACTGTATTTCATAGTTGTTTCAGGTATCTCAATGTGGATGGGAAAAGGAGATATTTTTCTCATTCTTATTTGAGCATTTTGTGCACTTATTCACACATGGCACAAATTTAAACTTTGAATTGGCATGTACAAAATCCTCTATGAGGAAATCACAGTCTAGATATAAAAGCTGGCAACTTCTGATTTCTGGAGCATAGCAGAACATTTGCAGTGCCCAGCTTTCATTAGCGGTGAACTAGGCATTCATGTTGGCCAAATTTTGTACTGTTATCCAAAGCTTAATTGAACAGGCACCAGCAAATGAGACATTTGAAAGCTTCTTACAAGGAAGCAAACTAAATAGTACACATTCCTATAAGATAAAATATATATAAGGATCAGAAGCTGGAGTAAAAAAGAATGATGTCCAGTAATGGCAGACTAGGTAATATCCATCAACTCTCTCACTGAAGGAAAACAACCAGAAAAGCTTGGCAAAACAGGCTGGGCGCAGTGGCTCATGCCTACAATCCCAGCACTTTGGGAGGCCGAGGTGGGTGGATCACCTAAGGTCAGGAGTTCGAGACTAACCCGGCCAACATGGCGAAACCCTGTCTCCACTAAAAATATAAAAAATTAGCTGGGTGTGGTGGTATGTGCAGACAGAGTGAGTCTCCATCTCAACAGAAAAGAAAAGGAAAAGACAAGACGGAGGGAGACAGAGAAATAAAGAAAGAGAAAGAGAGAAAGAAGCTTGGAAAAACAAAAACAGCTGCTTGGGGAGAGAGAGAGAGAGACGGGGGTGGGGAAAAGGAAAGGAAAAGGTAAGGAAGGAGGAAGGAAGGAAGGAAGGAAAGAGAGAGAAAGAAGCTTGGAAAAACAAAAACAGCTGCTTGAAAGCATCCGACTGCTAACAAAGGAGTGAAAAATTACAAAATTGTGAAGAAGTAGACTTAAGCAAGTGAGCCTAGCATTTGGGGTTGCTACCCGCTAGGGACATCTGCTGATGAAGTAGATCAGAGGGGAGCAGAGGTTTCAAAAAACTTGCAGGGATAGGAGACAAAAAGGACTTCAGGGCCCACCAAGGAAAAGGGACCCTGGTCAGCACTCCAGGTTTTGGACTGAGATCTTCCCCACCACAGTGCAAGTTAATGATGAACTAGAATCTGGAATTGAATCCAACTTCAAAATCTCAAACCCTTTCTGGATTAAAGTGATCCAGGATCATAAATACCCCTACCCATCCCCCAGAAACAAAAGTAAATCCTTTCTGAAGGAAGAGAAAACATCATCCTCCCTCGAAGTAATTCCTACTATTTCTCCCATCCAGTATCAACACACAAAGCCACCACTGCCACCACCAGGTATACCAGGAGAGAAGTCAACATCATGAAAAACAGAAACAGACCCACAGGGGAACCACATGATCAACTTCTCAGACACAGGCTTTAAAATAACTGTGTCAACCTGAAAAAAATATACTGAAATTGAGAATTCAATAAATGGATTTTTAAAATTAGACACAGATGAAAAAAGTTGATAAACTGCTATATAGGTCAGAATTCTGGCCAAACACAGTGGCTCATGCCTGTAATCCCAGCACTTGGGGAGGCCGAGGCGGGTGGATCACCTGAGGTCAAGAGTTCAAGACCAGCCTGACCAACATGGTGAAACCCCATCTCCACTAAAAATACAAAAATTAGCTGGGTGTGGTGGTGGGTGCCTGTAATCCCAGCTACTCAGGAGGCTGAGGCAGGAGAATTGCTTGAACCCCGGAGGCGGAGGTTGCAGTGAGCTAAGATCATGCCACTGCACTCCAGCCTGGGCGACAGAGCAAGACCCTGTCTCAAAAACAAACAAACAAACAAACAAAAAAGAAGTAAATTCTTGGAGTGAAGGGAGACACAAGAGTAGAAAATACAGGAAAGTATAGAAGAGACATAGGGAATTAAGCAAAAAGACCTAATAAATGTTAAGTGGAATCCCAGAGGAATGAAGGTGAATGTAGCCAAAGCAATATTTGAAAATTGTTGAGTTTTCTACAACTAATAAAAAATATTTTCAAGTCATTAAGTAATGTTGAACAGCTTATGTGAACAATGTTGAACAATCATATGTGCTGACATCATCAGCATAATCTATGTTGTAGGAACTCCCTAAGACAATCCCCTATCTTCAATAAATTGCAAGCGAAAAAAGAGATGAAGTATAAACCTGGAATCTAAGAGAGTTAAGAAACAGACCATCCAATCACAATATGTGGACTCTAATTGGATACTGATTCAAACAATTGCACTAGGAAAAAGCCATCGTGATATCCACAAGACAATGGGGAGCTTGAACAGTAATCAAATACGATGATATTATTAGAGAATTACTGTTTTTGTTTGTTCCATTTTGGTCTGACAATGATTTTGTGATTATATTAGAACAAAAGTTATCTTTTAGAAATATTACATACTTACAGATGAAATGGCAGAATGGAATTTGCTTAAAATAATACAGAAGTGGTAAGTTAATGGGGTTATAAATTAAAAGCAATTGGCCATGAATTAATTGTTGAAAGAGGTGACGGATGTGTGCCAAGTTCATTACGCTTTTCAATTTACTTTTGCCTGTGTTCAAAATTCTCCATAGTAAAGTTTCATACAATTATTAGTGAGCTTGCTTTCCTTGCTAATCAGCCAGTTTCATAACCCACCCCTTTTACTCCAGTTTTCAAGACAGGGTAGAACTAGAGAGAAATGTCAATATGCTTTAATTTTATAAGAGGAAAAGCTTCAGAAACGTAAGACTTCCGTTGTACCCAACAAGTTTAACATGTTAAAGAATTTTAGTGACACGGAGCATGATGCAGGCTTAATGTGGAATCTTTTCATTAGTTTGCTCCATTTTATTTGACAGCATCCATTACAGTAACTTTTCAATGTGCCACACTTCAAAATAAACCCAGGCAAAAGTAACAACCTATAATTTTATTTTTCACTAATAATTAATTAAATTTATTTATTTTTGAGACAGAGTCTCACTCTGTCATCCAAGCTGGAGTGCAGTGGAGTGATCTCATCTTACTGCAACCTCCAACCCTCAGGTTCAAATGATTCTCCTGCCTCAGCCTCTCGAGTAGCTGGGATTGGGCATGTGCCACCACGCCCAGCTAATTTTTGTATTTTTAGAAGAGACAGAGTTTCACCATGTTGGCCAGGCTGGTCTTGAACTCCTGACCTCAAGTGATCCGCCTGCCTTGGCCTCCCAAAGTACTGGGATTACAGGAGTGAGCCACTGGGCCTGGCCTACTTTTCATTAATTTAGACTTGGCCTGTTCCAAATTAGGTATTTTCCCCATACCATGTATTCATCATAGTATAGTATCTAGAGTTTCAAGTTAGATTTTTTCTTTTTTCTTTTCTTTTTTTTTTTTTTTTTTTTGAGGTAGAGTCCTGATGTCACCCAGGCTGGAGTGCAGTGGCACAATCTCAGCTCACTGCAACCTCCGCCTCCCAGGTTCAAGCGATTCTCCTGCCTCAGCCTCCCGAGTAGCTGGGATTACAGGTGCCTGCCACCATGCCCAGCTAATTTTTGTATTTGTAGAAACGGGGTTTTGCCATGTTGGCCAGGCTTGTCTGGAACTCCTGACCTCAACTGATCCACCCGCTTCGGCCTCCCAAAGTGCTAGGATGACAGGCGTGAGCCACCGCGCCCGGCCAAGTTAGACCTTTTTAATACTCTCTTTAAAATATGCCTTAGCACCACATTCTAGAAGCTTAGAAACTCTGCTATGGGGGAAAATTTTTGCAACATATTCATCTTAGAAAAATGAATAATGCTTTTAATCTAGCTTTGACTCCACTGAGTACCGAAAGGGGGTGGATACACACACAGATAACATAAAACACGAGCAATCACATTTAAAAGATAAAGTACATTTTTTAATAATTTGTGGTGATTTGATATATCCTGTATCACAAATACTATAGATTAAAGATTCTATCTACAGTACTTTCTGATAGTTGCTACATGGGAATTCCAGAGGAACACTGTAATGTTTATATTCTTTGGAATCCGTATCCACAAGTAATTGAATTCATTGTGGAAACCCAAATAAGTCTTTCAAGTATTTAAAATAAATTTGCCAAGATGAAAAGGGACTTCTGGTCGTGTTTTCATTCTTTTCCAAGTATATATGTAAAGAATTTTTCATTAATAAGGCTTTACATACAATCATATGTAAGCCATGAGCTGTTACTTCCTGCTGATAGCTTTAAACTACTTAAGCTTTACTTTCTTATTAAACACTAAGGAGAAAGACTCTTCTGAGGCATATGAGAGACAGTCACCTTCTGGCCTTTTGTGGAAAATTTAACAGCCAAATTTTATCTAACTTAATGATAAAACCTATACTCAAGTACTCAAATTTGTTGTTATTATTATTTTTGGCTGAGATGGAGTCTTGCTCTGTTGCCCAGGCTGGAGTACAGTGGCATGATCTCGGCTCACTGCAACCTCCATCTCCCGGGTTCAAGCAATTCTCCTGCCTCAGCCTCCTGAGTAGCTGGGACTATAGGCACTCGCCACCATGCCTGGCTAATTTTTGTATTTTTAGTAGAGACAGGGTTTCACCATGTTGACCCGGCTGGTCTTGAACCTCTGACCTCATGATCTGCCCGCCTCGGCCTCCCAAAGTGCTGGGATTACAGGCATAAGCCACCGTGCCCGGCCAAATTTGTTATTTTTAAAAGAAAGGAATCATGGCTGGGCATGGTGGCTCACACCTGTCATCCCAGCACTCTGGGAAGCTGAGGTGGGCAGATTACTTGAGTCCAGGAGTTCAAGACCAGCCTGAGCAACATGGTGAAACCCTGTCCCTGTCTCTACAACAAAATACAAAAATTAGCTGAGAGTAGTGGGGCACACTTGTAGTCCCAGCTACCCAGGAGGCTGAGGTGGGAGGATCGCTTGAGCCTGGGAGGTGGAGGTTGCAGTGAGGCTGAGATTGTGCCACTGCAGTCCAGCGCAGCCTGGGCAACAAACTGAGACGGTGTCTCAACAACAACAACAACAAAAAAGCCATGATCTAAAACTACTAGGTATCAACAGATTAATCATCTAAAAGCTGCTTTTTTATTATCCCTTTGCATGAAAACCATCAATGGGCCGGGCGTGGTGGCTCACGCCTGTAATCCCAGCATTTTGAGGGGCTGAGGCAGGCAGATCACCTGAGGTCAGGAGTTTGAGACCAGCCTGGCCTGCATGGCAAAACCCCATCTCCACTAAAAATACAAAAATTAGCTGGGTGAGGTGGTGTGTGCCTGTAATCCCAGCTATTCAGGAGGCTGAGGCCTGAGAATTGCTTGAACCCAGGAGGTAGAGGTTGCAGTGAGCTGAGATCGCACCACTGCACTCCAGCCTGGGCAACAGAGCTAGACTCTGCCTCAAAAACAACAACAACAAATCATCAATGATTTACCAATGAAGATATACTCAACCTCCTTAACTTGAAATTGGCAGTTCTTCCCCATCTTGCTCAACCTTAACTTCTGCGTATCACATTAAAAACTACATCCTAGCCAATCTGGACCCCTAGTTCTCCAAACATATGACAGCTACTCACCAACTGAATGTCAAACTCTGCAAAGTGGAGTTGCTACTTCAACAAGATGCATCTGCTTGGAAGCTCCTTCTGGCTTTGCTGCACATATTCAGTGTTTGCTTATTTACACAGGCAAATGTAGCATTTCCCTACCACGGCACCAGGAGGCTCTAAAGGGATGAATATGGCTGTACTTGGAAGGCCAAGGAAATCCTAGGAGCATGGAATGAGGTGGAACAATCTAATTCTGCTCTCACCTGACTACAGCGTAAGCCACCTGAGTAGAGCTCTACACCTGACTACAGCAAAAGAAAGACGCCAATAGGAAATGACAGCAGAAAAAAGTCTTATTTCAACTCAACTTTATTTTCCCTTCTCCTTTATGGTAACTGAAGGTGAATGAGATAATTACACACAGTTTTCCTATAACGTTTCAGGCTAATCGTTATTTCCTAGAAAGTCTCTGGCTAATTCTCAAATTTTCTAAAGATGGATAATAGCTCCAGGAATTATACTAGTGGGCTATAGCTGAAATCGTTTTGATCTGGGTAGTCTCCTATCAAAATTACTTTCACATACTTAGTAAAACTCATTACAGGTGAAAGCTACTGAATGAAAGCCTAGTAATAGTTATAGAAGAAAAAAACTTGAAAAAAGTTTTACTTAACATTGCAATTATTTTTAATTAAGAAACAGCAATGACAAATAATTGCTAGTTATCACTATCACGTAATAAAAATATTTTAAAAATCTGGGTTGTGATACACTAAAGTTATGAGAAAATATATTTGTCTGTAGTCTATATTCAGTTGAACAGACTTTAAAACTGTGTATTAAAAGGTCTTTGCAGCCAGGCGTGGTGGCTCATGCCTGTAATCCCAGCATTTTGGGAGGGCGAGGTGGGCAGGTCACCTGAGGTCAGGAGTTCGAGACCAGCCTGGCCAACAGAGTAAAACCCCATCTCTACTAAAAATAGAAAACTTAGCCAGGTGTGGTGGCATGCACCTGTAATCCCAGCTACTCAGGAGGCTGAGGCAGAAGAATCACCTGAACCCGGGAAGTGGAGGTTTCAGTGAGCCAAGATCACTGCACTCTCCAGCCTGGGTGACAGAGGGAGACCCATCTCAAAAAAAAAAAAAAAAAAGGGTCTTTGTAGGCCAGGTGCGGTGGCTCACACCTGTAACCTGTAATCCCAGCACTTTGAGAGGCTGAGACAGGTAGATCACTTGAGGTCAGGAATTCAAGACCAGCCTGGCCAACATGGTGAAACCCCGTCTCTACTAACATACAAAAATTAGCTAGGCATGGTGGCAGGCGCCTGTAATCCCAGTTACTTGGGAGGCTGGGGCAGGAGTATCGCTTGAACCCAGGAGGCAGAGGTTGCAGTGAGCCGAGATCGCACCACTGCAGTCTAGCCTGGGTGACAGAGCAAGATTTGCTCTCAAAAAAAAAAACAAAAAACAAGTCTTTGTAGATTTAAAATTAATCACATAATTAAATCTGATTCTGAAAAGTAAAACAGCCTAGTGTCAAGGCTGTCCTACAAATTACCAAAAAGAAAAGAAAATGCTAACCCATACACATACTTTATGTGCTTAAATAACCATATTACACCTAGCACCAACCTAAAAAAGAAAATATCTGACTAAATATCTGTGAACAGAAAAAAAAATTTCATTTAGAAACCCTTAAGTGGTTTATGCTTTTTAAGCTTTTTAAATCAATATGGATTTCTAGCCCAACAAAATAAAGAACAAATGAAAAATGGCTTTTAAAGACATCGCCTGTACAGAACACTGATATTTGTTGGTGTCAAATGTGCAATCCAATAGCACAGACACAAGGACACAGAATTCATTTGCTTCATAACAATGCTGAGTTTCTTAAAATATCCCATGCAGAACCCATTATAATTTCTGACATAAAATTTAAATGGGAAAAATTTTTAAAGTACTACAAACTCTAAATCTGAATTTTGAGTAGCAAAAAAGGTAATTACATACCACAAACACCGAAAGGCAACAGTTAAAGAGAAGTAACATTTACTTCGCGCCAGGAAAATGCACTGACCTAGCATTTTCCTACATCCCTCGCTTAATCCTCACATTGATCTGATCATGATCCCCATTTTACAGATCAAACAGGGGCCCCAAGAGACTGAGTAACTTGTCATTGAGCCAGTCTCGCTCAAGTCTGTTTTTAAACACTATACTACTTGCTTCTTTTCCTTTGAGAGAGTCTCACTGTCGCCCAGGATGGAGTACAGTGCTGTGATCTCAGCTCACTGCAGCCTCTGCCTCCCAGGTTCAAGCAGTCCTTGTGCCTCGGCCTCCCAAGTACCTGGGACTACAGGCATGTGCCGCTATGCCCAGGCCTTACTTGCTTCTTAAATAGAAAGTTACTCCACAGAAGCCAGGTGCAGTGGCTCACGCCTGTAATTCCAACACTTTGGAAGGCCAAGGTGGGCGATCACCTGAGGTCAGGAGTTCGAGATCAGCCTGGCCAACATGGTGAAACCCTGTCCCTACTAAAACTACAAAAATTAGCTGGGCTTGGTGGTGGGCGCCTGTAATCCCAGCTGAGGCAGGAGAATCACTTGAATCCGGGAGGCGGAGGTTGCAGTGAGCTGAGATTGTGCCATTGCACCCCAGCCTGGGCAACAAGAGCAAAACTCCGTCTCAGAAACAAAACGAAACAAAGCAAAAAAGTTGCTCCACAGAGAATGTAATGGAAATTAAATTTCAATATACAGTTGCCCATTGAACAACATGGGTTTCAACTGCGAAGTCCATTTACACACAGATTTTTTCCAACCAAACTTGGATTGAAAATACAGTATTCTCGGCCAGGCATGGTGGCTCACGCTTGTAATCCCAGCACTTTGGGAGGTTGAGGTGGGCTGATCACGAGGTCGGGAGATCGAGACCATGGTGAAACCCTGTCTCTACTAAAAATACAAAAAAATTGTCCGGGCGTGGTGGCGGGCACCTATAGTCCCAGCTACTCAGAGAGGCTGAGGCAGGAGAATGGCGTGAACCTGGGAGGCAGAGCTTGCAGTGAGCCGAGATTGCGCCACTGCACTCTAGCCTGGGCGACAGAGCGAGACTCTGTCTCAAAAAAAAAAAAAAAAAAAAAAGAAAGAAAGAAAATACAGTACTTTCACAGGATGCAAAATCTGCTTATGTGCAAGGTGGAATTCTCCCATGCACGGGCTCCACAGGACTGAAGGAGTTCAGTGTGTGCAGATCTGGGTGTACGTGGATGGTCCTGGAACCAATTTTCTGCATATACTGAGAGACAAATATGTCTCTTTCCTGCAGGAAGAGGGGAGTTCTCAAAAGAGATGTGAAGGAATACTGGGAATATCACATTTTAGTTAGAAACAGAATTTTATTTTTGAAAATAGAAAAATCAAACAATATTTTTAAAATGCAATCTATTGATGTCATCATATTTGGTTTGGAATACCTAAGAATGCAGTGACTGAAATGTCTGTTCTAAAAACATAAACATTTTTTGATATCAGTACCAACCCACTTTAATTTATATGTGAATAAGAGAACTTCGCTTGAAAAATACAAATATACATATTCGAGAGCACTACCAAATTTTGAAGCTTAATGTATTCATTGCCAACGTACTGTACATAACTAAAAGTCATTTTAAATGTTTTCTAAACAGGGACTGATGTGGATATCAACAATGGTTTCATCCTAAAACTGAGTTTTAGCATTTGTTTAGTATATTTACCTATTTAGTTAAAGCACATTACAATAATCTTTCACCCATTCCTTGTGGCTTATGTTTATTTTCATTTTTTTTAGAGATGGAATCTTGCTATGTTGTCCACGATGGATTCAAAATCCTGGGCTCAAGAGATCCTCCTGCCTCAGCCTCCTGAGCAGCTGGGACTACAGGTGTGCACCGCCACACTCCACAGCTGATGTTTTAATAAAGTGCCACTGAGTATCAGACTGATCAAACTGAAAACATCCCAGAACTTCAGACCAGGTTAAGGGGGCCAATGAGAAGATCATGAAAAGTGACATCAGATGAAAGCTGAGATCTGTGAAAGTTTCAAATCAGTTTTTCCAAGTAAGTCCACAGACCATTTGATAGGCTAAGCCCAGTTCTTTACACAATGTAGCAGCCATCATGTCTGAGTACTAATTGTTCTCTTCCCACTGGTTTTTGTGAAATTTTCTGTTCTGTTACCTTTTAAAGATTCTAGCAAGTTTTTGACTGTTTCAATTGCAAACTTATTGCTTTTCTTCTTGGTAAAGGACTTTCTGTTTGGAGCAGATGGTAGCAATAGGGATACCAGCCCCCAGGGCCGATTACTTGATATGGAAGGTCGATCTGTATCTTCCTGTTGTAAAATCCAGGCACTTTCTCGGGCCAAATCTACAAATTTTTGCAGCTGGCTTTGACTTACATTTTTGCTTATGTTGAGAGAAGTTTCAAATGGATTCTGAATGTACAGAGGAGAAGAATCAGGTTTGTTTTGCTCCCTTCCCTATAGATTATTACACAGAAGAAAAAATGAGTAAGTACATGAAGGGCTTAAATATAAAAACAGTTAACTCAATAAAATGTCAAAACACATAAAACACCAGCATTAACTTTACATAGCAAAGAATTTCTTTCTCAGGGGATTGAGTATGTATGCATGGTGGGTGTGTGTACTTCTCATTTTTTGTTTTTTTTTTCCCTGTTGTAAGTTTTATGAGTGTTCTTTGGAGAAATAACTTAGGGCTTATCATCTATGGATGATGATGTCATTGCTCAGAGAAGAGGTATCTGGACTAACTCAACCGACAAAAGTAT